>NC_000014.9:102944715-103247715 GCF_000001405.40 Homo sapiens | reverse complement strand
ACTTGAAGTCAGGAGTTCGAGACCACATTGACCAACATGGTGAAACCCCATCTCTACTAAAAAAATACAAAATTAGCCAGGCATGGTGGCAGGCGCCTGTAATCCCAGCTACTTGGGAGGCTGAGGGCAGGAGAATAGCTTGGACCCGGGAGGGAGAGGTTGCAGTGAGCCAAGATTGCGCCATTGCACTGCAGCCTGGGTGACAGAGCAAGACTCTGTCTCAAAAACAAAACAAAACAAAACAAGACTTGTTGCCTGGGCAACAAGAGCGAAACGCCATCTCAGAAAAAAAAAAAAGTGTACTCCCCCCATCCTGCTTGTCCCAACACAATTCTGAAAAGCACTCCACGTTCCTCAAGGACATTTCCCTGAGACATTTCCCATCAGGACCTTTTGAGATAAAATGGCAACTGAATTTTGTCCAACTGCCTTTATCTCAAGGATACAAGTACATCCTGGTCATGATTTCCATGTTTTCTCATTGGGTTGAAGCATTGCCATGCCGTAGAGCCATGGCCTGAACAGTAGGTAAATTTTCGCTAGAGAAAATTATTCCTTCTTGGGGAGTCCTCCAAGTTGCACAGCAACCGAGGAACCCATTTCACCTGTCAGACAATTCGGTCTATTTGTGACATACGGCGATTTTTCACCACTGCACTATGCATGCCACCCTCAGCCTCTGGCCTGGCGGAACACATAGACGGTGTTAAGAGTGGAGGGTGTCCAGGTCCTCGGTGTCTTGAACAAAGAAGTGGACAAAACGCACAAACAAAGCAAGGAAAGAATGAAGGGCTTTGTCTTACTTTGTTTTTCTTGGGACGGAGTCTTGCTCTGTCGCCCAGGCTGGAGTGCAGTGGTGCAAACTCGGCTCACTGCCAACCTCTGCCGCCCGGGTTCAAGCGATTGTCGTGCGCAGCCTCCCGAGTAGCTGGGACTACAGGCATCCGCCACCACGCCCAGCTAATTTTTGTATTTTTAGTAGAGATGGGGTTTCCCCATGGTGACCAGGCTGGTCTCGAACTCCTGACCTTAGGTGATCCACCTGCCTCGTCTCCCAAAGTGCTAGGATTACAGGCGTGAGCCACTGCACCCAGCCGAATGAAGGGTTTTATTGAAAATGAAAGTACACTCCACAGTGTGGTAGTGGGCCTGAGCATAGGGGCTCAAAGGCCCTGTTACAGAGTTTTTGTGAGTTTATGTGAGTTTAAATACCCTCTACTTGGGGTACACCCTGTGTAAATGAAGAGGATGACGTAAAGTGATGCCATATGGAGAGGATATTTCCTGTTATAGCTGAAGTGTGAATTGGCCTTATGTTCCCTGCCTCCAGACCTTATTTTCCTGCCACAATGGATACAAGAACAAATGGCAAAGTTTACAGAAACTTTGAACCTTGTCTTGCCTAAGGCTCTTCCATTGGTATTGCTTAAATTACCTTCTACCTGTTTGGAAAACCTCAGCTTTCTCCCTTTGAAATAACTGCAGGAAGCCCCATGTGCCTGGAGGAAGGAGCCCAGTGAACCAGCTCACCCTAAAGGTGACATTCTTCATGATTGCAAGGCCTTATACAGCTTCTCACTAAAAACTCTAAATTAAAGATTCTTTGAAGAGTCAGCACCCAGGAGACGAAGACATCAGAGGTCATGGCCTGCAACTAGGAGGTTTTGATTCTTGGAAAAGACATCAAATCAAGGACTCTTTCTATCAAATAAGGGACTCCCTCCAGCTCACCAGAAGGGCCCATGTTGGGGATTGTTTACCAATTCCTTGTGCAGCTAAACTCAAAGGCACTGACTCATGCATTCACATTTCTCATTTTAAAAAGGCAGTCCTCGCAGCCATAAAAAAGAATGAGGTCATGTCCTTTGCAGGGACATGGATGAAGCTGGAAGGCATCATTCTCAGCAAACTAACACAGGAACAGAAAACCAAACACCGCATGTTCTCACTCATAAGTGGGAGCTGAACAATAAGAACACAAGGACACAGGGAGGGGAAAAACACACACCGTGGCCCTGTTAGGGGGTAAAGGGCAAGGGGAGGGAGAGCACTAGGACAAATACCTAATACATGTGGGGCTTAAAACCTAGATGCTGGGTTGATAGGTGCAGCAAACCACCACGGCACATGTATACTATGCGACAAACCTGCACGTTCTGCATGTGTATCCCAGAACTTAACGTAAAATTAAAAAAAATAAATAAAAAGGCAGTCCTGCATGCATGGGTACCTTCCACCTGGAGATCCCCAGCTGAAGCTGATCTGCAGCCAGTTACCTTATTCTTCAGACCAGGACGAGAAGTGGGAAATTAATTAGAAATCACTCAAAAAGTTAAATGGGCTGGGTGCGGTGGCTCACACCTGTAATCCCAGCACTTTGGGAGGCCAAGGCTGGTGGATCCCTTGAGGTCAGGTGTTCGAGACCAGCCTGGCCAAAATGGCGAAACACCATCTCTACTAAAAATAAAAAAAAATAAAAAATAAAAAAAATTTGCCAAGTATGGTGGTACACATCTGTAATCCCAGCAACTTGGGAGGCTGAGGCAGGAGTATCACTAGAGCCCAGGAGGCAGAGGTTGCAGTGAGCTGAGATCACGCCAGTGCACTCCAGCCTGAGCAACAGAGTGATGCTCTGTCTCAAAAAAAAAAAAAAAAAAAAAAGGCAAAATGGCTGCAAGATGGTAGAAAAACAGACCCCTCACGTGATTTACATGATTGATTACCTTTAGGAATAGGAATGCTTTCCAGATTGGGATTTTATTTGCATCATATTTTTTATTCTTCACTTGATTAGGCTTTGTATTTCTAGATGTCTAAAGTCAAGAATAAAAACGAAAATCATGATAGCTAGAACACTTAGGAATGATCCGCGACACCACAGCTTCTCTCCAAGCAGGCGGCCTGGGATCCCGCTGCTCTGTCCCGTTGTGCTGCCAATATCTTCTGCCTGGAGACCTCACCGAGTTCATGAGCCAGAGCACCTCTCCTCTTACCCCCCCCCCCCCCATGGGAATGAGCCTTCCCAGTGATGCTGGGCAAATTTACACTTAAAATGTTGATCAGCTAGGTGCAGGGGCTCACGCCTATAATCCCAGCATGTTGGGAGGCCAAGGAGGGTGGATCACTTGAGGCCAGGAGTTAGTTCAAGGCCAGCCTAGGCAACATGTTGAAACCCTATCTCTACCAAAAATACAAAAATTAGTCAGGCATGGTGGCATATGCCTGTAGTCCTAGCTGCTCCGGAGGCTGAGACATTAGAATTGCTTGCACCCTGGAAACAGGTTGCAGTGAGCAAAGATCACACCACTGCACTCAAGCCTGGGCAACAGAGTGAGACTCTGTCTCAATAAATAAATAAAATGTTAGATGCAGTTAGGTTTCCTCTTCAAACAGCTTATCCAGTTTCCTCATTCTCTATCCTACAATTCCAAATACCCCCTTGCCTGTGCTGCACCGCAGCTTGTCTGAATATGCCTAGGCATGCCTGAACTTGCTACAACCCCAGTCCACATTTCTTTCCTTATTAGGGAATAGGTTACCCTCCTAGTCCCTCCGTAAATGACCCCCCTTCTCTCCCTTCTCACCTCCCTTACGTGCCTACCTTATCTAAGAAAGTTTAAATGTTTAGCCAACTGGGACTAGTTTAGACTGTGTGGTCCAACCCTAGCCAATAGGGGAAAGACACAGAAGCAGAAGCTGTGTTAGACATAATAAAAACCCCTGCTTTCCTTTGTTCTGTGTGCTTTTGCCATTACTTCACATGTGAGATGCACATACCCTTCTGCCGAAGTAAATTTGCCTTGCTGAGAGATCCTTAGTCTCAGTGCTGGTTCTTCTTTGAGGCACCGAGCATTTGTTTCCAAAAAATAAATAAAATAAAATAAAATATTGATCATCAATACTTTCAGAGAGCAAGATCTTGATCCAAAGGAGGAAATAAGAAAGAGAAGTGGCTCAGAGCAGCCTGAGGAATGTGAGACCTGCAAACTTATCAGGCCCAGAGAACAATGATGCCAGCAGCTGTGCCTAGGGTTCACTGTTCAAAGGCTTTTTCTTTCCTTCCCTGTAGTTTCCAGGCTAGCTGACTGTCTAGACTTCCTAAAAGTTACCACAAATTGTACAATGTGATCCTTATCCATGTCAATGAAAAGAGTCAAATTCTGTGAAATATGTTACAGGGTTTATTCTAAGCCAAATATGAGTGACCATGGCCCATAGCATAGCCCTCAGGAGGTCCTGAGAACATGTGCACAAGGTGGTCGGGGCACATATAGCTTGGTTTTATATATTTTTAGGGAGACATTAGACATCAATCAAATATATTTAAGAGGGACTGGCACAGTGGCTCATGCCTGTAATCCCAGCACTTTGGGAGGCTGAGGCGGGTGGATCACAAGGTCAGGAGTTCAAGATCAGCCTGACCAACATAGTGAAACCATCTCTACTAAAAATACAAAAAATTAGCTGGGCGTGGTGGTGGGTGCCTGTAATTTCAGCTACTCGGGAGGCTGAGGCAGGAGAATTGCTTGAACCCAGGAGGCGGAGGTTACAGTGAGCCGAGATCATGCCATTGCACTCCAGCCTGGGTGACATTGTGAGACCCCATCTCAAAAAAAAAAAAAAAATATATATATATATATATGAAATATATGGGTTTGGAGGTTCCCTCTCTTGGCTTTGGAGCCCCCCATCCCTCTGTTTCTGTACAGGGGAGCTTCTTCCTTCTCCCATCCTTCTTGCCCCTTCTTGCCTATTAAACTCTCCACTCCTTAAAACGAAAAAAAAAAAAAAGAAAGAAAGAAATACAACGGTTTGGTTCAGAAAACTGGGACAACTCTCAAAGCGGGAGCTTCCAGGCTGTAGGTAAGTTTAAACATTTTCTGGTTTACAATTGGTTGAGTTTATCTGAAGACCTGGGATTAACGGAAAGGAAATGTTCAGGTTAAGATGAAGGATTGTGGAGACCAAGTTTTACTGTGCAGAGGAAGTTCTCAGATAGCAGACTTCAGAGAGAGCAGGTTGTAAAATGTTTCTTATCAGACCTAAAAGTGTACCTGGCTCTAGTTGATTATCTCCTGGATCTGAAAAGAAAGGAAGGAAAACAAAGGGGAAAGGGGATTCCAATAGAATCTGGATTTTTCCCACAAGAGACTTTGCAGGACAATTTCAAAGTATGGCAAGGAAATGTATTTTGGGGTAAAATATTTTGATTTTTTTTCGTTGTTATGCCAGAGTCAGGTTGGAAAGTAAGTCACGATATACAGAGTTAAATAAAACCCATCTGATGAGAATTTCTGCTTTGTAGCGCATGACTCCCCAGACCCCTTAGAAAGGAATTTGGGCAAGATAAAAAATCAGAGCTTAGTCCTCGCCCATTATCTTCATGTTTCTGAAATGTGTGATACAAACAACAACGTTCAGCCAATCAATAACTGAAGCTTTTTGTTGTAAATTATTTTATTTCTTCCTTGATGATTTAGAGGGACTATCTTCAAACCAGTACAAATATTTCATACATAATACCTGGCCATTTTCTAACTCATTGAGTAATTTGTTGCACAGTAAGCTACCTCACGTCTTTCAGCAGGAAATGCATTACGTTTGAATGGTGAAGACATTACATAATGAATTAGGACACAACTAAAATTTACTTTAAATAGTTCTTTGGGGGAGGGGGCACCACACTTCTCAATGAAGAGAAACATTTTTATAGTCCAGAGGTCTTTTATTTTATTAACACCTATTATGCCATGAATCCATAGGGAATAGGTTCCAGCAGTTCAGGCTCCTTCCCGTTGGTTCTCACAAAGTGTGCTTCTCTGGGTGGAGCAGCCTGGAGCTTAGTTGAATCCAGGTACCTTTCTCTGTGGCTTCTGTCTCTTTCTGATCATTTTCCTTCACGCGTTTCAGGAAGCTATCTCGGCTCATAGAGGGCTTAATGTGCTCAATACGCTCATTAATTCTCTTGGCAGGAATCTTGCCCTTAACTTGTTTGTCTACAGCAATGCCAACAGCATGCTGGGGAACACTGTAGACTCTTCCAGCTTTGCCATGGTGACACTTGCGGGGCTTCCTTTTTGAACAGTTCCCATTCTCTTGATGTCTACAGTGTCACCTTTCTTATAGATTCACATATACGTGGCCAGAGGAACAACTCCATGTTTTCCAAAACGCCTGGAGAACATGTACCGGGTGCCTCTCCTCTTTCCCTTTGCATTCATCATTTTGGCGAATTCCTGGAAGATGGCGGTTCTGGCCAAAAGGCACTGATGCCATTTTAAAGAACCAATGTACATTCCTGGTAAACGACCAAACTGCTCCTTCAATTTTCCTTTAAAAATCCATTTGCATCTGCTGCTTGTTGGAGCTTATCGCCAGGGTAACTTGAGTCTATGTCTCCTGGGCTTCAGTCCTCAAACGTGGCCCAAATAAACTCTCTATTTATGTTAATTTTGCCTCAGTTTCTTCCTTTATGTTGATGCAATAAAGTTCAAGAATGGGTAAAACCGATTCATGGAGTTAGAAGACGTGAAACACAGCCGTTACCTTGGTGGGGGAAGTTGGGAAGGGGTGGGAAGCGGTGTCACAGGTGTTGATTCCGTGGGTGGGCTTGCTTTGTAAAAATGTTTCCAGCTGTAGGTTGATGATTCGTATACGTTTCTGCAGGCATGTTGTGCTTTCATTTAATAATCTTAACATCTTTAGGCAATGGCTCTGCTGAGACTTTGCCCTTGGATGCTGTGAGGGGCCCGAGGCTCAGGCCACCCCATCTGGCTCAAGACACTGATTTCCTGTAGCACAGATGAGAGCAAATGAGAATCCGACAGCAAGAATTGCTAAGTGCTTGGGGCTGACAGCAAGGAAATCTATAGCAAAGAGACTGCCCACCCCTGGGGCCTCTCCTCTTTTTAAGCACCACTGCCCACCCCACCCCTGCCATCAGCCCTGCCTTCCTCCTGGGGAATGGCGGGACAGCTCTACCCATGACAGTGGTCTCTGCCCTGATCCCTGATCGAAATGACTGACGGCAAACTCTCCTTCAGGCCTGGCCTCCCCGGAGTTCCCACTTAGCAAATGGCTTTCTAATGAGGGCACAGTAACTTGTCCCTATGTGTGGACTGACAATGAATCAAAGAAGCAGAAATCCATGGTGGACTTTATCTCAGCCAATAGAGGACAGAGATCAACCACAGCTCCTGTAGGATTCGGAAGATTGGTCACCCACATAGGCACAGAAAGAGGAAAATGGGATCCACCTTTCTGGGGCCAACCTGACAATTTGTGTGCAAAGCACAGGAATTCCACACAAGGAATTTGGCCTAATAAAAGTAATTAGGGCTGGGCGTGCTGCCTTGTGCCTGTAATTCCAGCACTTTGGGAGGCTGATGCAGGAGGACTGCTTGAGCCCAGGAGTTGAAGACCAGCCTGGGTACCATAGCAAGACCCTATCTCTACCAAAAATAAATAAATAAAAAAGTACAAAAATTAGCTGGATGTGGTAGTGTACACCTGTCAAAAAAAAAAAAAAAAAAAAGCAATTAGTAACAGGAATGCTCCAAACTCAGGAGAAAAAACAAAAGAATATTTTTAAACTGCTAAGACGACCAAAAATTATTTCAAAACCATGAGGTAAAATGACTTCAATGGCAAATGAAAAATCAAACTATCTGCCACGCACAGCGGCTCATGCCTATAATCCCAGCACTTTGGAAGGCCGAGGCAGGGGGATTGCTTGACCCTAGGTGTTCGAGAACAGCCTGGGCAACATAGTTAAACCCCATCTCTACAAAACTAAAAAACTCAGCCAGGTGTGGTGATACAGACCTGTAGTCCCAGGTACTTGGGAGGCTGAGAGAGGAGGATCCCTTGAGCCCAGAGGTTCAAGGCAGAAGCGAGCCATGACTGCACCACTGCACTCCAGCCTGGGTGACAGTGAGACCCTGTCTCAAACAACAAAAACAAAAATCAACAATTATAGTGAAATAATTTAAAAAATAACATTGTAGAGCAAATGCTTCTCAGACCTTGTGGTGAATCAAATCATCCATGAGCTAATACAATCTACAGCCTGGATCTGTGTTTTCCCAGGCACCCCAAGCAATTCTGATGCCCCCACACTTGAGACCACTCCCAAAGCTGGAGGAAGATTTCCAGGGAAAATACCATCTGTAGCCACGAGAAAAGTAATGTCAGTTATGGGTATCATTTCACTCTGTAAACACACTGAATGTGCCGAGACCAGCTCAGCTGGGGAGACCCTAACCCAGCAGCGCTAGAGGAATTAAAGACACACACACAGAAATATAGAGGTGTGAAGTGGGAAATCAGGGGTCTCACAGCCTTCAGAGCTGAGAGCCTTGAACAGAGATTTACCCACGTATCTATTAACAGCAAGCCAGTCATTAGCATTGTTTCTATAGATGTTAGATTAATTAAAAGTATCCCTTATGGGAAACGAAGGGATGGGCCCAAATAAAGGGATGGGTTGGGCTAGTTATCTGCAGCAGGAGCATGTCCTTAAGGCACAGATCACTCATGCTATTGTTTGTGGTTTAAGAACGCCTTTGAGTGGTTTTCTGCCCTGGGTGGGCCAGGTGTTCCTTGCCCTCATTCCAGTAAAACCACAACCTTCCAGCGGGGGCGTCATGGCCATCATGAACATGTCACAGTGCTGCAGAGATTTTGTTTATGGAGAGTTTTGGGCCAGTTTATGGCCAGATTTTGGGAGGGGGGTGTCTGTTCCCAACATGTCCCCCTTCTTTGATTTGCAAAGTGATAAAAGCAAAGGCAGCTTTGTCACGGTGAGCTACTTCTCGCGGGAGTCAGGATCCGCGTCTGCAGACTATACAAAGACAAACAACACAGATTAAAAGCATAATCATCATTGAAATCACAGAGCTTCCAAGTGTTTTTATCCATTTGAATGGGTTACTAGCTTTTCATCTGTCTGCAGCTCCTTCAAGCACTCCAGTTCCTGGCATTAACGTCAGGTGTGCCTGGGATGCTTTAAATATTTGTTCTTTTAATTTTGCAATATCCAAAAACAAGTTTGTAGGGTGTCCTTCTCGATGCTTTTTTATTCTTTCCCAAATTTCGATCTTATTAAGAGCTATTAATAGTTTCCACAAATCCTTATGTTTAGCTCCTACAACGAGCCATATCATTTGAGGTTGAGGTGCCACTATACTGCCATGGTTCCAGATAATAGGAACTCTTGTCATATGTTTTATCATTTCTGCCATCTGATCATTTTGTTCAGATCAGCTGAACATAGTGTGGTTGTGGCACGCAGACTGAGAGGTGCGATTTAAGCTAAACATGCCCTTAGGGGACCAGTCCATAATGATTCCATAGGAATCTCTGCGCAGCACCTCTGCCTGTTCTGCAATGCGGTCTTCCTAAACAAGTATGTTCATTATTTCTGGCCAGGTTCTATTTTGTTTACAAATAGGTTTTTGAGGACGGTATGCCTCAATTATAGGAGCAGATTTATTATGGTAAATACCAAGATCAGAAAGCATGTGTAACTGCGTCATAGAGTGATTACGTTCAGGCATTATTGCCAGCCAAGATTGATAAATATGCCCAATAAGTATAATTGTTCTCTGTGTCAGCCCTTATTGAAGGAATACTCATGGCAATGGTGATCATCGCTATCATAGCTACCATTAAATTACTCATTGTTACTGGTTGTCCCACTTTCCTCAGGTTTTCTTCTGCCATCTGTGACAGCTTCTTGGTCTGTCCCCAGGTGGGTGGCTGTGTTCAGCAGGTGTTGCTTGTGACAGTTGGGGTCCTCCTCAGCGTCAGCCTCAACATGGCTGCAACCAGGGGGTCCTCGGGATCCTCCCAGAATCTCTTCCTCATCATCTGGCTCATGATAAGGTTTCAGGTGTCTTGATGGTATCCAAATCGGCTGTTGATTCGGTCCTGGAGAAACACAAGCACAACCTCTACCCCAAGTTATTATTTTACCTATTTTCCAACTTTTTGTTATTGGATCTCTCCACCAAACCAGTTGTTCTGCTTCTGTCTTTGCAGCTGGTTTCTGTAGATGCTGTTCAGCTGCTGATAACATCTGGCCTTTGGGCAGGCTCAAAAAATTTAAAGTTAATAATGCTAGGTTCAATTGTGTATGGGCTGTCCCATAATCCCTGTTTCTCCTCCTTTTTTGTCTTTGTCATCAGTTGTTTATCTGTATGATATAGTAACTGAGCATTTTTAGTTAACTGTGTGGAATGAACCAAGTATGAAGAATCAGAAACCACATTAATAGGCATATCGAAAGCAGTCAACACCTCAATTACAGCTACAAGCTCCGCTTTTTGAGCTGAAGTATAGGACGTCTGGAAAACTTTACTTTTTGATCCAGAATAAGAAGCTTTACCATTACTAGACCCATCTCTAAAACAATGAAAACTCTTAGCAGGCTGCAGGTTGTTTACCGTAGGAATTGTAAATGCAAACCATTCACAGCCTTGCTCAGCTAAAGGGATAGTAAAGAAACAGTATTTTAAATCTATAACTATTAAAGGCCAGTTTTTTGGAATTATAGCAGGAGAAGGCAAGCCAGGCTGCAATGCTCCCATAGGTTGTATAACTGAACTGATGGCTCTTAAGTCAGTTAACATTCCCCATTTACCTGACTTTTTATTTTTATGAAAACTGGAGAATTCCAAGAGGAAAATGTTGGAGCTATGTGCCCATTTTCTAACTGTTCAGTAACTAATTTCTCTAAAGCCTCCAGCTTCTCTTTACTTAGCGGCCATTGTTCTATCCAAATTGGCTTATCTGTTAACCGTTTTAAAGGTATAGGTTCTGGAGGCTTAACAACGGCCACCATCAAAAATGACATCCCAATCTTTGGCAGGAACTTTGTCTTTCTGCTTGAAGCGGTTTTTTCAAACCTTGCAAATTTTTTGTTCTAGTCCCATACCAGGGACATGCCCCATTTCACGCATCATATGTTGATTCTGAGGGCTATATAATTGTTCTGGAATTAGAACTTGTGCTCCCCACTGTTGTAATAAATCTCTCCCCCATATATTTACAGGTACAGAAGTTATAATTGGTTGAATAGTGCCAGGCTGTCCATTGGGCCCTTCACAGTGCAAAATATAACTACTTTGAAATACTTCGGGGGATTCACCAACTCCAACTATGTTAAATTGAGCAGGTTGAATTGGCCACGTCGACGGCCAGTGCTGTAGATAAATGATGGAAACATCCGCTCATGTATCTATCAAACCTTTAAATTTCTTTCCCTGAATAGTTATTTCACAGGTAGGATGTTTATCAGTAATTTGATTCACCCAATAAGCTGCTTTGCCTTGTTTATTTGTGCTTCCAAATCCTCCTGTTTATTTAATTTCACTTTTTCCCATTCCCACATATGGCACGATCAGGAGCCGTGCTATGCGCTCTCCTGGCTCTGGTTTCCAGGGAACAGAAGTAGATATAACAGTTTGAATTTCCCCATCGTAACCTGAATCAATGACTCCTGTATGTATTTGTCCCCTTTTAAACTTAAACTAGACCTTCCTAAAACTAATCCTATTGTCCCCGCTGGCAAGGGTCCACAGACTCCTGTTGGGACCTTTTGCGGGGGTTCCCCAGGCAGAAGCCTCACAGCTTTTGTGCAGCATAAATCTACTGCGGCACTACCGGCTGTGGCGGGGGACAGACATTGTACAGGGTTGAGGGAATGGCCTGAGCTGGAAATGCCCCGGTTTGGAATGGGGCCCGGGACAGGCCCCTCATGGTGTTTCCCAAAATCGGGTTCCTATCTTTATCAAACTTAGAGTGACACCGATTAGCCCAGTGTTTTCCTTTTTTATATTTTGGACGTATTTCAGGCTCAGCAGTTTTCTTTCTTCCCTATCTGGCAGCCTGACTCGCTGACTTTTTTCTACACTATTTTTTAGTATGACCCAACAGAACATGCTTCCCACAGTTAAAACAAGCTCCAGGAAATGGAGCATTTCCTTTCTCCACTCTCAATCCTGCCATTGCCTGTGCCAACAAAGTAGCTTTATGCAGATTACCTCTGATAGCATCACAGGCCTTGATATAATCAACTAAATGTGCTTTCCCTCTAATAGGTCGCAGAGCAGCCTGGCAATCGGGATTAGCATTGTCAAAAGCTAATAACTGCAGCACTATCTCCTGAGCAGCCGAATCTGCAGTCACCTTTTTAAGAGACTCCTGTAACCGAGCTATAAAATCAACATATGGTTCTTTGGGTCCCTGTTTTACTGCACTAAAGGAAGGGTATTGTTCTCCGCTTGAAGTGATTTTTTCCCCCAGCTCTAATGCACACTCCCCTAAGCTGTTCTATGGCATCATCCTGCCTGACCACTTGGGCATCTAAACCAGCCCAGCCGCCAACCCCCAAAAGCTGGTCTGCAGTTATATTAATTCGAGGTTGGGCCTGGGCATTGTGAGCAGCCTGAATGGAAGCTTCATCTGCCCACCAAGTTTTAAACTGTAAGAACTGAGCAGGAGTCAGACAAGCTCGAGTAAGAGCGTCCCAGTCAGTAGGAATCATCTGACTGGAAACAGCAACATTCTTTAACAGTCCCATTACAAAAGGAGAACCTGGTCCATACTGATTTATAGCTTGTTTAAAATCTTTGAGTAATTTAAAAGGAAAAGGCTCAAATGTAGCTATAATATTTCCCTGTTGATCCGGGGGTGTATTGTAACGGAACTGCCAAGCCTCTAAATCACCCTCTCATCTAGCTTGCTGAATTCCTGCCTGAATAGAACTAAGAGCGGTCGCTCGAGGCGCTGCTCAAACTGTCACTGGGGCAACTACTTTTCGCCCAGTGTCCTCTGGAAAAGAAAGATCTGGAGGGTCTTTTTCTTCAAAATAATAAGGAGGGGGTGCAGAAGGGTAGGGATGAACCTCTCCCTCCTTTGCCGCTTTAGCTTTAGCTGGCAAATAAACCTACTCTGTAAACTCTTCTGTTACTTCATTATACTCTCCTTCCTCCTCATTACCAGTGTGAAGAAGTTCCACAGTGGAACGAACCACACCCCACACCTGCCCCATTGTTACCCTGATGCTTCTGAGCTCCCCTTCTTACTCACCACGGGGACTGCTTTAAGAGTACTTGGTGTCCTCCAGCTTAGTTCCACGTTCTCCAACCATCGCTCCGGCGACCCTTTGACCTGGATTCGAGCCCCCACGAATGGACGCCACTTGCCGAGACCAGCTCGGTCAGGGACACCCTAACCCAGCAGCGCTAGAGGAATTAAAGACACACACACAGAAATATAGAGGTGTGAAGTGGGAAATCAGGGGTCTCACAGCCTTCAGAGCTGAGAGCCTCGAACAGAGATTTACCCACGTATTTATCAACAGCAAGCCAGTCATTAGCATTGTTTCTACAGATGTTAGATTAACTAAAAGTATCCCTTATGGGAAATGAAGGGATGGGCCCAAATAAAGGGATGGGTTGGGCTAGTTATCTGCAGCAGGAGCATGTCCTTAAGGCACAGATCACTCATGCTATTGCTTGTGGTTTAAGAAGGCCTTTGAGCGGTTTTCCGCCCTGGGTGGGCCAGGTGTTCCTTGCCCTCATTCCAGTAAACCCACAACCTTCCAGCGTGGGCGTCATGGCCATCATGAACCTGTCACAGTGCTGCAGAGATTTTGTTTATGGAGAGTTTTGGGGCCAGTTTATGGCCAGATTTTGGGGGGCCTGTTCCCAACAGAATGTATAGAGAAAAAGAGAGTAGGGAGAGGACCTCCTACTGAAAGCATCAGTTATCCTGGAAGGAAAAAGAGATTCCCGTCATTTTATATCATCCTTCAGTTCACCTGAGACATCAGTTCCATTCCATGATTAGACAAACATTTAACATGGCCAGGCCTGGGTCACAGGCCCCTGGGGGTGGCAGAGCCTTGTTACTTCAGGATCAGAGACATCCACGTCCCTGAGAGCCTGTTAGTAAAGGCAGCACCTCAGCCTCACCCAGGACACAGGACACTTTGAGGGAAAGGAAAGAGTCTGCCCTGGCAGGACCTTGGGTTCCCAAGAGCCACAGCGAAGGTTAGACAGGATCAGGGAGGCCTGCATGACAGAGGCATCCTCTTGCTGGAGCTGCACACAGACAGCTTGTCAGCACAGCAGCCCCTAGAATGACGGCACTGGGGATCTGGTGAATGTGGTAGGGCCCTGGATCCAGCCCTACCTGAAGCTGTCCTGGGATGTTCATCTAAACGCACCACTAAGATGCCCCACTATGTCTTCTTTCTCCAAAGACCTTTTAAAGTTGGATTGTCTAGCACAGGCAACCAAAAGATTTTACCTAAAGCACTATCTTCCTAGCAGTGGGATTACTGCATCAGACTGAGCTTGTGAGGTCACTTTGAGCAAGTATGCACCACAGGAGCCTCCTGGAACCGCAAAGGGGAGCTGGCCCCATGTGCTCTTCTACCGGGCAGGGAGTCTGGAGAGAGTGGGCCGGGCTGCTGGGGGCGCTGGGGCATTGGCTGCCAGCTCCGAACTTGAGACCCGAGACAGGTCCTCAGCCTCTCGGCCTCGGCTCCTCTCCTCTGAGTAATGTGAGTGGTGATATTGCTGCTCCAGGGGGTGCAGGTGAGGAGGAAAGGGGAGGCTCTGGGCAGGCTGGGCACAGGGCCAGGACACCCACTGTGCTCAATCCAGGGGCCCAGCTGTGATGCTGACAGTAGGGGAACCTCAGCGGTTCCTGCCACACTCCGCGCCTCAGTGCCTTCTGATCCGGGGGACCCGGTCCCCAGGGGTCAGCACCTGAGGTCCGGTCAGTGGGGAGGGATATGGAGTCTCTGAGTGTGGCCCCCGGAAGCAAGATTTTAGGAGGCTGGTGTTGCGGGAGGCTTCAGGTTCAGAAGGAGTGAAGGCGCCTGAAGGGAGGGGCCTGGGGGATGGCCTGTGCCGGGATGGTCCCCATCTGCCCCAGCCTCACCAAGCCCTGGCACCTATGGGAGGGGCTGCCCATCCCCCTGCTGCTCCCACTGGGCCTGGCACAGGCAGGGGGCCCTGGAGCTGGCTGCCTTCCCAGCCCTGCCCTCCTGCTGCCCAGCCCTGCCCTCCTGCTGCCCAGCCCCACCCGCCACCCTCCCAGCCCCACCCTCCTGCCTCCCAGCCCCACCCTTCTGCTGCCCAGCCCCACTCTCCAGCCTCCTAACCCCAGCCTCCTGCCTCCCAGCCCTGCCCTCCGGCCTCCCAGCCCTCTCGGCTGGACTCACTCAGGCCGGCAGGTGAGCCTGGCAGCGCCTAATCCTGGCCGGGGGAGGGGGATAAGGAGCGAAGCCCCAGAGCCTGGCTGGGCTCCCTGACGGTGCCTTGGTGGTTGCCACTCTTGGTCTTGCTGCCCAAATGCACTGCGGAGACCCAGGCCAAGGAGCCTGCCCCCCTCAAATGTTAAAGCAGGCCTAGGCCTTGGCCTCCTGCCCTGGGAGGCTCCCAGAAAACCCAGCACGTGGGAGGCAGAGCCCCTCCCTGGCCCAGAGGCCTCCTCCCCAGCCCATTTCTGCCACCCCAGGGCTCTTTGTCCTGTTTTGCTCCAGGCCCAAGGTGGAGTCCCTCAATCCGCACCCTGGTTTCTCCCTTCTCTGGGCCCTGAGCCCAGTAGAGGGAGAGGGGACCCGGGGTGTCTGAATAGGCTCTGGGTGCCATCTGCTCCAAGAGGGCAGGGCCAGGTGCTGAGCACACCGCAGCCCAGGGAGCAGTGGCAGGGGCTGTACCTGGAGGCAGGGAGCTCCCGGGAGTGGAGGGGCTGCTCCCTGCTGGAGTGGGGGACAAGCTCTTCCACCCCAGAGGTTCCTCTGCCAGGGGTGGGTGCTTGGCTGTGGTGTGGTTTGCACTAGAATCTTCTGTGCCTTGCTTGTGTGAATGACCTCCCGTGACCTATGCCCCCGGCGAGTTTTCTGACGTCCTGATGCCCACCCCTCCTGCACTGGCACCTGCGTCCTGCTGGGGTGAGATCGCGGCTCTGTGTTGGGAGAGCCCCTGCTGTCCCCCTACTTCCTGGGCCCTCTCCTTTGGCCCACCTGAGCCTCACCTGGCTGAGGCAAGAAGCCCTGTCTGCTCCCACCTGAGCCAACTGCATCCTGGTATCCTGGGCGGTCGGAAACTCTCCCTGATGACTCTCGGATGCTTCCCACGCCTGGGCCAGGGCCAGGGGTTTGGGGGGCTGTTTTCTTGACACGGCGCCCGTCTCCTCGCTCAAGGACCCGGGACTCCTCAGTCTCTCCCACCTCGCACCGCCTGGACCCCTGTGGTCTCAGTCCAGGGCCCGAGCACAGGGCAGTTCCTGGGACGCTTCCTGGTCCACTCCTGTATCTGGGGGTCCCGCTTTGGTGTCCAGGACAATGTGTGTCTGGGACAGGGGACTGTTCATCTTCTGAGGACTTGCCCTGCAGGTGCCTGAGTCTGCAGATCTGTGGGCCCGGGCTCTGCCTCCATCCTCCTGGGCCGTCCAGGTCTGGATCTGGATCACAGCTGGAGCCCCCCAGGTGTCTGTCCTGCGCCGTCATCCCCGGGCCGGGTGGGCAGAGGCGCTGCCTGCTCTCAGGTGCTCTCTCTGAGCCTGGTTCCATCGCAGCCGTCTTCCTCTGATTACTGCCCCTCTCTGGCCCTCCTGGGGGACCTGCCCAGGGGCCCCTCGCTAGTTCCCAGCTCCCCTGTCTGCTCCAGGTCTGTGCTGTCCCTCCCTGCAGGGATCTCGGTTGCCCCTCCCCTGGGTCAGGTCAGGAGAGAGGACGGGTCTGGGGCTTGGTCTTTCCCTCCGGGGACCTCAGGTGTGTGAAGAATGTCTGATGTGTCCAGACCCCTGCCAGGGAGCCTACCGCAGCCAGGGCCCCTCCAGCAGGGATCGCGGTCCTCAGTCCTGGTGAAGGGAAGATATGGGATGACCTTGGCTGTGGCTGTGACCTGGGGCTCAGGCCAGCCAGGTGGCTCCAAGATTCTGGAGCTCTGCCTGGGGGACACAGACTCCCCTGGGGCTGGCCCATAGCACAGTTGTCCTCCTGGGACAGGGGCTGGCTCTGGGCTATGGTGGCAGCAGAGTCCTTGTGGTCTCCCGTGAGGCTCTCCCCACCTCTCTCCTTCCTTCCTGTACCCTCCATGGCTCCTGCCCCTTCCTGATGGCTGTGACCCTCAGCAAACATCTGCCTCTCTCTGAGCCTCAGTATCCCCATCTGTCATGGCAGGTAGACTCAGTAAGGGGGACTTGCTCCCAGCAGCGGCTCCAGGAACCCCCATTGTGGGCACAGACCTGGCTCCGCCTCCCCTGTCCTGACCTGCTTGCACCCAGGGATCTCATCACCCCTCTCCGCTCCATGACCATCCACAACACCTTTTGGTCTACAGGGCCGGCCACTCCACGGCATCTGCAGGAGAGGCCTCAGGGACCCCGGGCCTCCATCCTCCCCTGTGCCCCAGGACCTAGTGGACCCCAGGCCTGCAGCCCTCCCCACCTCTGACCTCAGAGATGCTCGTCACTTGTTCCATCCGGGCCCTGTCTAGGGTTAATCCCTAGTCAGTCCTGCAACTCATGGCAGCCTTCTATATGCCAGGTCCCTGCACATGAGGCCGCCCGGCCATCCCGCCCTGTGCCCTCTAGAAGGTCCCCCCCTCCTCCCCTCCCCATAGGACCTCATTCCCCCTCCTCTCTCTCACAAACACTCAGCATTTTGAGCAAGGACTTGTCCAGGGTTGACTGGTCGCATTTTGACTTGTAGCAATTTAGTCTTATGTCCCTGCCCACGGGGCCGCCTGGCCCTGCTGCCCCTGTACCCTCTAGAAGTTCCCCCCACCCCTCCCTGTTAGGGCCCTGTCCCATCCCCTCCACAAACGCTAAGCACTTAAGTCTAACAACTCCGGGCACTCTCTTGGGCCCCTTCCCTCCAACTCCTGGGGGCCCCAGGCCCTCCCACCAATGCTTCTGGATCCTTCCAGGTGAGTCAGCAGTGGGGCAGGTGCGGGAGGGAAGGCCATCCAGGCAGGCCCTCTACCCAGGGACCGGATGGCCTGTCCTGGTCTCACATTTCTTGCTGGGTTGGGGGCATGGCAACACCCCCACTGCTGGCCTAGAGGATTAGGGTCCCCTGTAATGAACCTGAAGGGACAGAGCTGGGGACCACCTGTGTGTGCAGGCCAGGGCCTGTGTGCCAGGGATGGAGAGCAGGTGCACCCTGGCCCTGCTTGGGGACCTGAGGTGCTCTTAGGAGTAGGCAGAGGTGACCCTGTTCCTGGGGTCTGGTCACCTTGGGCAGATGAGAGAAGGGGGTCCTGTGTGGACTGTGGGCCTGAGACAGGGCGGCTGTGGCCGCCCAGGTAGGGTGTGGGGCAGGAGGAAGGGAGGGAGAGGAGTGGACCCTGTATTCCCTGCCCCTCTGTCCCTTGGAAGACACTGTCCCTTGGAAGACACTGTCCCTTGGAGGGCTGTGGGCACCACAGTGGGACTTGGGCCCAAGCAGATGAGAGTTGCTTGACCCCAGGGAGGGCCACTGAGGCTCAGAGCCCTGATGTCTTGCTCAGGGCCACAACCTGGGGCAGTGCTGGGTCCCAAACTCCTCCCATCCCTGGACTTGGTACCTGTCGTGTCTCCTGTGGCCTCGGGAGGCCCAGAAGGATGGAGTAGGCTGGGGATATCTGCTCAGGCAGGCTCCACCCCGACCCAAGCACATGTCTGCCTGCTGGGGACACAGAGGCCTCAAGTCCAGCTAGCAGTAGGCCTGGGTGACTTCTGGACAGGGACCCCGCTGTCCCCTTGCCCCCTGCCTGCTAGGGGAGGGGCTGTGTCAGACCCAGCTTCATGTGGAGCTTAGGGAGGTAGGGTCTCCTGGCCTGAAACCCTCATGAATGAGAGGGACCTTCCCTGGGCCTGCCTCCTGGTCACTGTCCCCAGTGGACGCTGCCTCCTCCAGGCTCTTCCCTCCCTCCCACCCCCTCCCCTGCATCCTCCTGCCTCAGCCGGGCCTCGTCTCTCTCCTGACTCCTGCAGTGGCTCCTGCAATCAGACCTCACTGGTGCTGGGGCCTGCCTGTGGCTCACTCCCTTGGGATCCATTCCCAGCCTCCTGTCTGTCCTTTGCCCCTTCTGCTCCTCTGGCCTCCCTGTGATGGGTGCCACCTCCTCCAGGAAGTCTTCGATCTTGTGGCTCCCTCTGTCCCAAACTCTCCCCAGCACCCTTAGTGCAGACTCCTCCCCTCCTTTGTTCCTTCTGTTTGCCCATTCTGTCTCCTGGGCCCCTGCTGAGTCCCTGTTGTCCAGTTCTGGCTCCTTGATGTCCAGGCCTCTGTTCCTGCAGCTCTGGTTCGCCTGTCTGTGAGGGTCCCGCTCATCCCTGCAAAGGCTGCACTTCAGGGCAGGGGTCCGGCCCTCCCAGCGGTGTCTGCCCTCTGCCTGGGGCTGCCTCCATATCAACAACTCCTTCTCATGTGAGAGGTGGGGTGACCCTGGCCGGCCTGCTCTGCTCAGGGGGAGGTTTGGGGACCAGAGCACAACCTTTGCATCAGCCAAGCCCATCAGGCCCCTGTGGCCAATGCCCTCCAGGTGGTGGCTGTGATCAAGGCCCAGCACTGAGTCATTGGCTGCCTGGGTCCCAGGGCACTTTTTCCTTTTTATCATTGATAGGTATATAGACCTATGGGGCACCCATGACATTCTGTTACGCGCATCAAATGTGTAGTGATCAAGTGGGAATGTTCAGGACATCCCTCACCTGGAGCACTCATCATCCCTACGTGGTGGGAACACTGCAAATCTTCTCTTTTGGCTATTTTGGAGAATACAGTAAATATAGTTGTTCCATGGCAGAGTCGGTGACAGCAGTTAATGTGAGGCCTTTCCCTGTACCTGTGTGTGTACCATTAAGCATCCTCTCCATCCGCTCCCCTCCCACCCACATGCCCTCCCAGCCTCGTGTCAGTATCAACCATCACCCCACTCTCTACCTCCCTGAGAGCCACGTTAGCTCCCTGTGAGTATGAGGACATGCGCTTTGTCTTTCTGTGCCTGGCTGATTTCACTTCACGTCATGACCTCCAGCTCCATCCATGTGGCTGCATGAGAGGATTCCCTTCTCTTGATGGCTGAATGGTCCTGCATCGTGTGCACCACGCTCCTTATCCATTCTCCAGTTGACGCCTATTTAGGCGGATTTCAGCAACCGAGCAGCGCTGCAGTGAACACGCATGCAGGCGTCCCTGTGTGCTGACTCGTTTCCTTTGATAATGCTCGGTGCTGGGACTGCCGGATCCTCTGGGAGTCCTATGTGTAGTTTTGTTTCCTCTGGACACTCTGAGGTCTCCAGGGAGCAGGCCCTTCACATGGCTCCAGCCCCACGGGGGCCTCTCCTGCAGGGGTGGGCTGGGTCGAGCTCTGGGGGAGGCCCCAGATCCTGCCTCAACTCAGGCTGGCCCTGCAGGAGGTGTCACTGCTGCAGCCCTGGGGGCTCTGGACCAGCAGCTGAGAGGCTGCCCAGGGCGAGGGGAGTGTGTGTATATGATGGCGAGGGCAGGGGTGACTTTCTCTCCGGAGTGGCCTGAAATCCCATCTGACACAGGTCTGCTCCTGAATCGCCTGGCTGCTCATGAGCTGTGCTCTCAGGGAGAACACGTACCCATCTCACCAGGTGCGCAGATGCCCCCAATAACCTTCCACCTGGTCACCCCCAAGCCCCAGGTGAGACTGAACAACCTCCCTCATTAGGGAGGCTTTCGGGCTGGAGTGGAGCAGCCCCGGGTGGAGCTCAGGCCTGCAGGTGAGTGTGCAGACCAGGTGTGCGTGGGACAGAGCCAGGCCCTCCTGGTGACAGGGAAGTAGGTACAGGTGACAGTGGGAGTCTTAGCCCAGCCTCAGGTGCCTGAATAGCTTCAAAATCCTCATCATCCCTGAGGCTTTGGACTGATGTGTAACTAGCAGCCTAAGAACATTCTTCAGACGCCTCCTGGACGACCCAAGAGCAGGAAACTCTGGGTCACCCCCTGGCAGGGCCCTGCCTCCCCAGGTAGGGCTGAGTGGCCGTGGCCGCACAGGACATTCAGGGTTGTTCAGTGTACTGTGTTGTCAGGAGAGTCTTATTTTTGAAGAGATGGAGCAACTGAAAATGGTGTTTGTGTGATAACAAGCGTGCTCTGGGAATAACCAAAAGAGAAGAAGCTCGTCCTCAAGGCTGGGCCTGAGTGAAGAGGAAGAGAGGACAGGTCCAGGGTTCCGGGAGCTCAGCCGGGCAGCAATTCTGAGGGGAAGTGACATGTGTCTGCCGGGGTCTTCAGTTCCTGCAAAGAAGTTTGACAAGAGCAAAAAAAACAGTGTTAATTAACATCACACAGGCTGCTCAGTGTGGATGGGTTTGAGATGTCTCAGGCTCATGAATCCCTCAGAGCAAAATATTTTCTTCGACAGAAAACACAAAGCTAGTGTTGTTTTGTTTTGTTTTGGGACAGAGTCTCACCCTGTCACCCAGGCTGGAGTGCAGTGACAGGATCTCGGCTCACTGCAACTTCTGTCTCCCTGGTTCTAATGATTTTCCTGCCTCAGCCTCCCAAGTAGCTGAGGCTACAGGCGCCTGCCACCACGCCCAGCTAATTTTTGTATTTTTAGTACAGATGGGGTTTTGCCATGTTGGCCAGGATGGTCTTGAACTCCTGGCCTCAAATGATCCACTGCCTTGGCCTCCCAAAGTGCTCAGATTACAGGTATGAGCTACCAAGCCCACTGGGAGAAAATAAAAAGCGAGTTTTATCTTTTATATCCGTTACTATGACAGATCTTGAAGCTGGTTTCTTAGAAAACAGGGAAGATATTTGTCCTTTGTTACATTCTTGAGTCCTTTTAAGTCTTACTTTGAAAAAGCCAAGTGCGTACTTGTGTGTGTATTTATTTATAGTTAAGAGTAAACAGAGCCATTCCTCGGCCCCAGACTCTAAGTGTTGTGCGCGATTCTCTCGTCATCGCTGCTCTGATCTTGTCTGTCCCATATTCAAGGCAAACAGACAGAAACAGTTCTTCGAGGCCAGTGTCTTTCTGGGAACTCCCGGGTGGCCACTGGACTACATCAAGGATTTATTCTCTCATTGTAGGAAACAAAGGCTGCTTTTAAGTAACTGGATGTGCTTTGCGTTCTCCAGGCTTTAGCGCTTTGGGGAACTGCCCCGTGGCTGATGGCAAGGAGGGAATTTGGCCAGTTAAGTGTCCTCTGTCCCTGGTCAGTCCCGACGGTCAAGCAACACAGGATGTGCGGGTCTCACTCTCGTGTGCCCCTCAGAGGAAGTGCACTCTCGCTGCTGTTCAGAGACAAGCCTGGTATTATTTAACAGTTATAGTTAGTTAACAGTTAACAGTTCTGGGTTTAACGTGCCTATCACCTGGTGATGATGAAACCAGCTCTGTGGGAGAATCTAGTGACCTGCCAGTTCTTCCAGCGTCCCCTCCCAGGGGCGTCGCTGAGGAAGCGCTGAGGCTGACGCTGTGTCTCCAGGCCCGTCCTCGTCCCTGCCAACGTTGGGGGCTCTGACTGTAACTCATGACTCGGGTGCCCATCATCAACAGGTGGTTTCTGCTTTTCCCTCGAGCTTACCTTGAGGACCTGCACTTCAAGCTACAGATCGGAAGTGGAATCTTTCAACAGGAAATACGCAAGGACCCTCCAAGGACTCTGTCCTCAGCCACTGAGATGTGGGGAGTGGGCTCGGGACACAGGCTGCCCAGGTCTTCTGCCCCCATCACCACGAAGGGACGCAGTGGACCAAGCCACGCCTTCCTGGATTCTTAGCCCAGACATAGTTCTGAACGACAGAACTAAGAACAGCCTCATCAGACTAAGCCACTAAGCAGACCAAACGCAGAGACCTCACGCTGACTTCAATGTTCTATTTGGGCTTGGGGGGCGGGAGGATCCTCTGTGGGTGTTTTGTTTGTTTTGGTTCTTTTGTTTTTTGTTTTGGAGACAGGGTCTTACTCTGTCCCCAGGGCTGGAGTGCAGTGGTGCCATCTTGGCTCCCTGTATCTTCTGCCTCCTGGGCTCAAGTGATCCTCCCACTGCAGCTCCACCACGCCTGGCTAATTTTTCCTTTTTTTTTTTTTGGTAGAGCTGGGGTTTCGCCATGTTGCCCAGGCTGCTCTCGAACTCCTGGACTCGAGGAATCTTCCCGCCTCTGCCTCCCAAAGTGCTGGGATTATGGATGTGAGCCACCCTGCCCAGCCTCGATGTTCTATTTGTTATGAGCTTGCAGTCAGCCTCTTCTTAATCTTAAATCCATGGTTTAAAAGTTCTACTTGTAGAAACTGGATAAAATAAAATATTTCAAAAATGGTTCTGTGTTCCGACAGGCCCATCAGAATCCCAAAACACCTCACCAAGTTCTCAGATTGTTATGTAGATCAACAGCCAATTCACAGCCTGAAAGTTAAGGATGATTCTGCGGCAAATACTGTTAAATTGGCCTTGACACAATTACCCCAAGCCATGAGCATTGGTAATATTATCACGGTGCCTTCATGAAATCTGCTTAACTCCTAACTAAGCTCGTGGAGAGTAAACCAGCTGTCCCCCTTGCTCTGAGGATGGAGGGACAAAGACTTTGTGTCCTGTGTGGAGATGCGGCCCGAGGTTCTCCCGGGAGCCTGGCCGGGCTCTCCTCTGCAGTCTGGAGCCGCAGCCTGGAGGGTGGGGGCATCCCAGACAGCGGGGGCCCCTGTGGTTTGGGTGCAAGCACTGCAGGTGGAGGTGGATCCTGGGTGGGCAACTGGTCCCTCCTCTGTTGCTCATCACTGCTACGGGCTGGAGCACAGGTGCCCAGATCACCGCTCCGAGCGTGGTGCCATTCCCGGGTTCAGCTCTGAGGGCACGGAGTCCTCTGTGTTTCAATCAACCACCTTGTCTCCTGAAGGAAATGGATGCAGACTACTAGGAACAAATGCATCTGGAGAGATTTCTTTTCTTTTCTTCTTCTTTTTTTTTTTTTTGAGATAGAGTTTCGCTCTTGTTGCCCAGGCTGGAGTGCAATGGCATAATCTCGTCTCATTGCACTTCCTTCCTGCAACTTCCGCCTCCCGAGTTCAAGCAATTCTCCTGCCTTAGCCTCCCGAGTAGCTGGGATTACAGGCATGTGCCACCACGCCCAGCTAATTTTTTTTTTTTGAGGCAGAGTCTCGCTCTGCCACCCAGGCTGGAATGCAGTGGCGTGATCTCAGCTCACTGAAGTCTCCCTCCACCTCCCGGGTTCAAGCGATTCTCATGCCTCAGGCTTCCAAGTAGCTGGGATTACAGGCATGCACCACCAAGCTAGGCTAATTTTTTTTTTTTTGTATTTTTAGTAGAGACGGGGTTTCACCATGTTGCCCCGACTGGTCTTAAACTCCTGAGCTCAGGCAATCCACCCACCTCGGCCTCCCAAAGTGTTTGGATTACAGGCATGAGCCACCGGGCCCAGCCTGAGATTTCCCATTCTTGAAGGATGGAAGTTTCTAGATTGGCAGGGGCAAGCTGCTGCTCAGCCTAGTAAAGGAAAAAGATGAACTGTTCTCTCTAAAGGTTTGTCCGGTGGGTTTTGTTTTTTCGGTCTGTAAGATTATCTTCCAAAAAAATGGGATTTTTTTTCCCTCCCGCTTCAATCCCTACACCACAGTTTTTGCAAGGAGCTCTAATACTGTGGGAAATAACGGGACCAGTGGTGGCATCTTCTATCTACCCTCTTCTGTTGTTCTATTTACCTGTCTATAACATTTGCTGTTCTAACCATTCTTAGATATATTCCAAGGCACAAAGAACTGCAAATTATAAAGGTCATTTCAGAGTTGATTTAATAATTTTGACACAAATCTGAAACTCAGGGATATAAGATAGACAAAAATACTACGACTCGAAGTTGTCAGCAAATAAGGTAATAGAACTATGAAAGAAGTAAAAATGTTAGATTTCGGTCAGGCGAGGATCACACCTATAGTCCCAGCACTTTGGGAGTCCGAGGTGGGAGGATTCCTCCAGCCCAGCCTGGGTAACATAGCAAGAACCCCATTTCTTTTCTTTTCTTTTCTTTTCTTTTTCTTTTGGACACAGGGACTCCTCCTGTGGCCCAGGCTGAAGTGCAGTGGTCACAACTCACTGTGGCCTTGACACTCAACCTCCTAGGCTCAAGGGATTCCCCCACATCCCTCCTGCCCCACCTCAGCCTCCCAAGTAGCTGGGACTACAGGCATGCATCACCACACTGGGCTAAGTTTATTTTTTGCAGAGACGGGGTCTCTCTATGTTGCTCAGGCTGGTCTCAGACTCCTGGGCTCAATCTATCCTCCTGCCTCAGGCTCCCAATGTGCTGAAGTTACAGGCCTGAGCCACTGCACCTGGCCTGCCTCTACATATTAAAAAAAAAGTTTATAATGCCATTCCTAATGAAAACCTAACACTGACATACCAAAACAAGTCTGTACTTTCCAACTCTGTCCACTGCATGGCCTAGAAGCCTCAAGCCCTCGGGTATGCCAAGCACAGCCGCCTGCAGTGGCTGGTTTCCGAAGACCCTTCCCGCTGCACGGTCTTGGGGGAAAGTCACAAAGGAGCTGGGGCTGCTGCGTTGCCCAGAAGCCGGGGCGGTGCCCGGAGACTCAGGAGGGCAGGTTAGAGGGAGCCAGAATTCACTCCAAGGCTCTGCTGGTCACATTCAGGGACAATGTCAAAACAGGTGACTGTGGCTCAATGAAACACATGGAAAAATAGCAAAAATTCCCGCCTCTAGAGACACAAAGGAGAGGCTGAGTCTAGAAAGGGACAACAGCCAGAGCTGGAGACCGGAGTCTCCCAGCACACCCTTCCAGCTGCTACTGCGGGGTGGTCAGGGCTTGGGCAAGGATGACACCCCCCCAGTCTGTGGCCTGCCTCGGTGGGACCAAATTACACAAACCAGGAAAGCAGACCAAGTTCCCCAAGCACAGCACCTGGGAGGCCCCTCACCCAGCCCCCCACCTCTATCGGAGCCTGCCTGAGCCTCCCGGTTTCCCTTCTAAAGCCCTCCCACCTGCCCGCCTGCTGGCCTCTGCCACACCCAAGGGAGGGGCCCAGGCCGCTGCTCCACAGGCCCTGAATTAAGAGGCCCGTGGTCCTCATTTGGGTGGTCTTCACAATTTCCACACGGAAAGACAGAAAAAAATAGGACCTGCACAAAAGCCGTCTTCAGTCAGCAGGGAAATGCAAACGAAGCCCAAAGGGACATCGCCCAGGCCCCTGGCCATGGTTAGAAGAGACATCACCCAGGCCCCCGTCCGTGGTCAGAAGGGACATCACCCAGGGCCCCGGACCTAGTTAGAAGGGACATCACCCAGGGCCCCGGACCTAGTTAGAAGGGACGTCACCCAGGGCCCCGGCCATGGTTAGAAGGGACGTCACCCAGGGCCCCGGCCATGGTTAGAAGGGAAAGAGATGCCATCCACCAGGACTCTCGCTGCTGGGAGTGTCCAGGGACACCACATAGGTAACGCTGAATTTAAGTAAAACCACGACGGAAACAGGACTGTGGTAACCCCTCCACCCTGTGTGCTCCATCCCATCGTCCAGCTGTACACCCTTAATAAATACAATTTATATCCATCAATTACACCGCAATAAAGCTGGGGAACCATTTTTTAAAAACTACCTCTTGCATGTAACGATTGATAAGAACTTGCAAAGCTGGGAAGGCACCGATTTAAAACTCGCGCCAACGCGGCTGCGCGTTGCCTGGAGGCCACGGCCTCGCCCGGCCCCTGCGCGGGCACTGGACGTCCCGCAGGCTGCATCTGGCGCCCCGATGAGCGCTCCTGGACCCCCGCGGCCTCGCTTCCAGCCACGACCTCCAGGGCACGGCGCCACCCCGACGGCCCAGCCAAGGCCTCCCCGCCGAGGCCGACGCCCTCGCCACGCCCTGGTGCCCCGAGGAGTCGCCGGCTCCCGCGCGCAGAGCTCCCCAAGCCTGGGCGGGCGCCTGGATAGCGCGACCGGCACGGACCCGCACGGGGTCTTGGCAGAGACGCGCGGGACTTGGCGGGGGCCACTCCCTCCTGGCGGGCGGGGCAGGAAACGCGCCGCGAGGCTGCGGGGGGCGAGGGGAGGGAAGGGGCGAAGGAACCTCAGCCTCCCCACCCCAGCCCCGCCCCCGGGCCCAGCTCCGACCCCGATGCGTCCCTGAGGCCTGGGTCCCAGGGGCTCTCCGCGCCCGGTCGCCCCTTCCCGGAGTCGCCACGTCCAGATCTTGTCACCGGCCCGGGACCACCTCGTGGGCCGGGCGGGGTGAAGTGCCGTTAGGAAGGACGGTCCCATGGGATGGGGGGCCGGGGAACAGGAGACGCACGCCAGGTCGGGAGAAGAGGACGGACTGCGCAGAGCAGAGGCCGCAGAGGGTCGGCCCGGGAGCGCGGGGGTCCCTCCACACGCTCCCCGTCCCCGCTTCCCACGCGGCTCCCTTCGGACCCCAGGGCAGGTGGGGACGAAGAAGTGAGTCGGGTCCCCGCTGCGGGCCGTCGTCCCCTCCAGCCAGGCCATCTCCAGGGCTTCAGGTTGGGGAAGGGGCTCCTGTGGCCTCCTGACCTCGGGCCTCGCAAGTGTCTGCCCTGGGGTAGGCACTGACTTGGTGTGGATTGATTGATGAATTGACTGGAAGAAGGAAGGCACCCTAGGAACTGCAGGCTCTTCCACTTAGGGCCTGGGTTTCAACTCAGTCCCCACTCACCACCTTTTCCATGTGTCTTCAAAGCCCCTCTTCACTCGGGGGTGACCCTGTCTGTCCAGAGGGCTTGCAGCCTTCAGGGACGCAGTTTCCAGTTTCTGGGCGCCCATATGGACTCTCCCCTGAAGGCCACCTCCCCTTCCCCTGGGAGCAGGGGGCCTGCAGTTTCTCCCACTGCTCACCTTGAACTTTCTTCCTCCGCCTGTCCGGGAAAGGCCCATCCGGCTCATCCCAAAGGCCCAGGGCATCTTGGTGAAAAACCCCAAGGGCGACAAACAAAAGACCTCTACGATCTGGTTTAGAGTAGACAAAGCTCCTCTTTTTCCCTCCAGCACATAGCTCATTTAAGAACAAACTTAGACACTGGATACTGTAGTTGGGTGAAGTGGCTCAGGCCTGTAATCCCAGCACTTGGGGAAGCCAAGGAGGGAGGATTGTTTGAACCCAGGAGTTTGAGACCAGCCTGGAGAACATAGTGAGACCCTACCTCTACACACACACACACACACACACACACACACACACACACACACACACACACAATCAGCTCCTGCTGGTGCACACCTGTAGTCCCAGTTACTAGGGAGGCTGAGACAGGAGGATCGCTTAAGCCCAGGAGGTTGGGGCTCTTGTGAGCCATAATTGTGCCACTGCACTCTAGCCTGGGTGAGAAAGCAAGGTCCCTGTCTCAAAAAAAAAAAAAAAGAAAAAAACTGGATACTTTGGCCCTCGTTGAGGATACGGACATATATATACACACATATGTACACTCACGCATCTATGGTGTAAAGTGGCAGCCATGACTGTCTCTTCACCTGACTTGTCTAGAAATGCTCAGCTCCTGAGGCAGTGACCCTAGAGGGACAGAGACTGCATCTGGGAGAAATGTGGAAGGGTCAGCTGCGTCCAGTGGGCTCCCTGAGACACTGCAACTGCTTTGTCCGGGTCGTGTCTACTAAGTGGAACTCAAGCAAGAGTCTCCGTCTCTGATGCTGGAGTGGAATGTCCACGGGGGCAGGTAATGAAGAAGGGAAATTCAGGAGCAGCTGCAGCCCCAGCAAGACAGACAGAAATCCATGTCAGTTCCTGATTCCTTTTGCTTAAAACACCTCCTTTACAATTTGCTTTAGTGTAAATGTTAGTGACAAACTCCTTTGTGCTGCAAGTGTCTTTATTTGGCCCTTATTTTTTATTTATTTATTTATTAGAGTCTGGCCCTGTCACCTAGGCTGGAGTGCAGTGGTGCCATCTCGGCTCACTGTAGCCTCCAGCTCCCGGGTTCAAGTGATTCTCCTGCTTCAGCCTCCCGAGTAGCTGGGATTACAGGCACGCGCCACCATACCTGGCTAATTTTTGTATTTTTAGTAGAGGTGGGGATTCACCAGGTTGGCAAGGCTGGTCTTGAACTCCCGACCTCAAGTGATCCACCCACCTCAGCCTCCCAAAGTGCTGGGATTATAAGCGTGAGCCAGTGTGCCCGGCCACATTCATTTTTAAAAATTTGCAGCCATTTGCTTTTCAAATGTTTTGCTCTGGTCCAGTTTCTGTCCTTCTGGGGGCCTCAAATTCCACCTATGTGAGACTCCCCTACCTTTGTCTCTTCTCCCTCTTCTCTATTTATTACTTTTTTGGTCTGTTCTGAATAATGTATCTTATATCTCTCAGTTCATTGATATTTCTCTTCACCTGTGTTTAATCTACAGTTCATTTATCAATTAAGCATAGCAGTTTTAAAGCTGTTGTGTCTTATTAAACCAGTATCTTGGGTCTCTATGGGTCTGTTGTTATCTGTTTGGTTTTGTTGTTGCTTGGATTTTTTTTTTTTTTAAATCTTATTCAGTATGGACCTGTTTATCTTTTATTATATACTAGATAAATCCTCTGTAGAAATAACTTGAAACTTGGGTTATTCTCTTCCTCCAGAAGAATTTCAATGGTTTCATCCAGATGCCTGGAAGCACTAACAATAAAAGAGCACCTTAATCTAATTTCAGGGCTTGAGATTTTCCTGAAAAATCTCCCTAAAAGTGGGTTTCAGTCTCTCTGAAGGCTGATTTACTTAGTTTACCTTCACTTCCAGGATGCAACTTTTGAGATCCCAGCCCACAGCAGCAGATGTTTTACCTGGATTCCTAATCTTGGTGAGCTGTGGACTCTGTATTGATTATTTGTTGCTATATAATGAACCCAAGGCTTAGCAGTCTTAAATTTAAAAGATTTATTATTTCTTATGAATCTGAGTGTTGGCTGGGCTTAGCTGGATGGTTCTTCTGGTTTACATGGTTTTGGCTTAGGCCACACATGCCCTACATTCAGCTAGGAGCCCAGCTGGGGATGGAATATCCATGCGTTCACTCACACAGCTGCTGCCTCATCAGGGATGGCTGGATTAGCTTGGGGCTAGGAAACTCTCTCTTTCTCTTTGCATCCTCTCTTGTCATCCAGGAGTCTAGCTTTGAGCTTATTTATGTGGTGGATGAGTTGCAAGAGGACAAAAGAGGAGACTGTCAGTCCTTTTAAAGGTTTGGCTTGGAGCTGACACAATATCGCATTCTATTATTCAAAGGAAGTCAACAGCCAGGTCCGATTCTAAGGGACGGGAAATAGACTCACCTCCTTATGGGAGCTGCAGCTTTTGTGTGCAGGGGGAATAGCTGGTGGTCATTTCTGCAGACTGTCTACCACAAACCTCAACGTTTACACCTGTAAGCCTTTGGAGCTTTCAAAAGTGCAGCGCAGGCCAGTCGCAGTGGCTCACACCTATAATCCCAGCATTTTGGGAGGCTGAGGCTGGAGAATCACTTGAGGCCAGGAGTTCGAGACCAGCTTGGCTAAGACAGCAAGACTCCCACCTTTACAAAAACTAAAAAAAAAAAAAAAAATTACCCAGGCACGGTAGTGAGCACCTGTAGTCCCATCTACTCAGGAGGCTGAGGTGGGAGGACCGCCTGAGCCCAGGAGCTTGAGGCTTCAGCGAGCTGTGATTGCACCTTTGCACTGCAACCTGGGTGAAGGCCTCCCCTCTCCTGCATGGTGGTGTCACCTTACACCTCCAGTGACGACCTTCTTCAGTGCCAGAAGGGGTGTGTGAGGGGAAAAAAGCTGATTTTCTCACCTCTCCCTGTAGTCCTGCCTTCCCAAGTGGCCCTGGAGGCTCCAGGCCTGCTGCTGTCGGAGAGGGGAGGGGGTGGGGGGTGGAGACACATCCACGCCTCAATAGTGAATCTTTGTCCCAAAGCTGTCCCCTGCCCTGCTGTTCTCTGACAGGGCATTGGGCTGTCAGGGAAAAGGCTGGGGATTCCCATGGGACCGGCAGTGTCCCGGGCTCCCTTGCTGGCCTGGGTCTCGGCCTCTCAGTATGTCAGACCTCGACTGGGGAAAATGCACCAACTCCCTGCGTGAGCTATTCCTCCACAGCCCGCCTCCTCCCACACCCACCCCTGGACCCACCTGTGCTCACGGGACCCAGGCCCACCTCCCCTAGCCCCCGAACCCCGTCCCGTTTCCCTGAAGTCACAGATCCTGATCTTTCTCCATGTGAGCCCACTGGACTCAGCTGACCCTTCCACATTTCTCCCAGATGCACTCTGTCCCTCTAGGGTCACTGCCTCAGAAGCTGAGCATTTCTAGACAAGTCAGGTGAAGGGACTGTCATGGCTGCCACTTTACCCCATAGATGTGTGAGTGTACATATGTGTGTATATATATGTCTGTATCCTTTGCATGCAGTCCCCCCACATTGCCTACAGTCCCCTCTGGAGTTGGGACCGGCTTAACGAATTGATTCTGGAAGTTATGCTCAGAGGCTAGGCCCAGAACCGACTCCTCCAACCCTTCCGGTAGCTTTGTAAGTCCCGGTTACATCTGGTAAATCGGCCCTGCTTAAATTCCCTGCAGGGGTTCTGCCTCCTGCACCCCGACTGCCACAGCATTGGCTTCCAGAAAGAAGCGGCCTCAGCACCAGGCAGCAGGCTGGGGCCGGGCCAGCACCTGCAGCTACAGACCTCCAGGTTGAACAAGATCAATTCACCGCTCATCACAGGGAGGGAGAGCACCCACCACAGGGAGCCACAGGGTGTCTCAGTAAAAAGGTGTTAGAAAGGGCTTAGATTTGGTCAAAATGACAGTGAGATATCATCTCACCCCAGTTAAAATGGCTTCTATTCAAAAGACAGGCAATAACGAATGCTGGCGAGGATGGGGAGAAAAGGGAATCCTCGTACACCGTGGGTGGGAACGTAAATTAGTACAGCCACTATGGAGAACAGTTCGGAGGTTCCCCAAAAAACTAAAAATGGAGCTACCATATGATACAGCAGTCCCACGGCTGGGTATATACCCAAAAGCAAGGAGTCAGTGTATCAAAGAGATGTCTGCACGCCCACGTTTACTGCAGCACTGTTCACAATAGCCAAGATTTGGAGGCAACCTAAGCGTCCATCAGCAGATGAATGGATCAAGAAAATGTGGTGCATGTACACAATGGAGCACGATTCAGGCACAGAAAAGAATGAGATCCTGTCATTTGCAACAACATGAGGGAACCGCAGGCACCTTGGGGGGCCCACAAACAAAGGATAAATGCTGAGGTGACGGGCACCCTACTTACCTGATATTATTATACAGTGTATGCCCGTATCAAAAGATCCCATATGCCCCATAAATACATACACCTACTATGTACCCACAAAAATTAAAAAAATAAAGGGCTTCGCTTTGGGCTTGCATGAAGTGAAGGAAGCTCGAGGAAACAGGGATTGCACTGGATTAGATGCTTAGGAAGCAGGAGGTTACATGATTGACTATCATAATATATCTTTTTTTATTTTTATTTTTTTGAGACGGAGTTTCACTCTTGTCGCCCAGGCTGGAGTGCAATGGTGTGATCTCAGCTCACTGCAACCTCTGCCCCCTGGGTTCAAGAGATTCTCCTGCCTCAGCCTCCTGAGTAGCTGGGATTACAGGCATGCACCACCACATCTGGCTAATTTTTGTATTTTTAGTAGAAATGGCGGGGTATCACCACATTGGCCAGGCTGGTCTCAAACTCCTGACCTCAGACGATCTGCCCGTCTCGGCCTCCCAAAGTGCTGGGATTACAAGTGTGAGCCACTGCACCCGGCCTATCATAATAAATCTTATCTGGAAGGAAGGCAGACTAGAGAGAAGCTGAAGTTGTCATTGGTAAAGAAGCAGTCATCACTCCTGTTGGCCAAGGTTCGATGATTTGACGTGGTTTGGACAGTGTTGGTATTTCCATCTATGTTTCGACATGACTGCAGAATGCTCTTATTTTATCTTCATCCGTCATAGTCACAGAGTGGCCATGTCTGATGTTGACGTTCTGTGAAATTATTTATGTTCAGCAGGAGAACACCGTGGCCTAAATGTAGATGCCAGGCCAGCTCCCAGATGTCAGCGGCAGCAAGAAGCTATCTCTGCAGGCTGGGAGGCTGGTGAGCCCTGCACTGCCACAGGAAAACATGTGACCAAACTCTTGTCTTCAGCGGCTTTGACGGTAGACCATGTAGCGAATGCAGTTGTCAAAATGCACTGATAGACAGCGTCTCCCCCTCCCCACTCTGCACTGTCTCCTCTCCTACAACCCAAACTGATGTCCACACAGGGAGGTCTTTATGACCAGTTGATTGAGGGGGGAAAATCTCATCCTGGCTTAGAGATGGTCCAGAAGTAGGTGGCTACAGCACTCCAGTCCCACTCAGGGTGGCCCTAAAGAAGAGTGGTGGCCAGGTGCAGTGGCGCATGCCTGTAATCCCAGCACTTTGTGAGGCCGAGGCAGGCAGATCACCTGAGGTCAGGAGTTCGAAACCAGCCTGGCCAACAAGGTGAAACCCCGTCTCTACTAAAAATACAAAAATTAGCTAGGCATAGTGGCATGTGCCTATAGTCCCAACTACTCGGGAGGCTGAGGCAGGAGAATCACTTGAACCCGGGAGGCAGAGGTTGCAGTGAGCTGAGACTGCACCACTGTACTCCAGCCTGGGCAACAGAGCGAGACTCTGTCTCAAAAAAAAAAAAAAAAAAAAAAAGAACAGTGGTAAAGGAGAGTCCTCTCAGTTGTCATGTCATTACTTCATGTGCCGCATTTGTTTGTTATACTTTGCCTGGACTGGAAGATGGCCAGAAGTATGGCTCTATACTGGCTTATGGACTAGTATAGAGGCTAATGGTTTGGCTAGATCATCAGAGACTTGGAAGAAATCAGGTTGGGAGATTGGTATTGAGGTGGTCTGGGAAAGGACGGACCTCTCTGGATAGGCAGACTTTGAGGGTACCTTGTCACATGTGAATGCTCATCCAAAAGCATCTTCTAGAGGGGGCTGTCAATAATCAGGTGGGCAAGACAGTCTTTTCTGTGCATTGCAGTCAGCCTCTTTCCCCAGCCATCAGAATGGTTGCTCAATGGGCCTGTGTACAGAGTGACCAAGGAGGCAGGGAAGAGGCTGTGCATGGCCTCAGCATGGACTTTGCCTCACAAGTCCGACCTGGTTATCTTCACTGTTGAATATTTAACCAATAACAGAGACCCTGATATATGGCATCATTTCCTGGGAGAATAATTAGCCACTTGGTGGAAACTTGATTACATTAGATCCCTTCCATCACGGAAGGAAAAGCAATTTGTCCTCACTGGAATTTATTCTGGATATAGATTTGCTGTCTCTACGTGTAATGCTTTTGCCAGCACCACCATCCACAGAATTATAGAATGCCCTGTGGACCTTCATCATATCCCATAAAACATTTCTTTGATCAAGGAATTGATTTCATTGCAAAAGAGGTGAAGCATTAGGCTCATGGCCATGGAATTCAATGATCCTGCTTTTTGTTCAATCACCCAAGAGCAGCTGGCCTGATAGAATGGTTGGATGGGCTACCAAAGACTTATCTTAGCACCAGTTGGGAGATACCACCCTGAATGGATAGGCCCCCATCTTACGGTTTTGATATAATCTTTATTCAGTGATTAATATATGGTGGTGTTTTTCCCACAGCCAGAATATAGGAGTTTGGGAGTTAAGGGGTGATAGAGGGGAATTGGTTTGTTTCACTATTATACTTAGTGACTCAGTACGTTGTTTGAGGCACCTCCTGGTACTCCCATTCCAACAGTAAAAGGTTATCACAAACAACGCCAACAAAAAAATGGCAGAACCCTACTGAAAGTTCAGATCTTTCATGAATGAACATTTGGGTCATACTACTAGATGAAGAACCCCAACCAACCAGGGCCTGGCTGAGGGCAAAGAAAACATGGAATGAAAGAAGAAAAATCTAAAAATCAAATACTAGCAAACAATTCAACGGCCCATTCAAAGGATCATACATCATGACCAAGTGGGATTATTCCTGAAATGCAAGAATGGTTCGACATAAGAAAATCAACCAATATAATGCCCCACATTACCTGAATGAAGGGAAAAGAAACATGATCATCTCAATTGATGCAGAAAAATGCATTTGAAAAAAAATCATACCCTTTCATGATAAAAACATTTAACAAGATAGGACTAGAATGCAACTACCTCAACATAATGGAGTCCATATACGAAAAGTCCATAGTTAACAATCATACTCAATGGTGAAAGACAAAGTTTTTCTTCTAAGCTTAGGATCAGGACAAAGATCCTCAGTCATTCTTGCCACTTGTGTTCAACATATATTGAAAATAATAACCACAGCAATTAGTCAAGAAAAAGAAATAAAAAGTGTCCACATCAGAAAGGAAGGAGTAAAATTATCTCTGTTCACAGATGACATGATCTTATATGTACAAAACCCTAAAGACGCTACCAAAAAATCCTGTTAGAACTAATAAATCCAGAAAAGTTGCAGAATACAAAAATCAACACACAAAAATCAGATTTTTTTTTTTTTTGAGATGGAGTCTCGCTCTGTCACCCAGGCTGGAGTGCAGTGGGGCAATCTCAGCTCACTGCAACCTCTGTCTCCTGGGTTCAAGCAATTCTCCTGCCTCAGCCTCTGGAGTAGCTGGGATTACAGGCGTCCACCACCACACCTGGCTAATTTTTGTATTTTTAGTAGAGATGGGGTTTCACCATGTTGGCCAGCCTGGTCTCAAACTCCTGACCTCAGGTGATCCACCCACCTCGGCCTCCCAAAGTGCTGGGATTACAGGCGTGAGCCACCGTGCCCAGCTGATCAGTTGCATTTCTATACACTAACAATGAACAACCTGAAAAGGAAATTAAGAAAACAATTCTATTTACAATAGCATTGAATATAATAAAATACCTAAGAATAAACTTAACCAAGAGGCAAAAGACTTGTACACTGGAAATTATGAAACATTGCTGAAAGAAACTAAGGAAGACACAAATAAATGAAAGACATCTCATGTTCATGGATTGAAATGCTTAATATTGTTAAGATGTCAATACTACCCAAAGCAATCTACAGATTCAAGGCAATTCTTATCAAAGAGCCCAATGGCAGTTTTTGCAGAAATAGAAAATCCATCCTAGAATTCATATGGACTCTCAAGGGACCTCGAGTAGCCAAAGTAACCTTGAAAAAGAACAATGTGGCCGGGTGCGGTGGCTCACACCTGTAATCCCAGCACTTTGGGAGGCTGAAGCGGGCGGATCACCTGAAGTCAGGAGTTCAAGACCAGCCTGGCCAACATGGCGAAACCCCATCTGTACTAAAAAATACAAAAATTAGCTGGGCGTGGTGGCGGATGCCTGTAATCCCAGCTACTCGGGAGACCGAGGCAGGGAGAATTGCTTGAACCCGGGAGGCAGAGGTTGCAGTGAGCCGAGCTCGTGCCATTGCACTCCAGCCTGGACGACAGAGCCAGGCTCCATCTCAAAAAAAAAAAAAAAGATTAAGATGGTAAGTTTTATGTTATGTGTGCTTATACTACACAATTTAATAATCAACTATGGGCCGGGCACGGTGGCTCACGCCTGTAATTCCAGCACTTTGGGAGGCTGAGGAGGGTGGAACACCAGGTCAGGAGATCGAGACCATCCTGGCTAACACAGTGAAACCCTGTCTCTACTAAAAATACAAAAAAATTAGCCGGGCATGGTGGTGGGCGCCTGTAGTCCCAGCTACTGGGGAGGCTGAGGCAGGAGAATGGCGTGAACCTGGGAGGCGGAGCTTGCAGTGAGCTGAGATGGTGCCACTGCACTCCAGCCTGGGTGACAGAACGAGATTCCGTCTCAAAAAAAAAAAAAAAAAAAAAAATCAACTATGGGCCGGGTGTGGTGGCTCATGCCTGTAATCCCAGCACTTTGGGAGGTCAAGGTAGGTAGATCACTTGAGGTCAGGAGGAGTTCAAGACCAGCCTGGCCAACATGGCAAAACCCCGTCTCTACTAAAAATACAAAAATTAGCCAGGCATGGTGACGCACGCCTGTAATCCCAGCTACTTGGGAGGCTGAGGCACCAGAATCGCTTGAACCCTGGAGGTGGAGATTGCAGGGAGTCGAGATCGCACCCTTCCAGCCTGGGTGACACAGCGAGACTCTGTCTCAAAAATAAATAAATAAATAAGTGATAAAAATCAACCATGGCCTCATGATCAGTTTCAGAGACAAGGACTGTAGCAGCCATGAGCAGTTTCTTCCTTGTTATGTGGATGTGTACACATAGAAACTATCTTCTTTCTCTCCTTTTCCCCCGTTATTTTATAGACGGGTTGTTAATGTGGTTCACAAAATTTTCAAAGCTGGCAAAAGGAGCATACATTTCACAGAAAAGGAAAACACATGTAATTTTAAACCCTCCCCATGAGTTCTCAGTATCAGCAGCAATCTGAATAATACAAATAGAAACCAAATACATTGGTCAGAAGTCTGTGGATAACTGGGAGAGGCAGAAGACTCACCCGTACTGTGGGTCATTAATGTCGCAGCCTCCTTGACTTTCATTCCTGGCCTGGCGTTCCTTGGTGGTGCTGAGCAGACAGAGCCCACAGCCAGGAGGAGAGAACAGCGGAGGGCTTGAGGTTTGCCCACCCGCAAGCTCACAAGTCAGCCTGCCCCTGCTCCACAGGTCCATCGGCTGTGAATGGGGCCTCCAGGTCCCCGAGCGCTCTGACAGGTGGTTGTATTCGATGCTGGCAAGTTCACTTTGGAGTTCTTGCAGCCTTCCTTGCCTCTGGAGGGACTGAGACAATGTGTGTGTGACATACAAAGTCTAGAAATTTGACACACAGGAAAAGCAGGACAATCCAGCATGTAGGGCTTTAATTTCATGTGTGCCTGTGTGCGTCCATGCTCACTCAGAAAGCAAGGTCACAGGAGCTGGCCATGTGGCTCTGGCCATCCCTGACATTGACTAGTCAGCCAGAAACCCACTGCACTCTAAGCTGAAAACTTGAATCTGAGTGGGAGTGTCTGAGTTCCTCCAGGGAATCTAAGGGCAGAAACGGCTATTTGGGAATGTTTTCTTGGATCGAGGCCTGATATCCAGAAGGACTGGGATCCAAGGACACAAAACCTCTCCAGAGGCCCTCCTCAGCACAAGCAGGTGGAGAGTCAGAAGGGCAGGACTGTTGGGGTGGGGGCTAAGGGAATTCCCAGCTTGCAGTCATGGGGGCCCAGCTCTCTGCTGTCGTGGTGGTGGGAACAGGAGGCTGTTTCTTCTCCCTGGGCTTTCTCTGCACAGCCCAATCCAGACAGTGAACAAACTTGTGTTTCTCCTCTGCTCCAGCAGGAGGAGGGGGCAGCTCTGGACAACGACAGCTGAGACCAGGAAGATGCTCCCCACCCATCACTGGCCCCTCCCCACATTTGATATGCCCCCTTAGAGAGATGAATAAGGGCTTTGCCAGGAGGGACCCCAGAAGACAGAGGTCAGGAGGGGAGTGAGTCAGCCGGGTTTCCAGCTTCAAAAGTAAGCATCCCAACCCCCAACCTGTCCTAGGAGGGAGAGGAAGAGATAAAACCCAGGGTACAGTCCCCGCCTAGCCCTCTTCGGAGGTGAACTTGCCATTAGGTTCTAAAATGTATTTTTTTCATGTTAAGGTAAAACTTGTTTTTCTAGTAAAACATCACATACAATATAAATAGAAATGACCAGAGCCTTCTCTAACCATCACTATATAAATAACATTCCGTTAACAAAATCAACTAGTTCAGATCACAGGCATAGTTGTGAGCTTTCTTCTTTATTTTTTTTAAGAAGGATGTTCAGATGGTTAAGTTGGGTTCCTAAATTTGAAAAATATGTTGCAGCTGGGGAGGTAAAATCATTAACTTGTGCAAATGACAAACAACTCATATCAAAGATACATTTTAAAAAGCATAAAACGATACTGTTAAACCAATTCGAGAAAAATTTGTTATTATGTGAAAAGTGTATGATCCAAAAGCATTCTCACATGCTTTACTTCTACGTCAGCACCTGAGTTACTGTTAAGCTATGCAGATATGCAGACAAAATATCTTTATCTGGCAAACAACAAGAAAGACACTGACTGCTGAAGCACTCTTGCAAACAACGCACCGGGAGATCGTGGTGCTTTTCCCCTCAGTTACTAACTTGTTTCCTGAAAAATAAGAAGCAAAGAGGCAGACTATGAAAACTTCAGGAATTATAGAATATTAAAAACTATAAGCTTCAGGGCCGGACAAGGTGGCTCACGCCTGTAATCCCAGCACTTTAGGAGGCTGAGGCGGGCGGATCACGAGGTCAGGAGTTTGAGACCAGCCTGACCAACATGATGAAACCCCAGCTGTACTTAAAATACAAAAATCAGCTGCGTCTGGTAGCAGGCGCCTGTAATCCCAGCTACTCGGGAGGCTGAGGCAGGAGAATCGCTTGAACCCGGGAGGCAGAGGTTGCAGTGAGCCGACACTGCGCCACTGCACTCCAGCCTGGGCGACAGAGTGAGACTCTGTCTCAATAAATAAATAAATAAATAAATAGGCACTGGGTAGAAATACTGAGCTCTGGAAATCAGGAAAAGGGATGGACATATTGAAAACCAACTGTGGCAAATTAGCCAATGAACCTTTCCGACAGCCTCGTGTGCTGGGCATTGGCGGGGAGGCACCTCGGGCGGGATCAGGGCCTCCGTCTCGCGCACCGCCAGCGTGAACACCTGGTCCATCCTCCGCTGGATCTTGGCCGTGACCCCCGGGAACGGGCAGGGCCCCTCGCGGGCCCGCGCCATCAGCACCTGGCGCTCGGAGTCCCGGTCGGCCTGGGTGCCCACCAGCACCAGCAGGACGGCCCCGGGTTCCCACAGCCCGCGCAGGCGCTCGCGCAGCGGCCTCACGGCCGGGAACGAGGCCTCGCTGCACACGCCCCGGAGCACCGCGAAGCCGTCGCCGTGGCGGATGTCCAGGTCCTGGAGCGTGACCAGGTGCTCGGCGTCCGCCGCGTCCACGATTTCCAGCAGCGCGGGCGCCGCGTTTGCCTCGATCTCCTCGCGGAGCCGCTCCTCCGCCCACGCCGCGCACTGCTCGGGGAGCGGCCGCACGCGAACTGCGTGTCCAGCGTGGTCCTGCCCACGTCACGCTCCCCAGCAGCACACCCCGGCAGCCCTGGCGGGGCGCGGGACCAGCCCGCAGTGTCCGGGACGCGGCGGGGAGGGGAGGAGAGGGAGGAAGGGGAGGGGAAGGAGGAAGGGGAAGGGGCCTGGGAGCGCAGGGAACGGCGTACCAGGACTGTCCGGGCAGGGGCAGGGAGGGGAGAGGAGGGAGGGGATGGGGGAGGGCAAGAGAGGAGAAAAGAGGAGGAGGGGAGGGGAGGAGAGACGAGGGGTCAGGGCGTGGCGGGGCTGGCGAGTCCTGTGGCGCGGGGGAGGGGCGGGCGTCTCCTGGACTTGCTTCCACCCGGCTTAATCCCGCCCGGGGCGGCTCCAACTCCACTGTCGCGCTGTTCTCGGACCAAACTGAGAGTGGGGCGGCTATTTCTCGGGGCCCAATGACGAGATGCAGATGAACTGAGGAGGAAGAGCGTTTTTATTTTCTGCAACTGGTTACAGGGAGAAAGGCCTGGAAATGATCACCGGACCAACTCAAAATTACAGTTTTCCAGAACTTACATACCTTCTAAGCGGTATGTCTACGTGTAAGTGTGCATGCATCTGAAGACATTAGTGATGAACTTACGGTCATCTGTGAGTCCTGAAGACCTTCCTCTGGAGCCTCAATAAGGTTACTGAATCTAAATGGGTCCAGATGCTGGGGGGATTACCTTTATCTTGTCTCCTGCTAAATCAGGAGGTTTGGGGAGTGCCTTCAGACCCTCAATAAACTTGTTTCTGGAGGCGTGGGGAGCTTCTTCAGACCCACAAAAAAACTCGTTTAACCCTAAAAGGGTCCTGATAAGAATTAATTTGTTATTTTGTCCTGCTTTAAGGCCCAGGGAAGGCCTAGGCAAAACTCTCGGTGGGCTCTTTGTTACTTTCCAGCCTTTGTATAAGGGCACTGGCTCTATCAGCTTTTAATGTTTAATCTAGCTACTCAGTCAGTGCTGGGACAGTTGTAATGGAGGCCTGCGTTAGTGAGACCTGGCCTGCCACACTGCCACCGAGACAGGGATCCCGGGAGTCTAGGCCTGGCACGCTCCAAGTCCCTTACCTCCTGCACTCCTCTTGTCTGGGCCCTGCCTTTGCTCCTGGGGGTCCTGGTGCCGGGTCAGCCCCGCCAGCTCCTGGTCCCAGGCCTGGCTCAAGGGTGGCCCAGGGAACTGCCAGGCCTGCTTGGCCTGTCACCCATACTGGGCCTGACCACCAGCTGGGTCCCTAGATCAGGCTGTGGCTCTGCTCCCCCTTCCAAAGGGAGCCCTTTCTGTCTTTGGACCAGAAGGTAACCTGATCTCTTCTTGGCCAACCTGAGAAATGCTGGAATTTCTCCATTTCAGATCCAGCCTCCAGGCCTTGCTCAAGGTCAGGCTTGGCTGGGTTGCTGGGGCCTCTCCAGGCAGGGAGGCCCCCAGGCTCAAGGGCAGGTGAAGGGGACACCTGCCAGGGAACTTCAGACTGAGGTCCTAAGTGACGGGTACTCCCCTCCCTGTCCCCCTGGAGTCGCTCATACCCAGGCCTTCACTCTAGCTCCCTCCAGCCCCCGGGGCACTTTATAAAATGTAAATCACCCATCCCTCCTCCACTTAAGCCCTCTCTACTTGATAAAGTCATGACTTCACACCATGGCCTAAGAGCAGAGTGATGACAAAACTCACCATCCAAACCTGGTCACCTTCGGAAGTGAGAGAGTGCCCATTCACGTGACAGTGGGCATGAACCTGGGAAGCCGGGCAAAGCCAGCTTGGGGCCACCCTACTTAAAAAGAAGGTCCTCAGGTTCTGGCCTCCCCACCCCCTTCCTCCCATGGGCCTTCATCTTTCTCACTTCACAGATTTTTTTTTTTTTTTTTTTTTGGACAGGGCCTTGCTGTGTCACCCAGGCTGGAGTGCAGTGGTGTGATCATAGCTCACTGTGAGGCAGGAAATTAAGGAAAGAAAGAATAATAAAATTTTAAAAAGAGAAAAATAAGCTTTCTATATTAGGCTGACTCATCCCAAAGGCAGTAACAGACAAAGCCCAGACCCAGACGAAGTCTTGATAACATCATCAAAGAAGCAGAGGCTCAAAGGAGTGTGCTCTGGAGACTCTCCCAGCACTCCCTCAACATAAGGATAAGAAAAAGTTCCCCCTCGAACCCCAACCCCCTCCATGTGATTGTACCTTGCTCTGCAAGTTTTATGAATTTATAGATTCTTGTTTTCTGTAACTAGAAACTTCAAGTATTCTGTTTTATCTAAGCAGCACAGTGAAGGTTATACAACATGCCTGAGCAGGCCTGGGCTGCGGCCTTCTGGGCCCCATAGCGAAGGTTATGAGATAAGCCTGTGCAAGGCTCTTTTAAGCAAGCCTAGATAACAGCCATCTGGACTGCATAGCAAGAATTACATGTAACCCTGGGTTATGCACCTGTCACAATTTGATTAACTGCCTATGTTCTGTCTCTGTATCCTTGCTTTCATGCCACTGTAAGCTTGTTTCAAACTAGCCCACTCCCGTTCAAAGGTGTGTATATGAGTCAAGTGCTGTCTTTGTTCTGGGCCCAGTTTTTGGATGTTAATCCACTGGGTCTGAGTGCACTCAATAAAATTCTCATGTCCCACCTACCTGTCTCTCCAGTCTCCTGATTCCCACAACAACCGCAGCCTGTAGCTGGGACTACAGCTACATTCTTTAAATTTTGTAGAGATGGGGTCTTGCTATGTTGCTCATGCTGGTCTCCTACTTCTAGCCTCAAGTGATACTCCCACCTCAGCCTTCCAAAGTGCTGTGATTACAGGCGTGAGCCACCATGCTGGGGCACTTCACCCAGCCTTCTTGCTAGTTCTTGATTTCAAGGGTGAAGGGGCAGGTTGTGGGACAGTGGGGGCTGGGCCACAAGTTCTGGGGTTGTCTTCCAGAGTGAACTCTGCCACCCTCTGCCTGGTGCTGAATCAGATGCCTCAGGACTTCAGGGGACCTCCCTGCCTGAGCTGAGAGTGGGGCTGTCACACTTTCCCTCTCCCTGTGCATGGGGTATCACTGAACTTTCCTCAGTCCAACACAACTCTCAAGGGGCAGGGCCCCAATACTAGCTGAGCTTGAACTTCCTGCCTCCCCAAAGAGTGGTGCTTGTGGCTGTTGCAGAATGTACTTTTCTATAAATAATGCATAGAACATCCTCAATATGGAATCTCGATTATACTGTCAGCTGAAGGATGATGAAGAAAGGACAGCCTTATTTCTCATAAAGTGTTGCATCCTGCAGGGTGGCAATCCAATAGGCTGGGAAGCACAGCCTCCAGGTGGAAGCCAGAAACAAACACTTCGAGGGAGGGGCAAAGGGAACAGAAATATATGCTGAGCTGGGTGACTGAATATACATATTGAATAAGCTACAGGAGGAGCTGTGAATATTCACGAAAGGAGAAACATGCACATGCCAAGTTGAGCTTCATGTCCCTTCATAAGTCTGTTGCATGTACAAAAAATGGCAGTGTTGGCCTGATCTGAGAGTGGAGTTTTCAGCTACCTGATGACAAAAGACGAAGCAGAGGACACAATAACCCTCCCTGCGCATCCTTTGTAGACTGGCCACAAGCACTCTGAGGTTGGTGGTCTCTTATCAGGAAGGAATGCTGATCGGTTGTTTTGTCAGAACTGTGAAAGGGAGGGCCAGTGTCAGGGCCGGTTGGAACCACAGTGGTTTTTGTTCAGCCCTCAGGGAAGAAACCCTCAAGGCAGTTAGAGAGGGAGAGGGCAGAACCAGGCGTGTCTGACCTCCCATCCTGTCATGGCCTGGCACTCAAGGTTTCTCTGGGGTCCCCTTGACCAGGATGGGGAGGTCTGTTCAGTTGCTTGGGGCTTAGGATATCATTTTTATTTCTCAGTATATTGGACATAACAGACAACTTGATTTCTAAAAAGAGAAATAAGATTTATTTCTCAGACTGCAAGGTAACAAAACTAGAAATCAATATTTATTTATTTATTTAGAGACAGAGTCTCACTGTGTCACCCAGGCTGGAGTGCAGTGGCACAATCTTGGCTCACTGCAACCTCTGCCTCCTGAGTTCAAGCGATTCTCCTGCCTCAGCCTCTTGAATAACTGGGATTATAGGCATGTGCCACCACACTGGCTAAATTTTGTATTTTTAGTAGAGACAGGGTTTCACCATGTTGGCCAGACTGGTCTCGAACTCCTGAGCTCAAGTGATATACTCGCTTCAGCCTCCCAAAGTGCTGGGATTACAGGCATGAGCCACTGTGCCTGGCCCAATTTTTTAAATGATACAAAAAGTAGCTGGATGCAGTGGCACATACCTGTAGTCCCAGCTACTTGGGAGGCTGAGGTGGTGATATAGGAGTTAAGAACAAATCACTTAGGCAGATAGGGTATGGGAGTCCCCCATTAGGCTTTTCTTTTTAATGAAAAGCAGCCCCAAATCATTTTCTAAAAAAGAGCAGCCCATAAAGTTGAGCTCCAGACATGGACAGGCAAGCTGGGAGCTTGCACGGGTGAATGCAGGCAGGAACTAGGGGATAGACATGTTCAAGATGGCAGCTCCATCTTCCCTTGCCTGCCAGCCATGTGTACAGTAAGGAACAGACAAGATGGCATCGGCAAAGGGGAAAGTTCATTTGCATAATAAGATTAGGGTGGGGCGACCAGCCTTTCCCAAAGGCTGTGTAAATGTCCCACCTGATCAGACCAATCTGTGAGCCATATGTAAATCAGACACCACCTCCTCAAACTGGACTATAAAATCTGGCGCATCTGCCATCAGCTGGTCTTTCTGCTTGGAAGACCCCTCTCTCTCAATAGAGCTGCTTTTCTTTCTCTTTTCTGCCTGTTAAACCTCGTTCCTAAACTCCTTGGGTGTGTCCATGTCCTAAATTTTCCTGGCATGAGACAACGAACCCTGGGTTTATACCCCAGCTGCTTCAGTGGGAGGATTCCTTGTTCCCTGGAGGTCAAGGATGCAGTGAGCGGAGATTGCACCACTGCACTCCCGCCTGGGCAACAAGAGTGAGACTCCATCTCAAAAAAAGAAGAAAACGAAAAATTAGCTGAGCATAGTAGCCTGTGACTGTAGTCCCAACTACTCACTTGGGAGGCTGAGGTAGGAGAGTCACCTGAGCCCGGTAGATGGAGGTTGAAGTGAACTGAGATGGCACTACTGCACTCCAGCCTGGGCCACAGAGTGAGACTCTGTCTCAAAAACAAAAATACATAAAAAGTAAAAATAAATAATTAAAACACCTATTGATAGGTGTCATGCTGTGATACCATAAGAAATCTATACTTGAGGCTTAATCCACCCAGGGGTCCTTGCTCAGGAGGGGTCTCAGAGCTGGCGTTTTGGGAGGCCCAGGTACACTGAGCCTGCCCACTGTGAAGACCACTCAGAGCACATTTTTCCAAGACGTCAGCATTCCCAGCAGTCACCAGATGAGGGATGTTCCCAGGAACATCCACATCATCTGACTTTCCCCTGCACTGGCCACGTTTCCAAGCTTCCCTCCTCCGTAGTCCTGTAGAGTACAAACAGCCCCATGTGGGCGGTAGCCTGCTCTCCTCCTGCAAACTTCGGCATCTTTTAGGCCTCATTCCCCTCCCCACAGCCCCCAGGTGGCCTGAATCCCACCTTCCTCTCCAAGAATTGATAGCTTCTACCTTCTCCACCACCCATGTGCCCTCCCAGCACAATAGGGGACACCCTGCAGAAAGCCATGGTAGTGATATATGGTTAAAAAGAAATTATTTAGGCAAATAGTAAGGATAAAGAAGTTCTCAGTAAGGTTTTCCTTTTAATGAAAAGAAGCCCCCAAATCATTTTCTTTTGTAACAAGGGGCAGCCTGTAAAATCGAGCTGCAGACATAGACAAGCAAGCTGGAAGCTTGCACGGGTGAATGCCAGCAGTTGTGCCGATAGGAAAAGGCTACCTGGAACTAGGCATGATCAAAATGTTGGCTGTATCTTCCCTTCTCTTTGCCAGCCAGGTGTACAGTAAGAAGCAGGCAAGATGGTGTTGGCCAAGTGGAAAGCCCATTTGCATAATAAGATTAGGGTGGGGAGACCAGCCTTCCCCACATGCTATGTAAATGTCACACCTGGTTGAACCAATCTGTGGGCCCTTCGTGAATCATACACTGCTCCTCAAGCTGGACTATAAAATCTGCTGCTGTCCCTGCAGGCCAGCTTTTCCCTTTTGGAGCCCCCTCTCTCTTGCAAGAGAGAGAGAGAGCTGCTCTCCTTTCTCTTTCTTTTGCCGATTAAACCTCTGCTCCTAAGCTCACTCCTCATGTATGTCCATGTCCTTAATCTTCTTGGCGTGAGACAATGAACCCTGGGTATTTACTCCAGACAGCGATGCCACTTCATCAGGGGGATAGTGGGGAGGGGGGATTTCCTGAAGATTGAGCTGGAAGGTTTTACAGAAGAATTAGGTGGGGTGGGGGAGCAGTAAACTTCCTGAGCCACCGAAGTCAGGGGTTTCTCTTCAGTCAAGTTTTTTCTCTTTTTAATATATAACTATAATATATAAAAATAACTAGTTGACCCTCTATATCCATGGGTTCCACATTTGTGGATTCAACCAATCAAGGATGGAAAATATTTGAAAAACCTCTAGCCTGGCCAACATAGCAACTCCATCTATACAAATAATTTAAAAATTAGCTGGGTGTGGTGGCGCATGTCTGTAGTCCCAGCTACTCAGGAGGCTGACACGGGAGGATTGCTTGAGTCCAAGTGTTCCAGGCTACAGTAAGCTGTGATCACACCACTGCACTTCAGCCTGGGCCACAGAGAGACACCCTGTCTCCAAAAAAAAAAGAAAAGAAAAGATAAAGTACGTAGAAAAAAATTGTGCTGAACATGTACAGAGATTTTTTTCCTTGTCATTATTCCCTAAACAATATAACAAGTATTTCCATAGCATTTACAATGTATTAGGTACCATAAGTAATCTAGAGGTTATTTAAAGTGTACAGGAGGGGCTGGGCGTGGTGGCTCACGCCTGTAATCCCAGCACTTTGGGAGGCTGAGGTGGGTGGATCACTTGAGGTCAGGAGTTCGAGACCAGCCTGGCCAACATGGTGAAACCCTGTCTCTACTAAAAATACAAAAATTAGCCAGGCCTGGTGGTGCATGCCTGTAATCCTAGCTACTCGGGAGGCTGAAGTAGCTTGAAGAGTCGCTTGAACCCAGGAGGCGGAGGCTGCAGTGAGCCGAGATTGCGCCACTGCACTCCAGCCTGGGTAACAGAGTGAGACTCTGTGTCGAAAAATAAAATAAAGCATACAGGAGGATGTATATAGGTTATATGCAAATATTGAAACCGCCTTTGCAAAATTATGACTGAGCCAATGAAAGAGGTCCAACTTAAAGGACTCCATCTTGCCTCCAACCTCCAAGCTATCCTTATTCATTCCTGGGTGTAGGCTGAACTAACTTTGGGAGAAACTTAGTTCATAGTTTATAGTTTAAAACAAAGATAACAGCCTCCCAGGCTCAAGTGAGTCTCGTGCCTCAGGCTCCCAAGTAGCTGGGATTACAGGCATGCACCACTGTGCCCAGCTAAGTTTTTTTTTTTGTATTTTTAGTAGAGTTTCACTGTGGGTTTCACTGTGTTGCCCAGGCTGGTCTCAAACTCCTGGCCTCAAGTGATCCACCCGCCTCAGCCTCCCAAATTACTGGGATTACAGGCATGAGCCACTGTGCCCAGCCTATACTGATAAATTTAATTTGCCTAAAGTTTTTCTTTTTAAATTTAATTTACCTAAAGTTTTTCTTTTCTTTTCTTTTCTTTTTTGAGTCAGAGTCTCACTCTGTCAACCAGGCTGGAGTGCAATGGCACAATCTTTGGCTCACTGCAACCTCCGCCTCCTGGGTTCAAGCAATTCTCCTGCCTCAGCCTCCCAAGTAGCTGGGATTACAGGCACCCGCAACCATGCCCGGTTAATTTTTGTATTTTTAGTAGAGACAGGGTTTCACCATATTGGCCAGGCTGGTCTCTTGGCCAGGTTGAACTCCTGACCTTGTGATCCGCCAGCCTCAGCCTCCCAAAATGCTGGGATTACAGGCATGAGCCACCACGCCCGGCCTAAAGTTTTTCTTTTACCAGACGTGAGCATCTGTGGATTTTGGTAACTATGGGAGGTTCTGCAACCAATGGTTTACAGATACCGAGGGAGGAGTGTATAAATACTTCCCAGAAAAGAAATCACATATTTGGTCTTCATTCTGGCTCCTGACCCAAGAGCATCTAAAACCCTTGGAATTTCCTGAATGATAGGGATGAGAAGAGCATCTTTTGATATTCACGTAAACTAAATGTAAAATCCCAAGCCCCTCAACTGACTGAACAGACCTCTTCTTGGCCAAGGAGACCCCAGAGAAACTAAAAACTGAGTTTCCTGCCAGGAGGGGACGGACCTCCTTCAAACCTCTCCCTTTTGCAGTTTAGATAGAACCGACTAGTGCTAATGTTAAAACAGAGATCATAAGATTCGAAGAGCAGACTGTTTGTGCAATAACAGACCAAATTACAAACAGGACCGAAGGTCTTGCAAAACAAGGATGAGGTCACTCCTGCAGGCCATCAATCTTGCTAACTAGGTCATTTTTGACCTGGTATACGGTGGCTGACTCTGACACAGCATCCTCATCTTACCTTAAACATTCCTTTCTGCTAACTCTGTTTTTAGACAAAGTTTTGTTCCTTCAGCCAACTGCAAATTAAAGAATCTCCGAATGCTCCTGTGCCTTATAACATCCCCACCCTGACACCGCTTGAAAATATCCTGCCTTTCCAGGCTGTGCCAACCTATACCTTCCATGTGTTGATTTATGTCTTCGCCGGTAACTCCTGCCTCCCTGAAATGTGTTAAACCAAACTGTAATCCGACTACCTTGGGACAGTTACTCAAAGCTTCCTGGGTTTGTGTTTGCTCCTGGCTGTGGTCACTCATATTGGCTCAGAATAAATCCCTGCAAAACATTCTACAGAGTTTAGTTTTTACATTAACATTTATAACACGCCCCTTTCAGCCATAGCTGAATTTCTGTTAACAAGAGGACTGGTGGCTGAAGCCCCTAGGTAGCTGCAGGCTGGGGGCTGCAGAGGAGGCCCCCATGTGATTGGAGGGCTGGAACCTTCAGTCCTACCTGACCTCCAGGGAGAGGAGAGGGCTGGGGTTGAGTTAAGTACTGATGGTCAGTAAGTTAATCATGCCCATGTACATAATGGAAACTCCATGAAAACCCTAAACGGAGGGGTTTGGAGAGCACATCCACGTGTCAGGAGGGCGGTGCACCTGACTCCCTGGGGACAGAAGCCCCTGCCATAGGGACCTGCAGACCTCACCCTATGTACTTCTTCATCTGACTGTCCAGTTGCAGCCTTCTAATGAACTGGTCAATGTAAGTGTACCCCTGAGTTTTGTGAGCCCTACAGCAAATTACTGAACCTGGGGAGGGGCCGTGGGAACCCTTGATTTATAGCCAGTTGGTCAGAGTATGGGAGGACCAATGGTGGTAGGTGTCTGTAACCCCAGCTATGCGGGAGGCTGAGGCAGGGGAATCGCTTGAACCCGGGAGGCCAAGGTTGCAGTGAGCCAAGATCGTGCCACTGCACTCCAGCCTGGGTGACAGAGCAAGACTCAGTTTTAAAAAACAAACAAACAAACAAATGAGAGGCTGAGACGTGCACTTGGCTTCTGAACTGGGGGTGGTCTGGTGGGACTGAGCCGTTAATCTGTAGGGTCTGGGTTACCTCCCAGGAGTTCATGTCCAAATTGAATTGCAGGTCACCCAGTTGGCGTGCGGAGAGTTGGATGATCGGTTGGTGTGGGACATCCCCCCCCTCATTTAGTGTCAGAAATGTGAGAAATAGTTTGTCTTTAATAGATTAGACAGTACATTAAACATGGCTGAAGAGAGAGATGAAATGAACATTATTCAGAGTCGTGAATACTCCTGGGCCTGGTTTTCATCATAAACCACCCTGTACCCGCAGAGCTAAGAGCTCTTCATGCTGCCCCGAAGGCTTCGGACTCTCATAGAGTGTCTTACATTGATAGTTGGCTCACTTGAGCCTGTTATTATTATTATTTTGAGGCCTTTAAAACCATTAAGTGGGCCAACCCCACAGTTCTTCTGACTATTGCTTCAGTGCTTTTAAAGTACTCCCCTCACCCCCGCCCCGGCTGGGTGTGGAGGCTCACGCCTGTAATCCCAGCACTTTGGGAGGCCGAGGCAAGCAGATCACTTGAGGTCAGGAGTTCCAGACCAGCCTGGCCAAAATGGTGAAACCCCATCTCTGCTAAAAAATTAGCTGGGCGTGGCGGTGGGTGCCTGTACTCCCAGCTACTCGGGAGGCTGAGACAGGAGAATCGCTTGAATCTGGGAGGCGGAGGTTGCAGTGAGCCGAGATCGTGCCACTGCTCTCCAGCCTGGGCGACAAGAGTGAGACTCTGTCATAAATAAATAATAAAATAAAATAAAAAGCACCCCTCTACCACATGGACCCAGGCCTCACTTCCCAACGTGCATATCGTCATCCGCCCTGGGAGCCGTGGCAGCTGTCCTGCAGGCCGAGGCTCAGCACCTGCTCACTCCCCCCAGCAACAGGGTCCTGACAGTGGGGCTGCAGGGTGTGTGCTCTCCTGCCCTGAGGTTCTGCCTTTTAGGGCCACTTCTGTACTCTCTAAATTCGGATCCCCTCCACAAGCAGAATCTATGATGTGGGCCATAGGCTGGTGTGCAAGTAGTTTAGTTTTGGAAGTGGTTTAGGGGTCAGGAATGGGGGCCTCTTGTTCAAATGTCACTTACTTAAAGGGGGCTTCCCTTACCAACTGTTGTAGGTAGAACCATATCCCCTCAAAATTCATACGTTGAGTTCCCAGCCCTCAGTACCTCGGAATGTGACCTTATTTGGAAACAGGGTCATTGCAGATGTCATTAGTTAAGATGAGGTCATACTGGAGTTGTTGGGCCCCTCATCCACTATAACTGGCGTCCTTGTAAAACAGGGAATTTGGACAACGACATGCACGCAGGGAGAACAGCACATGAAGACGGAGGCAGGGATGGCAGAGACGTGTCCACCAGCCAGGAGCCAGACACTGCCAGCGGATCACACGCAGCTGGGAGGGGCCCGGACCGGATCTTTCCTCCCAACTCCCAGAAGGAACCACCCCTACTGATACCTGGATCTCAGACATCTGGCCTTCAGAACTGGGAGATAATCATTTCTGTTGAAGCCACCAAGGCTGTGGCACTTTGTAAACGCCTGCCCCAGGAAGCAAATACATAGACCTACAAAAAAAAAAAAAAAAAAAAAAATGCTACCACAAAGCCATCCCTTGCTGTCCTGCCTTGTTCCTTTTTCCTTTACAGCACTTCTCATCACCTGAAATGAGATTATTGATTTGTTGATTGCTTCCCCCATTGCCAGGTAACTCCTACGAGGGTGGGGCTGCACATGGCTCGCTGCTGCGTCTGCAGCGTCTAGCACAGCGCCTATCACATGGTGGGTATTACATGACTGCAATTCTATTACAGTGCTTGCTTTGAAATGTAAACTCGGCTGGGTGCGGTGGCTCATACCTGTAATCCCAGCACTTTGTGAGGCCGAGGCGGGTGGATCACGAGGTCATGAATTTGAGACCAGCCTGACCAACACGGTGAAACCTCATCTCTATTAAAAATATAAACATTAGCCAGTGTGGTGGTGTGCGCCTGTAGTCCCAGCTATTTGGGAGGCTGAGGCAGAAGAATCACTTGAACCCCAGAGGTGGAGGTTGCAGTGAGCTGAGATCATGCCACTGTACTCCAGCCTGGGTGACAGAATGAGATTCCATCTCAAAAAAAAAAAAAAAGAAAAAAAGAAAATGTCAATTCGTTCCAATGCATTTGGACAATTAGGGAACAATTTGAGCACAACATGAATTTTGCAATTGCTTATGTGTGATTGTCTGTAGGAAACACCAGGTGAACACCAGAAACACCCCCAGTGGAACTGAGGTGCACAGGAATGCACACAGTGCATGTGCACACACCTCAGAATCCGCCAGTGGCCTCAGTTTCCCGCTGGGTTGTGAGCCATACCCATTGAGCATTAGTCCAGTTTCACACTGCTATAAAGAACTACATAAGACTGTGTACTTTATAAAGAAAAGAGGTCTAATTGACTCACAGTTCCAAATGGCTGGGAAGGACTTGGGAAACTTACAATCATGCAGGAAGGTGAAGGGGAAGCAAGGCATGTCTTACATGGTGGCAGGAGAGAGACAGTGGGGTGGGACAGAGTCTCTTTCTGTAGCCCAGGCTGGAGTGCAGTGGCACGATCTTGGCTTACTGCAACCTCTGCCTCTGGGGTCCCGGTTCAAGCAATTCTCCTGCCTCAGCCTCCCGAGTAGCTGGGACTATAGGCGCACACCACCACACCCAGCTAATTTTTGTATTTTTAGTAGAGACGGGGTTTCACCATATTGGCCAGACTGGTCTCAAACTCCTGACCTCATGATCTGCCCGCGTCGGCCTCCCAAAGTGCTGGGATTACAGGCGGGAGCAACCGCGCCTGGCCAGTGCCATACTCTTAAACCATCAGATCTCATGAGAACTCACTCGCTATCAGAAGAGCAGCAAGGGAGAAATCCACCACCATGATCCAATCACCTCTCGCCCGGTCCCTTCCCTGACACATTCGGATTACAATTCGAGATGAGATTTGGGTGGCAACACAGAGCCAAACCATGTTTTCTCCAGTGACCCAGGGGACCCTGTTCCCTGCTTCGGGCATCTCACAGGCTATACCCCTTCCTCCATCTACTCCACAAGCAAACTTCAGGCCTTCAAATAAAGTGCCATGCTCATTGTAGTATTGATGTATTCCTCAACAATTTAGCATGTAAAACCCTTCTACCCTCTTTATTAGGTTCCTATCATTTAAAAAAATTGTGTCACTGATGGGGTGTTTTGAGTGTCCTTCCCCAACCTCGTTTTTTCCTTGTAAGTCCTGTGGTTTTTATTGTGCAATTTTGCATAGCCCAGCGCATTTTAGGAATGTGTTTGTTGCATCATAGCCAAGTTGATATATCTGATCTGTTGAGTGACTGAACCAATGCTCGTCTTCCTGAATTAAACCCTAATTTAGGCTGGTATATTTTATATATATATAATTTTTTTTTAAGACAGAGTCTCCCTCTGTCACCCAGGCTGGAATGCAGTGGCATGATCTTGGCTCACTGCAACCTCCACCTCCTGAGCTCAAGTGATTCTCATGTCTCAGCCTCCCAAGTAGCCGGGATTACAGGCACCTGCCACCACGTCCATATAATTTTTGTATTTTTGGTAGAGATGGGGTTTCACCATGTTGGCCATGCTGGTCTCGAACTCCTGACCTCAAGTGATCCGTCTGCCTTGGCCTCCCAAAGTGCTGGGATTACAGTCGTGAGCCACCATACCCAGGCTGCCTGGCCTATTTTTCTAATATTCTAATGAAATGAATTTGCTAATTGCTTGTTGAGGCTCTTTACAGCTGAAAAGCTTACAGCATAACATGGAACAATGTAGTGTTAATGTAAGGAGAGGAAAGACCCAGTAAGTGACAGCCTCCTTCCTCCTGCCCAAGACCCAACCAGTCCAGAAATAACATGACAAACGGGACTCAAGAACATGCACATGAAAGCGCCAGCTTTGTCACAGATCACGTCTGGGCTGGAGCAGATAACTTTGGTGGCTGCACCATGGATCTTCTTATTCCTACATCACAGATTTGGTCTCACTGACCAGAGTTAGGCAGCCCCAGTGGGAATTCCTGTTTCGGGAAGTCAGGGACCGCGAACGGAGGGACCAGCTGGAGCCGCGGCAGAGGAACATAAATTGTGAGGATTTCATGGACATTTATCAGTTCCCAAATAATACTTTTATAATTTCTTATGCCTGTCTTTACTTTAATCTCTTAATCCTGTTATCTTCGTAAGCTGAGGATGTATGTCACCTCAGTACCACTGTGATAATTGTGTTAACTGTACAAGTTGATTATAAAATATGTGTGTTTGAACAATATGAAATTAGTGCACCTTGAAAAAGAACATAATAACAGCGATTTTTAGGGAACAAGGAAAGACAAACATAAGGTCTGACTGCCTGCAGGGTCGGGCAAAAAGAGCCATATTTTTCTTCTTGCAGAGAGCCTATAAATGGACATGCAAGTAGGGAAGATATCACTAAATTCTTTTCCTAACAAGGAATATTAATATTAATACCCTGGGAAAGGAATGAGTTCCTGGGGGGAGATCTATAAACGGCCATTCTGGGAATGTCTGTCTTATGCGGTTGAGATAAGGACTGAGATACACCCTGGTCTCCTGCAGTACCCTCAGGCTTACTAGGGTTAGGAAACTCCACCCTGGTAAATTTGTGGTCAGACCAGTTCTCTGCTCTTGCACCCTGTTTTCTGTTGTTTAAGATGTTTATCAAGACAGTACGTGCACCGCTGAACATAGACCCTCATCAGTAGTTCTGCTTTTGCCCTTTGTCCTGTTCCCTCAGAAGCATGTGATCTTTGTACCTACTCCCTGTTCTTACACCCCCTCCTCTTTTGAAACCCTCAATAAAAACTTGCTGGTCTGAGACTCAGGCGGGCATCACAGTCCTACTGATATGTGATGTCATCCCCAGCGGCCCAGCTGTAAAATTCTTCTCTTTGTACTGTCCCTCTATGTTTCTCAGCTGGCTGACACTTGTGGAAAATAGAAAGAACTTACGTTGAAATATTGGTGGTGAGTTCCCCCAGTAAGTTCCCTCTTGAAGTTCATCACAGGGAACTGCAGGTCAGAACGTGAGCTTCCTGCAGGCGGCAAGTGCCACCCATATCCCAGGGGCTCCTCTGTCCCTATCTCCTGACCTCATCTTACTCCACAGGCCTGGCTGGGCCAGGAAGCCTTGGACTCCTCTCTGAGCCTTTGGCCCTATGCCAGAGAGAATCCCTCTGCCCTCCAGGTCTCTTCCCAATTGGGAGGAAACTGGGGTCTTAGTGCCTCTGGGCATGGGGAGGGAATGGCATTCCTGGGAAATAAGCAGCTGCTACTGGCGTCAGTGGGGAGTGACTGCAGAGACTTCTGGGAGGACCAGACAGAGGCCCGCTCTGGGAACACTGGAAATGCCACAACCATGCTGAGGAGTTTCTGCCAATGGGCACAACAGTGTAGACAAAACAGTGTAGACAAACGGCACAACAGTGTAGACAAACAGGATGGAACCACCACAAGACAAGTGGTTATTTCCTTCCCAACAATAAAGTAGGTCAGATAACTTGAAAAATCTTTTGAGGCTAGACATTCTGAATTAAATATTACAAAATCCATTCTTGCATAGATGCAACTGGGGAAAAAAAGGAAATCTTCCAAACAACAAAGCTGCTGGAAACGTACGTGGCCACTGACGCTGATGCAGCTGCTGCCCCAGAGGAATTCCTCATCTCAGGAGCCCTGAGCTCTGGCTGTAAAGGAGACTAGGACTTCCACACAGGTGTGCATCCTAGAAGGGCCATATATATATATATACATATATACATATATACATATATACATATACATATATACATATATACATATACATATATACATATATACATATATATATATATATATATATATATATATATATATATATATATACACACACTCAGTGAAAAGGTGAATTCATTTTGCGACCATCAGCAAGCAGAGGTGAGAAAGAAATTTTTCTACCCAGGGCTCTCACTAAGACAAACAATAAAAGTGTCTCCCCTAAGATTTGTGACAGGTTCCCCATCCTCTTGTGTGTTTGGATTTAAACTGAACATCATTTTTTTTGAGGCCCTGGAACCAACAAGCTAAGAAATCAATATTAAGTGCCCAGGCTGAAAGATGCTTATAGGGCCACACAGCAATGGAAGCCAGCTGCTCTGGAGTGGTCCGCCTTCCCTCGAGGCCAAGAGCAAGCCAGAACAACCTCATTTTCAGGCTGTAAGATTAGCAGATAGAAGATATAACATAAATATTATTTAAAAACAATGAGTTACTAAATAAAAATACTGGCTTGGGCTCAGCACGGTGGCTTATGCATGCCCAGGGAGGAGGATCACTTGAGCCCAGGAGTTGAAGACCAGCCTGAGCAACATAGCAAGACCCCCTCTCTGCAAAAAAAAAAAAAAAAAAAAGGGTTTTAAAAATTACCAGGCTGATTACATTAAAGGCGTTGAACAAAAATAAACAAAAACTGACAGGGTGCATTGGCACATGTAATCTCACCTTCTTGGGAGGCTGAGGCAGGAGGATCACCTGAACCCAGCAGTTCAAGGCTGCAGTGAGCTATGATCCTGTCACTGAACTTTAGTCTGGGTGATGGATTGAGGCCCCGTCTCAAAAACAAAACTAAACTAACTTTTGTAGAATACCCTAGCACCCAAGGTCAGAAGGAACAGGAACTGATATGGGTTTCAGTCTGTCTTCTCGGGGCGGCAGCTGCTCCTGAAGTTCCCTTCCTCGTGGCCTACCCTGTGGACACGACTCCAGCATCAGACCCGGAGACTCCCCACAAGTTCCCCATTAGATCCATCTTGCTTGAGTTCCACTTGGAATATTCGACCTGGAAAAGGCAGGTGCGGTGCCTCACGAAGCCCACTGGACGCAGCTGACCCTTCCACATTTCTCCCAGACACGCTCTCTGTCCCTCTAGGGTCACTGCCTCAGGAGCTGAGCATTTCTAGACAAGTCAGGTGAAGGGACTGTCATGGCTGCCACTTTACACCATAGATGTGTGAGTGTACATATGTGTGTACATATATGTCCGTATCCTCAACGAGGGCCAAAGTATCCAGTTTCTAACTCTAAGTGTGTTCTTAAATGAACTAGGTACAGGACGGAAAAAGACTGAAGCCTGCCTTGGGTTTGTGGTGAACTGCTGTATTAGTCCGTTTTCATGTGCTATAAAGAACTGCCTGAGACTGGGTAATTTATAAGGGAAAGAGGTTTAATTGACTCACAGTTCAGCATGGCTGGGGAGGCCTCAGGAAACTTACAATCATGGCGGAAGGCAAAGGGAAAGCAAGGGACCTTCTCCACAAGGCAGCAAGGAGAGGTGCTGAGCAATGGGAAGAGCCCCTTATAAAGCCATCAGATCTCGTGAGAACTCACTATCACGAGAACAGCATGGGGAAAACCGCCCCCATGATTCAATGACCTCCATCTGGTCTCCCCCTTGACACGTGGGGATTATGGGGATTACAATTCCAGACGAGATTTGGGTGGGGACACAAAACCTAACAGATCACTTGCTTAAGGGAAGCTTTGTCTACTCTAAACCAGATTGCAGAGGTCTTTTGTTTGTCCCCCTTGGGGTTTTCCACCAAGGGGCCCTGGGCCTTTGGGTTGAGCTGGGTGGGCCTTTCCCTGTACAGGCGGAGGAAGCAAGTGCAAGGTGAGCGGTGGGAGAACCTGCAAGGCCCCTGCTCCCAGGGGAAGGGGAGGCGGGCTTCAGGGGAGTGTCCATATGGGCGCCCAGAAACTGGAAACTGCGTCCCTGAAGGCTGCAAGCCCTCTGGGCAGTTCGGGTCACCCCGGCTGAAGAAGGGCGTTGAAGACACATGGAAAAGGTGGTGGGAGAGGACTGAGTTGAAACCCAGGCCCCGAGTGGAAGAGCCTGCTGGAGGCCACAGGAGCCCGTTCCCCAACCTGAAGCCCTGGAGACGGCCCGGCTTGAGAGGGCGAGGGCCCACAGCGGGGACCCAACTCACTTCTTCGTTCCCACCTGCCCTGGGGTCCGACGGGAAGCGGGGACGGGGAGCGGGTGGGGTCCGACGGGAAGCGAGGACGGGGAGCGGGTGGGGTCAGACGGGAAGCGGGGACGGGGAGCGGGTGGGGTCAGACGGGAAGCGGCGACGGGATGCTGGTGGGGGGACCCCCGCGCTCTCCGGGCGACCCTCTGCAGCCTCTACTCTGCCCCGTCTGTCATCTTCTCCCGACCCGGCGACCCCGTTCTCCCCCTCGCCCCTCATTCCCCGGGACTGTCCTTCTTAACAGCGCCCTTCACCCCGCCCGGCCCGCGAGGTAGTCCTCAGCAGGGGACAAGGTCCGGACGTGGCGCCCCCAGAAGGAGCGCGGAGAGCCCCTGGGACCCAGTCCCGCCAGGTACGCATCAGGGGCGGAGCTGGACTCGGGGGGCGGGGCTGGGGAGAGGGTGGCCCCTGCACACTAGTCCCCTCCCCTCGACCCCGCAGCCCCGCGGCGCGTTTCCTGAGGCGCCCCCGCCACGTCCCGCGAGTCTCTGCCAAGTTCCCGCGCGGGTGCGCCCCGGTCGCGCCCTCCCTGCGCCCGCCCAGGCCTGGGGAGCTCTGTGGGTGGAAGCCGGCGCCCCCTGGGGGCACCCGGGCGTGGCGAGGGCCTCGGCGGTCGGGAGGCCTCTGCGGGGCAGCGGTCGGGAGCGAGGCCACGGGGCGCCAGGTACAGCCGGCGGGACGTCCAGTGCCAGCGCAGGAGCCGGGCGAGGCCGTGGCCTCCAGGGTTCCTGGGCGGAGGACAAGGCGCGCAGCCGCGTTGGCGCGAGTTTTAAATCGGTGCCTTCTCAGCTTTGCAAGTTCTTATCAATTGCTGCATGCCAGAGGAAGTTTTTAAAAAATGGCCCCCAGCTCTATTGCGGTGTAATTGATGGATAGAAATTGTATTTATTTAAGGTGAACAGCTGGATGATGTGATGGAGGCACGCAGGGTGGAGGGGTTACCACAGTCTAGGTACTCTACACATCCAGAGCCTCCCACAGTTGACAAATGGATTTTCCTAATCAGTTTCGTCGTGTTTTGTACTTAAGTTGAGGATTCCACACCGTGTGGTACTTTCAGAAGAGATGTAGTGGTGAATCAATCGCAACGGTAAGGGGAGCAGACCTGGACATCTGATACTTGATCAGCAATTCACCTTGCCTGAAAATGTTTTGACTTTGTTTCATGTTCCAAGTGCCGAAATGATCGCACGCCTCGTTAGAAGTTGAACGTTACTCTTTTCTTCAAATGCAGGTTGTGATGTTTTCCTAATTAGGTATTGAGAATTACCATTGGTATTTGGAATTAGATTGCGGAGCATTTAGGTAAATTCCTTGAGTTTTTCCACAGTATTTCATCTCAATTACAGTACAGATTTCAATATAGACACATTGTATTTCATGCTTTTTTTCTTTTTTTTTTTTCCCCCAGGAACCGTTCTCGCTATGTTGCCCAGGCTGGTCTTGAACTCCTCAGCTGAAATGAGCCTCCCACCTCGGCCTCCCAAAGTGCTGGGATTACAGGCGTCCCCTCTGCCCCAGTACTGTTTCCTCTCCCCAGCCCAGCCCCCACAGCTGCCTGCCCTGGCCTCACTCCCTGGCCTCCCCCATCCCAGCCTCTGGGTCCCTGAGTCAGTCCCTGGGGCTGTCTGCCTTCTAGGGGAGCCTCTGGTGTGGACCAGAAAGTAACCTAATCCCTTCCAGGCCCACCCTGGAAACAAAGGGATTTGTCCACTAGCCTGGTGGTGAGAACCATGTGGCCTCCTGTCTCTGGCAGAGAGGACTCCAGGATCAAGGGCAGGTAAAAGGAGGAGCCTCCTGGGGAGCTTCAGAAGGAGGGTCCCAAGTCCCTCCTGCCCCACTTCTGTGCCTGGGTCACTCACACCCCTGCCTGACTCTAGCCCCCCTTCTCCAGGGGTCTCCACAACATGTGAATCATGCCCAGCGTCTTCCATTACACCCTTGATAAAGTCCTCTCCTCACCAGGACCTCTGTCATTTTACCTCATGGTTTTGAAATAATTTTTGGTCTTCTTAGCAGTTTAAAAATATTGTTTTGTTTTTTTTCCTGAGTTTGGAGCATTCCTGTTACTAATTACATTTTTTTTTTAGACAGGTGTACACTACTACACCCAGCTAATTTGTTTTGTTTTGTTTTGTTTTGGTAGAGATAGGATCTTGCTATGGTACCCAGGCTGGTCTTCAACTCCTGGGCTCAAGCAATCCTCCTGCATTGGCCTCCCAAAGTGCTGGAATTACAGGCATGAGGCAGCACGCCCAGCCCTAATTACTTCTATTACGCCAAATTCCTTGTGTGGAATTCCTGTGCTTTGCACACAAATTGCCAGGTTGGCCCCAAAGGGGAAAAAAGTGGATCCCATTTTCCCATCTTCTATGCCTACGTGGCTGACAAATCTCCCGAATCCCACAGGAGCTGTCGCTGATCTTTGTCCTCTATTCGCTGAAATAAAGTTCACCATGGATTTCTGCTTCTTTTATTCATTGTCAGTCCACACATAGGGACAAATTCCTGTGCTCTCATTAGAAAGCCATTTGCTAAGTGAGAACTCCGGGGAGGCCAGGCCTGAAGGAGAGCTTGCTGTCAGTCATTTCGATCAGGGACGGGGCAGAGTCCATTGTCACAGGTGGAGCTGCCCAGCCATTCCCCGCCCCTAGGAAGTCTGGGCTGACTGGGGGAGGGAGTGCTTAGAAGGGGACCCCTGGGGGTTGAGGTGTCTTTGCTGCGTATTTCCCTGTTATCAGTGTCGAAGTTAAATACAGAGATGAATCCTCAAAATTAAAATGTTTTATTTGGGGAAAGAAGTGTAATTTGTGGATATCTGTAGCGTGAGTGGTCTTTAGGATGTCCAAAGAATGAAGAAAGGCTGGAGGTTTTATAAAGAGGAGAAATATTACTACTGCTCTTTAAGAAAGCTCATTGGCACTGGTGAGTTTGGGGAGCTGGCAAGCTCCGACTGATGAGTGAGGGCAGAGGGTAAAACGAGTCGTGTCAGCAGGTTGTTTAGTAGGCATTAGGTAAACTGGTTTCAGGTGGCAGCAGTTTCAGCAGCCGGTCTTACAGAGAATGACATTCTTGGAGAAATTCTATGTGCCCTGAGTGCTCCTTCCCGCTGGCCTCTTGACCCTTGGTTGGGTGGGACAAGAATGACCCAATTTGTGTGATTAGCTTTACATTTTTCTCTTTTGATCAAGATATTTCTCTGAAAGCATCGCTAACCAGCCGTTCTGCAGCCAGGCTTATCTGTCCCTGGGGCTGTAATGGGCTTGTGCCAGCTGTCTCTGTCCCACATTGGAGGGAACATGGCGGGGTCTAAGTCAGCAACCTGGGCCACATTTGTGTAATAACGAGGCCAGAAGGAAAAAATGTCTCAAAGCAGTTACTTTTTTTCTTTCTTTCTTTCTTTCCTTTTTGAGATGTAGTTTTGCTCTTGTAGTCCAGGCTGGAGTGCAGTGGCACTATCTTGGCTCACTGCAACCTCTGCCTCCTGGTTTCATGCGATTCTTCTGCCTCAGCCTCCTGAATAGCTGGAATTACAGGCATGCGCCACCACCCCCAGCTGATTTTTTTCCTCTCTCTCTCTCTCTCTCTTTTTTTTTTTTTTTTGTAGAGACAGGGTTTCACCATGTCGGCCAGGCTGGTCTTGAACTCCTGACTTCAGGTGATCTGCCCGCCTCAGCCTCCCAAAGTGCTGGGGTTGCAGGCGTGAACCACTGCACCTGGCCTCAAAGCAGTTTCATCTGGAGTCCAGTATTACATTTTATTTCATCTGCTTTGTAGGCATTAGTCATTATCTGGAGGTGTTGAGCAAGTATTATCCTGTTAGGAGAGTTGGCTTCGTTGAGATTAGACAGGCACTAAGAACAACATTTAAAAATTATAATGAAAAAATTGGCAACAATATAATAAACTTAGTTCGTAGAAGTGGTTTTGAACTAACAGCCCCAGCCTAAGGGCAACAAATTAAACAAAAGGCCATGGAGGAGACTGGGCCAGGCCTGTGATAGCCACTGAGAAGTATTTCATACAGGATCGAATTAATCACTACTTTGTGAACGCCAGGTTTATAAAAGGGACCACCAGTACAATTTGAACAAAAAACTGTGTTAGGGAAAATGCCAAATTTGCCCACTAGGTGGACTAAAAGGATTTCTTTTTTTTTTTTTTTTAGGTCAGGTTTTCTCAAGTTACCTATAGCAGTTACTTATTGTGAAATTTTAATTATAGCATTATCCTGCCAAATGAAGAATGGCATTGAGAGGGTGAGAGTCTCATTATTATATGGAGCCTTATAACAACGTCTTCGGAAAACCTGCTTTTTTAGGTTTCTTTTTCAATTTTTGTTTTTAAATAGTGAGGTCTCATCATGTTGCCCAGGCTGAAGTTTAACTCCTCTCGCCTCGGCCTTCCAAGTAGCTGGGACTACAGGCACCATGGCTGCTGGAACAGCTGTTTTTAGCAGGGAAAACGTCAACTGCTCCTCTTGGTTTGTGGTTTGATTGTCTCTGATTACGGCATCGTGCAATTTGGTGAACTTTTGGTGTGGTTCATATATCAGGCATAAGACTTGTTTTTTACTTTATTAATTTTGTTTTTTATTTTTATATTTTAAATTATTTCATACTAGTTTATTTAGGGGTTATTTTCACTCCTCAATAGATTTTTCCGTATTTTTTATAAGCTTCTTCACTCATAAGTTCATCTAGTTCTTTTTTTTTTTTTTTTTTTTTTTTTTTTGAGACAGTTTTGCTCTTGTTGCCCAGGCTGGAGTGCAGTGGCATGATCTTGGCTCACTGCAACCTCTGCCTCCTGGGTTCAAGTGATTCTCTTGCCTCAGCCTCCTGAGTAGCTGGGATTACAGGCAACTGCCACCACGCCCAGCTAAATTTTGTATTTTAGTGGAGATGGGGTTTCGCCACGTTGGCCAGGCTGGTCTCAAACTCCTAACCTCAGATTATCCACCTGCCTCAGCCTCTCAAAGTGCTGGGATTACAGGTGTGAGCCACTGCGCCCGGCCAAGTTCACCTAGTTCTGAAGAGTTACTCAGTGTCATCTTGATCGGCCAAACATTTTTATAACAAGATTTGTCAATAAGTTCTGTATTTTCTGCAAGAGCTTCATTAATTTCAGTTACTTCTCCTGATAAAGGAGAATGGAGTTCATGAACAGCTTTCACACTTTCCAAAGCACCAAATTCATCTTGTTTGTTCAATTTTGTCCCAGCTTCAGGCAGACTACAGTAAAAACATCTCCCAATACTTCCTGTGCAAAATGCCTGATTCCCACGGTTCCCATACCATTTCTTGTTGTTCTCCAACCACGTTTCCCCGAGAATTCATGCACCGAGAGCAGGGCGGGTTCCACGCACAAACCGTGCCCATCCCCAGCCACCAAGGCCTCAGCCGGTGAGGCATGGCAGGTGCCAAGGCCCCGCTCAAGCTGCAGCCCACAGCCCACCCACACTGCGCCACTCAGTGCCATGTTCGTAGGGAGGGGTGCAGAGGGTCTCCACGCTGCACTTTGGTCACTGTTTGTTTTTGTTTTTGTTTTTCTAGGGACAGGGTCTTGCTCTGTTGCCCAGGATGGAGGTGCAGTGGTGCAATCCTAATTTACTGCAGGCTTGAAGTAGCTGGGACTATAGGCGTGTGCCACCACACCCAGCTAACTTATTTTTTGTAGAGACAGAGATCTCGCTATGTTGCCCAGGCTGGAGTGCAGTGACATGATCATAGCTCACTGCAGCCTAACTCCTGGGCTCAAGTGATTCTCCCACCTCAGCCTCCCAAGCAGCTGAGACTACAGGTATTAATATATGCCATAGCACCTGGCTAATTCGTTTTATTTTATTATTTGCAGAGAAGGGGTCTCACTTTGTTGCCCAGGCTGGTCTCAAACTCCTGGCTTCAAGTGATGCTTCAAGGGATCCTCCCACCTTGGACTTTGTTTTGTAATATCAGTTTAGTTTTAGCTTAGTGGGCTTCAGGAACAGAGCAGTTTTCATTTTGCTAATTTTATGGAAGAAAGTTGGATTGGAGGAACCTAGAATAATTTAGGATTTAGTCTAAAGTAGATAAGAACTAAAAAAACAGTGCATAGAGTTACAATCTAATAACAGGTGTATTATAGCTTTTTTTTTAAGGACTATAACTCTTCTTTTTACTTTGATCATATAGGAATTTCAGATGAAAAATCTCTTGAGGCTAGAAAGTCAAACTAAATAAGACTTTAGATTTTACTCATAGTCCTAAGGTTCTTGGGCCTGCCAGAAAATGACAGTTTTTATTAACTTACTGTAAGTCTGAGGACCCTCGAAGTCAGATATTTTATGTATATTTTAAAATATGCCATTTTAGTCAGTCTTGGTAATGTAACCGGTGTTTTTCATTGTATTTTGTTATAAACAGAGCAGATTTTATTGGACTTATATAAATAACCGTATTGTCATAAGTATACTCACGTATAGTTTTCACATTTTGGAGGAATCAAGTGAGGAGAAAAAACAAATTTTTTATCTTTGTTTAAAAAAATGTATTTTATCAAATTGTAGTAAATTATAGATAGCTTAAAAGAGAAGATTTTCTTAAATCTGGAAGACAAAACATTTGAGTAAAGAGCCAATAACATTTTAAATAAAAATTATAAAAATATTTTTATCATTTATTATTTATCATTTTTATCATTTATTCTTTAATTTTATGTCATTAACTTTTGTTCTGCTTGATTTTTATTAGTTTTATGAATCTATTAATTTTTATAAGAGTTTTAGAAATTTTTATTTAGTCCATCGATCTTAAAGTTATTAGAGATCCGTATTTAAGAGTACTTGTTGGAGTCTTTTCTATGAATCTGACTGTGAACGTTTTTAGAGAAGAGTTTAAAATAATAACAGTGAATGACAAAAACTTAGCATAGCCATGTGTGTTAGGTCGTTCTTGCATTGCTGTATAGAAATATATAGCAGAGACTGGGTAATTTATAAGAAAAGAGGTTCGATTGGTTCACAGTTCTGCAGGCGATACAGGAAGCATGGTACTGACATCAGCTCAGCTTCTAGTGAGGGCCTCAGGAAGCTGACAATCATGGTGGAAGGTGAAGGAGACGCAGGCATCTCACGTGGCCAGAGCAGGAGCGAGAGGGTGCGGGGGCTGCCACACTGAACGACCAGATCTCAGAAGAATTCACTCACTATTGTGAGGCAGCACCAAGCCATGACAGACCTGCCCCCATGACCCAAACACCTCCACGGGTCCTCCCTCCAACACCGGGGATTACAATTCAACATGAGATATGGCCAGAACATATATTCAAACCACATCACCAGGGTTAAAAATCTGATGAAAGTTTCCAATTGAAAAGGATACTTAATTATTTCTACTACATATAGATAGCACTTTAAGATAACAACCGATAACAACCAGAATTATGAATTATGACTGACAGCATATTAGATTTTTATAAAGTTATATATTTTTTGAAATATTTATATTAACATACTCATCTATGTAGCTAAAAGATCTAATATGAATTATTATTTGACATTTAAAAAATGTAATTTGCCAAATCAGCCTAATCATTTAGTATCTCTATAAGATGAGAGAGAGATTTTTTGAGGCTTTTCAGGGCCCCATCTAAAAAATTTCAAAGTTAATTTTAGGCAAAAGAGACTTGAATTTAGGATTGATTTTCAGGAAGTTTGTCAAAGACGTTAAAAGGCTCAAAACACTTGATCAAAACAGAGTTGCATTGTAAAATCATATTTATTTAACCAGAGTGATAATTAAAAGACTTTGAAAGCAATGCAGAAAGTTATATAGATATAAAAACCTTAACCCTTTTAAAGCTTAGGTTTTTGTAAGTAATTACAAGCCTAATAAAGACAACATAGAAAATTATCTTGATAAAACATAAAATTTTTGTGGTTTTAGACCAGCTACCAAAAGGTAAAGAAAAACCTTTTGTAGTATGATTGTTTTTCTTTATAGGAGCTAATTTAGATAACTTGGAAGTCAAACCTGATGAAAAAGGGACTTGGATTTAATCAAACACAAAAAGAATGTGTCCAAGGTTATTAGCGTAACAATTTAGATACCTTAAGAAAAGCCAACAGTACAAAATTAAATTATACTAGAAGAAAACATTGCTTTTTTAGGCCTTTCAGATAAACATTTTAGTGACAGTCTGTAAAAGCAGAGTTAGAACCAGAGAAAAAAGTTACAGGAGGCTGGGCACAGTGAATCACACCTGTAATCCCAGCACTTTGGGAGGCCAAGGTGGGAGGATCATTTGAGACCAGGAGTTTGAGATCAGCTTGGGCAACATAACAAGACCTGTCTCTTGAAAAAAAAAGTTACAGGAGTTGACCTAAAAAAACTGAAGGGAAGAGTTAGCATTCCAGGCCTTTCCAGGGAAGAAACAGCTGAAGTCAATGAAAATAAATCGTATGAAGCAAGATACAGTAAAAGTTGAACCATTGAGATATACATCTGAGAAATTTTTCCTTTTTTTTTTCTTTTTTTTTTTTTTGAGACAGAGTCTCGCCCTGTTGCCCAGGCTGGAGTGCAGTGGCACGATCTCGGCTCACTGCAAGCTCTGCCTTCTGGGTTCACGCCATTCTCCTGCCACAGCCTCCTGAGTAGCTGGGACTACAGGTGTGTGCCACCACGCCCGGCTAATTTTTTGTATTTTTAGTAGAGACAGGGTCTCACTGTGTTAGCCAGGATGGTCTCAATCTCCTGACCTTGTGATCCTTCCGCCTCGGCCTCCCAGAGTGCTGGGATTACAGGAGTGAGCCACCGCGCCTGGCCAGTCAAACACTTTTTCATACTCTTATGAGCCATTCAGAAGTCTACTTTTTTGACATTCCCATTTAAATTTTTAAGAAGCCAGTTTTTCTACTGGGTCTCTGCCTTGGTATGATTGATTTGTAGGAGTGCTTTGTGTTTTCTGGACACTAGTATTTTTCAGATACACGTATTACGGTATCTCCTGGAATTGTGCAACCTCTCTTTTTACTTTATTGCTGGTGTTAAATGAATGGAGAGGATGCCATTGGTTTGGAGTGAGCTTCTGCACTAGGACCAACAGACCAAGCTGAAATGCAGCTACTCATGCGGGGAGTTTCATACCACCAAGCAGAAACTAAGTTGTTTATCTGACCCTCTTTCAGGAGATAGAGAGAGAGAGAGCCCCCAAATCCCCAAATAGGCCAGTTTTAGCCGGTGTGATAAGGGAAGTCCGCTGTGCTTTAACCATGACAAGGAAAGTAAGTTTGAGATGACCAATCTGCTTTTTGGTCTCTGTCTCTGCTTTCTTCCACCTTTCCTGCCTACAAAGCCAACCTCTCCTGCTCAGCTCATCCAAATGCTCCTTTTATTTCCTAAGAATGAGGGGTTGCCTAAGTCTGGAATTGCAGATAAAAACCTATTCAATCTTAACTGAATTTGTTGTATTTTGTCATTTGACATTAGTGACTTTGAGGAACACAGGTTTTCATTTTAACTGTATTCTTTCTTTCTTTCTTTCTTTCTTTCTTTCTTTCTTTCTTTCTTTCTTTCTTTCTTAAGACAGGGCCTCACTCTGCCACCCATGCTGAGTTCAATGGCACAATCTCCACTCACTGCAGCCTCAACCTCTTGGGCTCAAACGATCCACCAACCTCAGCCTCCCAAGTAGCTGGGACTGCAAGTGCACACCACCATGCCTGGCTAATTTTTGTATTTTTTGTAGAGACAGAGTTTCACCATATTGCCCAGGCTGGTCTTGAACTCGTGGGCTCAAGTGATCAGCCCACCTCAGCCTCTGAAAGTGTTACAGGCATGAGCCACCGTGCCTGGCCCATTTTAACAGTATTCTACTTACCTTTCCCTGCTTCGTGGGGGAGAAAAAAGGTGCAGCCCTGTCCCCAGAAGCTGGTGGCAACCCAGCTGGGCTGAGTTACTCTCCTGTAGGACAGGAGCCACCTCAGAGACCACCAATATCAGACGAGGTGTCTCTGAGACGGTGACAGAATGAGACAAGACAAGGCCACTCTTAACTTTGTCCGAACACAGACAAAAGCAAGGTCAGTGTGCCCCCCTCAAATTCCCAGCCAGCCCCTCTGTTGGCAAAAATGAGTGGCAGCAGCTGCTTTATGGGTTCTCCATTCTTCTCTGCCCACCGCAGAGGAGCTTTGTCGAGATGCCTGATCACAGAACCACCCTGAGTTCTGACAGCATCCACATTACAGAGAACCTCTGCTTCTTTGCACCCTCCCCCAAGCCCCCAGCTCTGGCTCAGTGTGGGCACAAGTTCTTTCTAACCCCTCTGAGCGTGTGTCTGGCGCTTCCCGTGGTGGCTGCTCTTCCTCTCTGCAATGCATAATGAGCTCAAACTGCTCAGCTACAAGTGGGTCCAGTGGCCTTTAGCTGGAGTGTGTTGACAGTAAGAAGCATGTGTGTGTGTTAAGAAATGTTTACATCAAAGTCAAGCAGGCATGCTGCCGGAAGGACAACCAACAGTCTGAGGGTGCCTAGAACTGAGGGTGCTCTCAGACCTCAGGATTTCCACTTCAAAGCCGGCAAGATCCCAGGTGAGCTGGAACAAGTTGGTCAACCTAGCTGTCTTACTGAGGCCTTCTACCCATCTCTGCAGATCTTGAGCTTCTACTTTGTAGATTTGGGGGTGCTGGGGACAGAATTTGACAGCCAGGACCTGCCCAAGAAGGAGAATCCAATAAGAGGCCCCAGAAAGTTTTTAAACTATTTGCACTCAATTTTCAAGTGCGTATGTTAATTATGTCAATTATGAGACTGACTGAGTTGGGCTCCCTCTGTTTCTATATCAAATTAAGTTACCCAGGAAACACTATCTCTTTTTTAAAAAACTTTGATAAGTAGGTCATAAATATATTTAGAACTACATGGAAATTAAATGTTACTGTTACATACAATGCTATAAATGACTTAAAACATGCAAATCTGGTGGAATTCTGTGCCAAATTGGCTAAATAGTCTTTCAAATAGCAAAAGTAATTCTCAGAACACAGTCCGCACAAATCACAGCACTCAGCGCCCCTGCGGGAGGGGCCTGTTCTGCCCACCCACTTCAGCACGATCTGCGGTGCTCAGGCAGCCCTGCCGTGGGGCAGCAGAGGGGAGAGGCCTCCAGATACCATTCCAGGAAACCATGAAACCCCACCATGCACTCATGGAACCCCTGGCCAGAGAGAGGCTCAGCCCATTCTCCATTGTGACTTTCTTTAAAAATGACACCCGGCTCTATGGATATATAAAAACCAGGAAATTGTGCACTCTGCATGAATTATATTTGAATAAGGTGCTATTTAAAAAGAGCACAAGGCTGGGCGCAGTGGCTCACGCCCGTAATCCAACACTTTGGGAGGCTGAGGCAGGTAGATCACCTGAGGTCAGGAGTTCAGGACCAGCCTGGCCAACATGGTGAAAACCCGTCTCTACTAAAAATACAAAAATTAGCCAGGCGTGGTGACGGGCGCCTATAATCCCAGCTACTTGGGAGGCTGAGGCAGGAGAATTGCTTGAACCTGGGAGGCAGACATTGCAGTGAGCCGAGATTGCACCATTGCACTCCAGGCTGGGTGATACAGTGAGACTCCGTATCAAAAAAATAATAAAATAAAAAAATAAAAAGAGCACAGATTCCTGGTTTTGATCCTTAGTAAGATGTCACCATTGAGGGGTCTGGGGAGAGTACAGGATTCTACTATTTTGGTAACTTCCTGTGAGTCTATACTTTTTCAAAATATTAATATAAAGCTTTAAAAATCATTAGGTAATCACAATTTGAATATTTAGTAACTCCAGTTGAATAATTGGGGAAATCATTGAAAATATTTAAAAGTGACCCTGGCCCCATTTTCCAGCACACACACCTGAGGCCCTGGGTGCTGAGGGAGCCTTGGGGCCTCCTTCCCTGGGGTGGAGCCTCCTGTATCCCAGGACTCCTGGCACTGGCTCCCTCCAGGGACCCCCCTGGGGTGGGTGGGGTCCTCACACCATGCCCTTTCCCCACCCTGCCTACTGCAGCTCAGGGCCAGAATCCTGGGGTTCCACACCCAGCCCCGCCCGTGTTTGCATCTCCTGGTCTCTACTGTACCCCCCACTGCAGCCCTGGGTCGATTCTGGAAGGCCTCCTGGGTGCAGGGAGGGGTGGAACCCTTGCCCTTGCTTACATGTGGCGGCATCCCCCTGGCAGCGGGAAGGGCCCTCCCCTGGACACATCTGTGCAGGTTCCAATAACCGGTCACACGGGAGCATTTGGGTGCAGCATTAAAAAAATGCCCCAAGTTAATTTCTTGGGCCCAGCTCCTTTCTGCTTCAGATTTCAGCCTCTTAGGAGAATAAGCCAGGAAGTGGGCTTGGGCCACAGATACATGAGTGGGAGAAGAGTGGATGGGAGGGTCCGTATGGTCAGACCAATATTCCCACTGAAACCAGATCATACGGTGGACTCAGTGTTTTAAAATGTGTCTTTTTAAAAGACTGGAGAGCTGGCAAGATAATCACCAGGCCCGGGAGAAGGGAGGCAGGACTCTGTGGGGTCAGCCCAGGAAAGTTAGTGGGTGGATGAGAACACTGATTGCCATGGGCTCTGGGGGAAACAGAACACAAACCCCTGTGTGCCCGAGTGGGGTGTCCCCAAGGAAGTCCCCTCCACATTGTACTGGGCGCACAAAGAGTCTCACAGTCACAGCTGGGTCACCCAGAGTGAACCCACGCTTCGCAAATGCTCCCCTGGAACTCACATTTCCTAGTGTGAGAAATGTGAGAAATAAACTCATCTGTCCAAACCCAAAGAATGGACTCAGAGACCCAGAGAACAACGAAAGTGACGGTTTGTTCTTTGTTTTGTTTTGTTTTGTTTTGTTTTTTGAGATGGAGTCTCACTCTATCGCCCAGGCTGGAGCGCAGTGGCACCATCTGGGCTCACTGCAACCTCTGCCACCCAGGTTCAAGTGATTCCCCCGCCTCAGTCTCCCAAGTAGCTGGGACTACAGGTGCCCGCCATCACGCCTGGCTAATTTTTGTATTTTTAGTAGAAATGGGGTTTCACCATCTTGGCCAGGCTGTTCTCGAACTCCTGACCTTGTGATCCACCCACTTCAGCCTCCCAAAGTGCTAGGATTACAGGCGTGAGCCACTGTGCCTGGCCCGAAAGTGAGATTTTAATGACGGTCTTGCAAGATTGGGTGCCTGATGAGCAGGCACACCCAGCACAGTTTCAACAAGCAATTTATCCCCTAGTGTGCAGGTCCCTCCCCTGGTTCCTCATAGGCTGAGTACTATGGGGTCACAACCTTCCTGGATGTCACCTATTGGTTGTTGGGCAGGGGCTTTAGACGTTTTCTTTAGGGTTGTCTTGTTGCATTCTGTTGCAGCCCACAATGCATTGCAATCCTAGTTAGCTCAGGGGCTCTTCAAGTATTTGACTTATGACCTAAGTAGCTGGGCAGGCTGATAAGAACAGACAAAGCAAACTATTTTGCAGGGTAGTAAACTTTCATTTTAGACTAAACTTTTTTGGTTTGGGTGAGGGCAACTAAGAGGGGAGTGGGAGAGGGGGCAGGGGGAGGCTGAAAAGCAGGCAGGGGCCTAGTATATCTTGTTTCTTCTGTAGTTTGCTGACCTAAGCTGATTCAAGGCACATTGTCTTGGAAATGGACCACTGTGTACATTATTTCCTTCACTGCTAAGTGTAATAAACTGACTCCAGCCAGGGCCTGGCAGAAGCACATGCTCAGCCTCTGGGGAAGGTGCCCACCTTGCAGGCCTCAAAATATTGCTACCATTGAAGCAGGAAATTTCCCCTGACCCCTTCGTGGGCAGGAACTGAAGTACAGGCACTGGAGCTACCCACAGCTTTGGCACCAGCAGGGGAAAACTCCACTCACCCGAACCCCTTGTGTTCAACCCTCGTGGGAGGGAACACGCAGGTGAGCAGTTGTAGGAGCCAGGGTGAGTGCTTTTGGGTGTCAGCAGGGGCAAAACTGCATGCGCCCTGCGGCAGCATCTGGGAGAAGTACCCATGACGCCCAAAGCCCCAGAAGGAATGTTATAGTCAGTGCTCTTTCAGTGCTGCCATCCACAGATGGCTTAAGTGTTAACAGCTCAGTGGGCCCTCTGCCTTTTCTCATGAGGTGGCTGCTTTCCACCAGTGAGGGCAGAGGGTCAGTGTGACAGCCTTTTGCATCTGCTCCCATGGTACCTCAGCTCTTGTTTGGCGTCCGGGTAACACAAATTGAAGGGTGGTGAATGCAGGGGATTTTATTGTTGATGAAAGTGGCACTCAGTGGGAAGGGGAGCTGGAAAGGGGATGGAGCAGGAAGGTGATCTTCCCCTGGAGCAATGCCATCAAGCCGTCTCTGTGAAGTCAAGCTGCTTCTCTCCAACATCCAACTGTACTCTCTGATGTCCAGATGCTTCTCCTCTTCTCTGCTGTCTGCCAGTGGAACCTGGGTTTTTTATGGGCATAGGATGAGGTGTGGGGGCGGGCCATGGGTGGTTTTGGAAAAGGCAACATTTGAGCGGGAAAACAGGAATGCATGTTCTCACTTTGGGCTGTGGTTCCAGGCTTCAGGTTCGGGCCTTCACTGGGCACCTGCCCTCTTCTGCCCAGAATTTCCTTGCCTCCTGTCCCTATCACTCCCTGCCTCAGAAGAGGCACATCTAACTGCTGTTGGAATATGAACGATGACTGATCATAGCTACTTCTTGCTGACAGGGGGCATTGTTTTGGGGAGATTGGTTTTCTCCTTCATCTCTGAGATGTTTATTTGTGACATTGCTTATATCTGGCTCTTCCCAGAGTCCTCTCTTCCTGCTGTAGCTCATAATAGATCTTCAGATGTTTGGTGGGCACCCACACAGGCACCTGATTGTCACCTGGATAAACACAAACAAATCCTCTTCCCCATGTAATTATCCACCCTTTGATTAAGTTTAGTTAAAGGTCCAGGGAGGTTAGTATGTGCTCTCATATGAGTGATATAGAAAGGGGAATGCCTTGTTGTACTGCTTGCTGTAAAGAAGGAAATAAAAGATTAAGTTGGTCATTAGTCACATTTTGAATTAAGGCACATTCAATATTTTGCATGGCTTGCACTACATAGGCTGAATCAGAAACAATGTTTACTGGTTGTTTAAAAGTTTTTAACGCTGTTATCACAGTCATAAGTTCAGCCCTTTGAGCAGAAGCAAAGTCAGTTTGAAAAACTTGCTGTTGAGGTCCTGCAAATGAGGTTTTTCTATTACTAGATCCATCAGTGAAAACAGTAATGGCCCCTTCAATAGGGGCTTTTTGAGTAATGGAGGGCAATATCCATGATATTAACTTAAGAAATTGGAATATTTTGGATTTAGGATAATGATTATCCAAGAACACCAGTAAAACCTGCCAAATTAACTTGCCATTCCTGGGAATTAATATAAGCCTGCTGAATTTGTTGTTTGTTTAATGGAACCATAATTTGATTTAGATTATATCCCATTAACTTTGTTGTGCACAGCCTTGCTTGTTCTACTAGTACAGCAATTTGATCTAAGTACAGAGTGAGCGTTTTGGCTGTATTGTGAGGTAGAAAAAGCCACTCAACCAGATCATTCTGTTGAACAATAACTCCTGTAGGTGAATGTTTAGTAGGAAAAACTAAAAACTGTAATGGCTGCATAGGGTTAATTCGAGTCACTTGGGCTTGTTGAAATTTTTTTCAATTAATTGAAGTTTCTCTAATGCTTCTTTGGATAGAGAGCATTTGCTATTAAGGTTAGAATCACCTCATAAGGTAGAAAAGAGGTGAGACATAGCATAAGTAGGAATGCCTAAAGTGAGACGAATCCAATTTATGTCTCCTAATAATTTTTGAAAATCATTTAGAGTTTTTAAAGTATCTCTTCTAATTTGAACTTTTTGAGGCTTAATAGTACTTTGTTCTACTTTCATTCCTAAATACTGAAAGGGAGTAGAAGTTTGGATTTTATCGGGGGCTATGATTAATCCCGCTGCAGTTACAGCCTTTTCCAATTGTTTGCAGCATAGCATTAATTCTTCTCTAGTTTCAGCTGCACATAAAATATCATCCATGTAATGGATAATATAGCATTTTTTGAATTGTTCTCTAACTGGCTTAATAGCTTTTCTGACATAAGTTTGACAAATAGTCAGGCTATTTAACATGCATTGTGGCAGTATTTTCCAATGGTATCTGTCCGCTGGTTCTTTGTTATTTTTAGTGGGAACAGTAAAAGCAAATTTTTCATAATCTTGAGTTGCTAAAGGAATGGTAAAAAAGCAATCTTTTAAATCTATTACTATGAGAGGCCAGTATTTTGGGATCATTGTTGGAGAGGGCAGCCCTGGTTGCAGTGCGCCCATGGGTTGAATCACAGCATTAACAGCCCTCAAGTCTGTTAACATTCTCCGTTTCCCTGATTTTTTCTTAATAACAAACACAGGAGAATTCCAAGGAGAGAAAGTAGGCTCTATGTGTCCCTTTTGCAATTGTTCCTGTACCAATTTTTTTAAAGCCTCCAGTTTTTCCTGTTTCAGCAGCCATTGCTCCACCCAAACCGGTTTGGCAGTTAATCAAATAAGAGGAATGGGAGCCGGAGGCTCAGCAATGACCACTCCTAAAAATGATAGCCTAATCCAGTTCGATCTGTTTGCCCTTTTAGTTCTGAAGGTTCTGTTTGGCCACTTTCATTTTTTCCAGTCCCTTTCCTGGGAGATATCCCATTTTTCTCATCATTTGTTTACTGTTATTACTATACTGATCCATAGAAATAGATATTTCAGCACCCCATTGTTGTAATAAGTCTCTACACCATAGATTGACAGGAATAGGTGTAATAATAGGTTGAATTGTCCCTTCTTGGCCATCTGGCCCTTAGCGTGGCAAAATTAAAGAACTCTGAAAAATTTCTGAGGCAGCCTTTACTCTATAAACAATACCAATGGATGCCTTTTGTTTTGGCCAATGCCAGGGCCATTGATTTAAACCCATAATAGAAACATCAGCTCCAATATCTACTAGCCCCTCAAAATCTTTACCTTGAATAGTTACTGTACAAATAGGTCTTTTGTCAGACACTTGATTAACCCAATATACAGCTTTTCCTGCTGGATTTGTACTACCAAAGCCTCCTATTCTTTTTACTGTGCTGCTTCCCAGTTTTGCATAAGGTAGCAGTAACAACTGAGCAATTCTTTCTCCTGGGGAAGCAGACTATGGAATTGAGGAACTAATAACTAATTAAATCTCTCTAGTATAATCAGAATCAATTATTCCTGTATGTACAGTGATGCCTCTTAAATTTAAGCTAGACCTTCCAAGCAACAGACCAACTGTTCCTGAGGGTAAAGGGCCCCTAACTCCCATGGGGACCTTCTTTGATAGCTCCCCAGGAAGTAAGGAAATGGGAATTGTGCTGCAGAGATCTATGGCAGCACTGCCTGCTGTGGCAGGGGACAATTGCTGTACGTTTGTAAGGACACTGACTGTGCTGGATATGCCTCAGTTTGTTGAGGGGCCCGAGGTGGGCCCCTCTTCCCATTTCCTGAAAGAGGTTGCCCATCTTTGCTAACTTTAGAATGACACTGATTTGCCCAGTGATTGCCCTTCTTACGTCAAGGACAGATACCAGGACTTTTTTGTTGCTTACTGGTAGTAGCCCTTGCCTGTTGATTTCCTTTTTTTACATTCCTTTTTTTGTGTGTCCAAATTGCCCACAATTAAACAAGAGCCTGAGAAACAAGGCATATTTTTCCCCACCTTTAATTCAGCCATAGCTTGAGCTAAAAGAGTAGCCTTATGTAAGTTACCTCCAATGCCATGGCAAGCCTTAATATATTCAGCCAAATGAGACTTCCCTCTCATAGGTCTAATGAAAGAAGGATATTTTTTCCCTGTAACATTTATTTTTTTCCATGCCCGTAAGCACACAGTGCGTAACTGAACAATGGCGACATTTTTCATTACTGCTTGATTGTCTAATTGGCCCCAATTAGGGCCCAACCCCATTAACTGTTCAAAGGAAACAGGCACAGGCAACTGTGCTTGTGTGTTTTCTCTTGCCTGAGTTTGAGCTTCATCAGCCCACCAAGTTTTAAACTGCAAGTACTGAGATGGAGTGAGAACAGATTTTGTTAAAGTATCCCAGTCATATGGTATTAATCTATTATCAAGAGCCACATTTTTTAGTAAAGTTTGTACAAAAGGAGAATTTGGCTCATATTGACTAATGGCTTGCTTAAATTCCTTTAACATCTTAAAAGGAAAAGTGGCCCAATTAGCAATGTTCTGTCCTCCTTGCTGAATTATAGTAACTGGAAATTGCCATGCTTCTAGCTCTCCTTCAGCTCCAGCCTTCTGAAAAGAATTTTGTATAGCACCAGCAATTGTTCCCCATATTTAATGTTGCCACTACAGAAGCAGTACGTTTTACAGCTAATTCATCTTCTCGCCCATTAAGGAAAGAGGGAGGAGGTGGCCATTCACTTAATTCAGCAGGTGGAACCGACAGGCTAGTAAAATATACCCTTTCCAGCGTCCCTTTCTTTTCTTTAATTTTCTCCGGTTGCTGTTCCTCATATTCAGAGTCTGAAGTTAATTTTTTACACTCATCTACCTCTTTCTCATCTGAATCTGCCTCATCATCTGTTTGAAATGGTTCAAGAGCTGCCTTTATCAACGCCCACACTGACCAAACAGAAACTGGAATTTTGGCTCCTTCTTTATGCGCCTTTTAAAAATCTCTGCCAATTCTTTCCCATTCATCTAATTCCATTGTCCCTTGTTCTGGGAACTATGGATAAAACTGCTCTACTGTATTAAACAGTGTTAATAAATTCTGAGTACTAACTTTCACTCCCCCTCTCCGTAATAAATGCCTTAAGAAATTTAAATAAACAGAATATTTACTTTCATTCTGTCCTGTTGTTACCCTGTTTCTTCCGAGTGCTCAGCTTTCCCACCGAGCTTCTTTCAGTCATCCTCGGGTGTCCTCTGACAATGCGTCCTCCAGTTCCGCATGCTCTAGTGTTCCTTCACTGGGGTCTTCATAGCCCCACGTTGGGTGCCAGAAATGTTGGGGTGATCAGACCAAACACCAGGCCATGGGGGCTACAAAGTCCAGTGGAGTCAAAGGAATGAGAAAAGACAAGTTAAGAGTGCATAAGGTGGGTCCAGGGGGCCAACGCTGGTATTCAGGCTGCGAATGCCCTGAGCTCTCGGAGCCCACACTATTTATCGGTGATCAAACAAAAAAGCAGGTGGTGAGGATGTGCAGATGTGGGGGTAAACAGGTGAGGACGTTGGGGTAGAAAGGTAGGGGTGCATCAAATACAGCTCTGATGGTTTAGCATTTTCTTTGACGCATATACAGTATGCTTTGCTGCTTGAGATAATGGAGAACATGTTTTCACGCCTGGGAGAGCAAGCAACAAGTCTGTGCACATTCCGGAGGCTACAAGGGGTTTTATGCCCTGAGCCCTGGATTCCATCCAAGCCATGGGCTTAGATTTGTGGTGCGGCAAGGCAGCCTTCCACACTTTGGCACAGAGCTTGGTGTTCCAAAGGCCACGAGGGGTTTTAGACCCTGGACCCTGGACATCTTCCAAAACTCTTTTATATTATGACGGACAAGCCAGTCCTGCCTCAGCTCTTCTACCAACACTGTGGCCATCCTGAGGGCTGAAGGATATATCCTGGAGAGGTGACCCGATTTATTTCTGTAGGAGAATATTGAGGTTTTATTTCTCTTATGGGGCCCTCCCAGATCAGTAGGGCTTCAAGTGTATCAGAAATCAGAGGCCCTCTCAGTGCTGATTTAGCTGCTTGGTCCACCAACCTATTTCCCTCGCCTACTTCATCCATCCCTTTTTGGTGGCCTTTACACTGTATTACTGCCACTTCCTGTGGAAGGAAAACTGAGGATAATAGTCTATTAATTCCCTGATGGTATTTAATGGGAGACCCATTAGCTGTGAGGAAGTTCCTCTCTTTCCAGGTAGCGGCATGGGCATGGGGGACTAGGAAAGTGTACTTAGAATCAGTATAAATGTTAACTGCTTTCCCTTTGCTTAAATCTAGTGCCCTCATCAGGGTGATTAGCTCAGCTAGTTGAGCACTTGTGCCCAAGGAAAGAGACGCATTCTCAACAATATCATTCAGAGTAACTGTTGCATACTCTGGTTTATGGATCCCTTGCTCTACAAAAGAACTTCCATCCATAAAGAGTGAGGGTTCTCTAAGGGGGTTTCCTTGAGGTACTCCCTGGCTGCATAGATTTGTACTACTATCTGTTCACAGTCATGTTCAAGCTCCCCAGCTTCCTCTGGGAGGAAGGTGGCTGGATTTAGGAAGAGACAGTTTCTTAATTTGACTGCAGATCCTTCTAATAACAGACCTTGATACCTGAGGAAGCAGTAGTCTGTTAGCCAGAGACTCCCCTTAGAAGACAGCAGTCCTTCCACATTATGTGGGGTATAAACAGTTACGTTATTCCCAATGGTTAACTTAGTAGCTTCTAGTACCAGCAAGGCTACTGCCGCAACTGCCCAGAGGCAGGCTAGCCATCCTTTGGCTATCAAATCAAGTTCCTTACTTAGGTAGTCTACAGGCTGCTGGGCTGGACTGTGGGCCTCTGTTAGAACTCCCAGGGCCATTCCCTTTCTTTCTGACACATAAAGATTAAACATCTTCCCTATGGGGAAACTAAAAGCCAGTGCCTTAAGCAGGGCTTGCTTTAGTTGGTCAAAGGCCTTTCTAGCCTCTGGTTCCCAAATTAGACAGTGAGTTTTTTCTGCCTGAGTCTCCTTTATTAGGTGATATAAGGGACGAGCTATTTCACTGTACCCAGTTATGCACTATACCCAGCTATTTCATTGTACCCAGTTACGAATCCTGTAATGCCTAAGAATTCCCTTAGTTCCTTGAGGGTTTGGGGGAGGGGAAAGAAGGAGATGGATTTAATCCTCTCTTCACCCAATGCTCTGGTCCCCTCTGATAAGACCAGGCCTAGGTACTTCATTGAAGTCTGACAGAGCTGAGATTTAGATTTTGAAACCTTATATCTTCTGTTAGCCAGAAAATTAAGAAGAGCCTTTCTGCCCTCCTGAGAGACTGCCTCAGTTGGAGCACAGAGGAGAATGTCACCTATGTATTGTAAAACTTTAACCTGAGGATAAAGGAACTTGGAGAGGTCTCTTGACAATGCCTGCCCAAACAAGTGGGCAGAACCGCTGAGGTAACACTGTCCAAGTCAACTGAGTGGTTTAGTTAGAGGGCTCCTCAAATGCAAACAAATACTGAAAGGGTGTACAATATGCAGAAGAAGGCATTCTTTAGGTCCAGGACAGTAAACCATTTAGTTCCTTCAGGTATTTGACCTAGCAGGGTATATGGATTGGGAACCACCAGGTGAATTGGAACCACAGGCTTATTAACGAGGTGGAGGTCTTGAATTAGTCTCCATTCCTCGTTGGGTTTTTGTACCCCCAATATTGGGGTATGACAAGGGCTGTTGCAGAGTTTGAGGAGGCCCTGCAACCTTAAGTTATCAATGATGGCTTCTAGTCCTTTTCTAACTTCTGGTTTCAGGGAATATTATTTCTGGTTAAAAAAGGAGAACTTAAGGTGGACCCAGACCAGTATGGCAGTTGTGGCTTGGCCAAGTTTCTTTCTTTCTTTCTTTTCTTTTTTTTTTTTTGACAAAGTCTCACTCTGTCACCCAGGCTGGAGTGCAGTGGCATGATCTTGGCTCACTGCAACCTCCGCCTCCTGAGTTCAAGCGATTTTCCTGTCTCAGCCTCCCGAGTAACTGGGATTACAGGTGTGCACCACCATACCCAGCTAATTTTTGTATTTTTAGTAGAGACAGGGTTTCGCCATGTTGGCCAGGCTGGCCTCAAACTCCTGACCTCAGGTGATCCGTCTGCCTCGGCTTCCTAAAGTGCTGGGGTTACAGGTGTCAGCCACGGCACCCAGCCAACTTGGCCCATTTTCCCTTGAATTGCCCAAACTTCTGGGTTAATATTGGTCTCCACAAGGAGGAGATAAAGAGTTTGTCCTGGGGCCATCAGGATGGTGGTCCCCATATGGGCCAGAATATCCCTGCCCAACAGAGGAGTTGGGTTTTCAGGCATAATTAGAAAAGTATGTGTGAACAAGAGGTCTCCTCAACTACAACTAAGGGGTTGGGAGAACTATTGGGTTAAAGGTCTTCCTGAGATGCCTCTCACGGTTGTGCTAACAGAGGAAAGGGACCCAGATTGGAGAGGAGAACCGAGAGACCAGCCCTGGTGTCCAGAATGCGGTCCACTTTCCTTCCTTCGATTTCCGGGATTACCCAGGGCTCCTGAATGCTAATGGTGGTCTAGACCACCAGAGCCAGGGAGAGGAGCCCCAGGATCTGTCAGTCTGGCTGGACCATTTGGGAGATTGGCTCTGGACTCAGAGACCAGCATTCTCAGGGACAATCCACTTTCCAGTGGTCCCCATTGCAGATTGGACAGGGACGAAGTGGCTTCCTCATGCTGCCAGGGCAATTCGTTCTAAAATCCCCTGGCTTGCCACGTCTGTAGCAGTTAACAGCTGAACCTCAGGAATTCTGGGGTTTGTGGACCTGCATGGTGGCCATTAAAGCCTCTGCCTCTTTCCTGCGCGTCCTCTCTCTCTCTCCTGAGCCTCCCTGTCTCTATTATAAATGACTGAAGTGGCCACTTTCAGGAGGTTCTCTAAAGTACTATCTGATCCCAGGGCCTGTTTCTGCAGGGACTGCCTGAGTAATAAATTTATTCTTTAGGATTAGTTTCCTTTGACTGAATCAGGAGATAGAGAGGTGTGCTTTACCAAGGGCTCCCTTAGCCTTTCCAGGAAGGCAGTGGGATTCTCATCAAATCCCTGTTCAATCATGGATAGCTTGGTGTAATTGAGAGGCCTAGTGCTAGTCCTATGTAAGCCCTCCATTATGCACTCCTGAAAGTGTCTCCTCTTCCATTCTCCCATGTCATCATGGGGATCCCATTTAGGGTCATCCAATGCTACTGCTTCTCTTCCAGTTGGATAAAGTTTGACCCCTTCCCTGACACTATATGTGATACAAAGTTCATCCCCAAATCCCTCCCCTCTGCCACTTGCAGAGCCTCCTGCTTCTCAGCTGTTACTCAGGGTTTGATTGAAAACTAACATAACATCTTTCCAGGAGAGTTCAAATACTTGGGTTAAATTCTGGAAAGCCTTTATATATATCTGTCAGGGTCATCTGAAAACTTGCCAAGATCTCCCTTGATTTGCTTTAAGTCCTGTAGAGAGAAGGGGACCTGGACCTCATGGGGGCCAAATTCACCAAGCATCTGTTGGAGGGGCAAGTGTGACACTGGGGCTTGCCCAGGGTGAGGATTTCTAGGAGGGGGCAAGTGAGAGAGAGAAGCTGAAGAGGGAGGACCGGGTGGATCGGGAGGAGCAGGGCTGGTGGGAGCTGGCTCCCCTGCTGGAGGTGCCTCCGGGGCTCATTTCTATAGTTCCCTGGGATTGCCCCTTGCAGCCTCTCCTGAGATGGCAAAGAGGAGGGATGGATCAATCCTACACTGTCGGCAAAGGTCTGGATTACCCTGCAAGGTAAAGAAAGCCTGCACATATGGGGCATCAGACCATTTGCCCTCATGTTTACGGAAAAAGTTCCAACTTCAGGATGGTATCAAAATGAATGGTTCCTTCCTGAGGCCAAGCCAGACCTTCCTGCAGATCATGATTTGGCCAAGCCTTTGTACAGAGGACTATGAGGTGTTTTTCCTCCAGAATCTGAGGGTCAAAGCAGTCCCAGTGATTCAGTATACACTCCAGAGGAGTATAGACTGGGGGTGGTGAAGATAGCTGGTTCTGAAAGACAGGGAAAGACAGGGAAATAGGCATTCCTCATTTCCCTTCCTTCTTTCGGCAAAAACTTGGGGTGTGAGGGAGAGAGAAAGCAAGCATCCCCCTTTTCTCTTCTGTTTTTTGATCCCTGAGACCCATCGACCTTTAGACAGATACCACCCACAGGTGCCACTATGGCCCGCACCTGTGAAGCAGGGGGTGCCTACACAACAGGACTTGTCTGCACTCACCCACATCTCCACCCCCCACTACTGTCGGCAGCCCTCAGGTTCCCTGGGCCTTATCTATGCCATGGAGCATGGCCTCCTTCCATGAAGCATGGGCTGAGCCAGCAGGAATCTGTCCTGACCATTTACACTGTGCCCGTTGCCTCGCTTTGGATCCCTCAGATCTGGTTTTTCTTTCTAGGGCTTCAGCCCAAAACTTGGAATCGAGTTTGGAACAAAAAGGTGTCTGAGGGGGTGCATGGGTCCCTTTAGATGGACTCCCCGATGGGCCCTGCCAAACTTGCAGTTATTAGCCGGTGGGGGTGGCTCCTTGGTTGTTTCCCCATCATAAGCGGAGTGCTGAGGCAGGAAAATAACCCTCTTGCATAGAAAAGGAAAGAAAAAAACAGCTGTGGGAGGAACCTCTTGCTCTCTGCAAACGGGTTCCTTTAATCATTGTATCCCTTCCACGGTTTGGACCGAGATGAACTCCCTGGCCAGGGGAGGAAAGACTCTATGGGCACATGGCAGGGGGGGCGGCGAGTGGCAAACACTGGCCAGCAGGCTGCACGGGGTCCCTGCCCTCAAGACTGCCCTGGGGCCCTGGCAGCAGCCATGGTTCTCTCTCACTGCCCATGGCTGGTGGCATGGCATGTGCATGCCGCAGACATGCCCAAGCACCCCAGCCAGGAAGGGAGGGGGGTGAGGAGGGGGCCACCATGTGCCACACGTGCCTGTGGCTTTTGGGCTGGGGATGGGGACGGCACCTCTAAGGACAAGTGGAAATCACACTGTCCTGAATTGCATATCTGACTGCTGGGCCAAATGCTCTAGCAATATTTCTGCAGTTTGCAGCAAAACCCTTAACATTATGACAGAAGAGATAGGAGCTATTTCAAACCATGAAAGAAGAAAGGAAAGATACCATGGAAAATTCTGGGGGTCTTGGCCAGCCCCCTGATGGGCAGTCAGGAACTGGGTACAGTCTTGGGGCCTTCTGGCAACACCGAGGTATGGCCTCGACCAGATGCCTTCAGTGGCCCCAGGACTTTATTCCAGTCCCAGGCAATGGCTAGATCTCCATGAAGGGAACAGAGCCAACATTCCTTTTACGTAAAAGAAAGAGAGAGATGGCAGGGTTGCATCCTCTCCCCTGCAAGTGGCATAGCTCAGAGCAAAGTCTGAGGACAAGAAGAGACAGATCTGGCAGATTCGCATTTACTCACCCTGCTGACGTATCCCAAATGAGGCCCCATAAATGAGCAGGAAATTTCCCCTGACCCCTTCACAGGCGGGAACTGGAGTGTGGGCACTGGAGCTAGCTGGCCACTTTGGCGCCGGCAGGGACAAACTCCACTCATTCGAACCCATTGTGCTCAACCCCTCGTGGGAGGGAGCATGCAGGTGAGCAGGTGCAGGAGCCGGGGTGAGTGCTTTTGGGTGCCAGCAGGAGCAAAACCCCATGGGAGCCCCGTGGCAGCATCTGTGGGGGGAACCCATGACCCCCAAAGTCCCTGAAGGAGTGTTACAGTCAATGCTCTTTCAGCTCTGCCATCCGTAGATGGTTTAAGTGTTAACAGCTCAGTGGACCCTCTGCCTTTTCGCATGAGGCGGCTGCTTTCCACCAGTGAGGGCAGAGGGTCAGTGTGACAGCCTTTTGCATGTGCACTCGTGGTATCTGAGCTCTTGTTCAGAATCTAGGAAAAATCAGGTCACACAAACAAATGGAAGGGTGGTGAACATGGAGGATTTTATTGCCAGTGAAAGTGGGTCTCAGCAGGAAGGAGAACTGGCAAGGGGATGGAGCTGGAAGGTGATTTTCCCCAAGTCTAGCCATCTCCAGCTGGACTCCTCTCCAAAGCAACACCATCAAGCTGCCCCTCTGAAGTCAAGCTGCCTCCCTCTGATGTCCAACCATAGTCTCCAATGTCCAGCTGCTTCTCCTCTTCTCTGCTCTTTGCTGGTGGAGCCAGTGAAGCCTGGGGTTTTTATGGGTGCAGGATGGGGGTGGGGGTGGGCCATGGGTGGTTTTGGAAAAAGCAACATTTGAGTGGGAAAACAGGAATGCATGTTCTTACTTTGGGCTATAATTCCAGGCTTGAGGGTGAGGCCCTCACTGGGGACTCACCCTCTTCTGCCCAGAATTTCCCCGCCTCCTGTCCCTATCATGATTATGTTCAAGTACAAGGTGGGGCTTCTGTCCAAACACCAAGGACGGAAGCCAGGACAAAGAGGGGCCAGAGACAACAGAAACACACCCACCGGGCCACAGAATTAGTCTCCATTCTGCTGGACTGGACTCTGTGCCCCGGTACTTCTATTCTGTATCCCGAGTCTCACTTCAGATCTTTCTTGCAGTTCATGTGTCCAAAATTCACTGTGTCCAAAATTATGTTCTACGTGTCCAGAAGTATTTGATTTCAGTGATGATACTTTTTTGTTTTTAAAAGTCTTATTTAGTTATTTCCCATCTTTCTAGTATTTTAATAGAATTTAAACATGACAAATGAAACATAGTATTTTGTCCTTTAAATATTAACTTTGTGTATCTATCAAGTCATCCTGTAGTTGGAAATTTCAGACGTCCCCAGTCCATTTTTTTGTCTAAAGGCAGTCACTCAGGTGTCTGTGCCCTCTCCGATCTATAACATGGCTCATGGGTTCCCCTTCACTGGAGCTGTGCCCAAGGGCATCCTGGCAGCCTGTCTACACTGAAGATACATTGCTCCATAGACTTCACCCTTTGTGTGAAGCTCCTGGGGAACTTCTTACTGCTTTAAAATGTAGGAGATTTTTGGTTGTTTGTTTTAGAAAACAAACAAATTGAAAAGATAGCTTGTTATACTGATAGAAGCAGTAGACAGCCAAATGCCTAGGCCGATAAGGAAAGGTCCTCAGAGACCCTCCGACCCGTCCAGGTCACTGTGCACAGGGGGCTCACCTAAACATGCCCTCAGTGAAAAATTCCATCCCTTCACACATGCGCAGTAAGGGAAATAAATCAATGTGGTGTGGCTCAGACTAACGGCTCACATGCGCACTGGAAGAAAGGGATGGAGCCTTCAGGAATCCATGCCCTATGCTGGGAAGGAGACTGGCCTCTTCAGCTTGTGCATGGTGGCCTGGTATTCAATCTGTGAGGTAGGAGCTGGCTGGTGGGACCCCTCTCTCTGCTGAAAGTTCCCCTTTTGCTTAATAAATTCCACTCTCTTCACCCTTCAATATGTCCATGTGCCTAATTTTTCCTGGTCGTGAGACAAGAACCTGGATTTAGCTGAACTAAGGAGCAAAATATCCTACATCAATACTATTGAAAAGATAGTTTGTTATACTCACAGGTACCAAGAGCAGGGGCCATGCCACAGAGGGGCCACACAGGGAAGTACCAGGATCTGTCAGGAGGCAGAGAGGGCAGAAAAACATGGGCAAGAGCCTTTATCAGGGTTTCTGCAGGAAGGAACACGTGAGGCAGGATGAATGGTTTAAGACTGCCACGCATGAATAAAATAATTTCACGGGCTCTGGCACATAGGGACTGCCCCTAGATGTCTGGTACCTGGTTCTAGGGTGCTCAGGACAGGTGGAGACGGGCCCAGAGTGTTAGAGCCAGTAGAGGAGGTGGCTGGGTAGGAGCTCTGGTTTGGTGGCTGCCGTATGGTGGCGTGCGTGTAGGCTGGTCCTTTACTCTCTAGGAACGGGCTAATCAAGACCCCAGATGTAAAGCATCATGTGCAGAAGCTAGAAACAGGGTCATCTCGGCTACCCACACCTCCCTGTCAGAGTCTTAGCTTGCAGTTCCTAAAACTGCACATGGGGTGAGTTTGAGCTGCATGCTGACATGAAGACTGGCCTTGGCTTCCAAGTTACAGAGACTTTTCTCTTTCCAGAGATCAAACCAAGACAAGCTTCATCCTTGACACTTTTTGAAAGAAAAAGGAATTTTTCCCTCTTAATCCACCAGTTCCACTGTGAGTAGAGCCCTTCACAATTACGGGCTTCATTCAGGGGTGTCAGTGCTAACCTTTCACAGAACAAGGCCTGGTTCCCCATCCTAATATGGCCGTTGAAATGGAAGTGTCTTGGTTACCTGGCCTAGCAAATCTCCCCAGGGCCACTGTAGCATCTGTGTCAGCTTAGTGCCTGCTTTGCAGCTCCTTTTCATTTTTGGCCAATAGAGTTTTCCCTTGATTAGGCTCTCAGCCATGAATGAAAGGACGTTTGGTATTTCCTCCAAAATTTCCTAGCATGCACTGCGGGAGGTTTTGTAGGGAACCAAACCCATCTCACTTTTGGACAGGACAGTGGCATTTGTTTTGCAATAACTGCTTCTACCCTGTGTTCAGAGTGGCAGACAGAGGACTCCGAGGGTGGACGTCACAGTGGCTGTGACCCTGGCTGTCTGGCTTTCCTCTCTGCAATGCCAGCAGATTCTATGGCTCACTTTCCACAGGTCCTGAGCCTGAGAAACCTCAGGAATGCAGGTAGAGCCATTACCCTCTGTAAGAATGACACAGCCCAGCTAGGATGGGGTCATTGCAGGGACAGCCTCCTCCCCAGGGAGCTGGGAGCACAGGTTTCAGTGCTGGAGAACTCACGGGTCAGAGTCTTTGCCTCCACTGGAACTGGAGAAGTGAGCAGGAATGCAGGCAGGAGGCTGTCAGGGTGCAGGCAGGAGGCTATTGAGGTGCAGGCTGTGGGGGGTGCAGGCAGGAGGCTGTGGGGGGGTGCAGGCAGGAAGCTGTGGGGGGGTGCAGGCAGGAGGCTGTGGGGGGGTGCAGGCAGGAAGCTGTGGGGGGGTGCAGGCAGGAAGCTGTGGGGGGGTGCAGGCAGGAGGCTGTTGGGGTGCAGGCTGTGGGGGGTGCAGGCAGGAGGCTGTCGGGAGTGCAGGCAGAAGGTTGTAGGGGTGCAGGCAGGAGGCTGTTGAGGTGCAGGCTGTCGGGGTGCAGGCTGTGGGGATGCAGGCTGTGGGGTCCTGTCTCATGGCCCAGTCAGTGACTCGTCCTCCTGGGTCTCTGGGCTTCGCGCCTGATTGATCATCGGAATCACTGCAGGCAGGGACGGGGTGTTGAAAACTCGGGTCTTTATTCAACATCCCCATTATTCTGATTTGCTGGGGCTGGGGCTAGGGCTGCGCCAGCATCTGGGCCCTGGAGGAGACCCCTTGGGGGTTTCTGCAGCACAACCCAGCACTGGGATCCCCTGCTCCTGTGGGGAGAACACGGCGGATTTTCAGTGGCCAGGAGGGAACGCAAAAGTGGATGGACTCTTGCTCTAAATTGTCATTTCGGCTCTCCCAGACTCCTGGCAGCCAAGGAGAAGGAAGAGATCCTGACTTCGTGTTGAGTGAGGCTTTGTAACTGTCCCGACATGCACACACCTCATATCATGTGCCAGGTGGGGGAATTCAGCGGCAGAGAACTCTTGCATTTCTCTCCTTAAATGCCTGTTCTTCGCAGACCTGTGAAAACTTAGAAATAGTTAAAAACAGGCCGGGCGCAGTGGCTCACACCTGTAATCCCAGCCCTTTGGGAGGCCAAGGCGGGTAGATCACTTGAGGTCTTGAATTCAAGACCAGCCCAGCCAGCATGAAAAAACCCTGTCTCTACTAAAAATTCAAAAATTAGCCAAGCTTGGTGGTGGGTGCCTGTAATCCCAGCTACTCGGGAGGCTGACGCAGGAGAATCTCTTAAACCCGGGAGGTGGAGGTTGCAGGGAGCTGAGATCGTGCCACTGCACTCCAGCCTGGGCGACAGAGCAAGACTCTGTCTAAAAAAGAAAAAAAAGAAAGAAAGAAATAGTTAAAAACAAAACGGTTCACTGTCTTATCTTCCTGTTGCAACAGAAGTCACTGGTAATCTCTGACAGTTCAGTTAAACAGACTCAATTCAGATTTTAAGACAGTCTCTCACAGTTTTAAACCACATAAGATGTCAACGAAAAGAGTCAAACTCGGTGAAAGATTCGAAGAGATTTATTCTGAACCAAATATAAGTGACCATGGCCCATGACCCAGCCCTTGTGCCCAAGGGGACCAGGGCGTAGCCTCCGTTTTATACATTTCAGGAGACCTGAGACATCAATCAGATTCATGTAAGAAATACGTTGGTTCAGCCTAGAAAGGCGGGACGACTTCAAGTGGGGGACTTCCAAGTTATAGGTAGACTTAATTTAAAATTTTTCTGATGGCAATTGGTTGAAAGAGTTATTATCGGCCAGGTGTGGTGGCTCATGCCTGTAATCCTAGCACTTTGGGAGGCTGAGGCAGGCAGATCACGTGAGGTCAGGAATTCAAGACCAGGCTGGCCAACATGGCAAAACCCTGTCTCTACTAAAAATACAAAAATTAGCTGGGTGTGGTGGTGGGCGCCTGTAATCCCAGCTACCTGGGAGGCTGAGGCGGGAGAATCACTTGAATCCGAGAGGCGGAGGCTGCAGTGAGCTGAGATTGAGCCACTGCACTCCAGCCTGGGTGACAGTGAGACTCCATCTCAAAAAAAAAAAACGAGTTATTATCAATAGAAAGGAATGTCTGGGTTATGATAAGGGGTTGTGGAGACAAAGCTTTTATCCTGCAGATGAAGCCTCCAGGTAGCAGGCTTCAGAGAGAATAGCTTGTAAATACTTCTTATCAGGCTTAAGGTCTGTGTTGATCTTAAACACTGGTTGGCTTTTCCAGAACTCACAAAGGGAGGAGGGCATCGTGAGGCATGTCCCACCCTGCTTCCTGGCATGGTCTGAACCAGTTTTTCAGGTTAGCTTTGGAGTGCCCTGGCTGAGAGGTGGGGTCCATTCTGATGGATGGGGAGCCTCAGAATTGTATTTTTGGTTTACAAAGAGGACTTCTGATTCTGGTCAAAATGGGACAAGGACCAGGTTTACCCTCTGCTCTGAAACAACTGAAAAACCTGAGGCTGGGCGTGGCTCACATCTCTAATCCTAGCACTTTGAGGGGCCAAGTTGGCACATCACTTGAGGCCAGGAGTTCAAGACCAGCCTGGCCAACACGGCAAAACCCCATCTCTACATTAGCAGAGCACGGTGGTGTGCTCCTGTAGTCCCAGCTACACGGGAGGCTGAGGCACAAGAATTGCTTGAACCCGGCAGGTGGAGGTTGCAGTGAACCGAGATTGCACCACTGCACTTCATTGGGTAAAAGAACAAGACTCTGTCAAGACTCTGTCAAGAGCCTGGGTGACAGCACGAGACTCTCTCTCTAAAAAAAAAAAAACAACCCTGAGAAAGAGAAAAATCTACAAGACGAGCTTTCGTGACACTGAGCGTCAGGCAATGAAGGAAAACGGGAATCAAGTGGGGTGAGCCCTGAGATGCCCGGCTAGCCGCGTGGAGAGTCTCCAGGCCATGGGGTAAGGAGACGGGACCAGCCTCCTCCTGAGCGGAGCACAGCCAGCTGGGAGTCCAGGCAAGCCTAGGTGGCAGGATCCACAGGGCGGAGCAGGAGGACAGAGCGCTGCACAGAGGGAGCCGGAGGTCTGCAGAAGGTTCCCACGAGTGTTCAGCCGAGAACCGATCAGTACGTGCGTAAGGGGAACCTGCCTGAGCCTGGGGAAAGAACCACCGCAAAGGATTAGAAGTCGCAGTGTCTGGTGCTCACCCAAGGCTGGGAATAGTTGCCTGTTCCCATCAGCCAGAGTGGAAGAACTCGTGCTTCACCTGGCATTGGTAAGGGTCCTCAGAGGGGTCTCAGCTCAGGAGTAGGGAAAGTTAACCCTAGGCTTGATGCTGCTTGGGTCTCATCTAATGGAGTTCTCATGCAAGACCCAAAGGGCCAATCTTTCCAAGTAACTTGGAAAAAGTAACTCGGTGCCTTGATCTGAGGGGATCGTCCGACGGAAGCTCCAAGTTTTTAAATTTTTTTCAGAGACAGGGTCTCGCTCTGTCACCCAGGCTGGAGAGCAGTGCTGCGACTGTGGCTCACTGCAGCCTCAAGCTCCAAGGCTCAAGCGATCCTCCCACCTCGGCCTCCTGAGTAGCTGGGACCACAGGCCCATGCCACTAAACTCGTGCTTTTTAAAAAGAAGGTTATATGTTGACATGATTACAAGACTTCCCAGATTTCAAAAGTGTTTCAACCAGCACTTTGGTGAAAAACGTTGGAGTCTGTGTTTCCCTCGCACTGACTTTTTGCATTGCTTGGTGTTAGCGAGCTGCCCCGCCTCCTCTGTAGTGAGAAGTGGGTCATAAATCACCCACCCGTGGCTCAGAAGAAGTACTCAGGACCTGGGTGAAGGGGCAGGGAAGGGATGGACCCGGGAGAGGGCTTGTCCCACCACTAGGGTGAGAAAGCAGCTCCGCGGAAGGGAAACTGCGCCTCTGCAACTCCCCAGAGAGCCTCCCGCAAGGCCTGGACCTGGCTGAGTCCCCGCGTGCCCTGGGGTAGGGGCTCCCATAGCCCCCAGAGCTTCCTCTACAGCCAGTTTGTGCTGCCCACAGTGGGCCGGGGCCTCTCCCCCTGGGAAGCTGAGTGTCCCACAGTCCTGGGCAGTCCTTGGGGCCACCACCTGGCAGAGGTGCTCCCTGTAGTGGTCACAGCCTTCGCTGGAGCTGCCTGAGGCTGTCCTGCCTTTCCCAGGACTTCGCTGGGACTGCTGGCCTTTGGAGGAAGCTGGGAAGCACCTGAGCACTCGGGAGAGACTGGGCTAGTCTGGAGCTGTCTCTTGGTCCCCAGGGTGAGGGATGGGAGGGCTGAAGCTTGGTGAACAGGCTCGACCTGGACACATGTCATTGAGACAGCATCTGAAAGGGGCAGGCAGAGCCGTGACAGCCGGGACTTCCAGGGCGTTGCCACCAGCTATGGGGGAGTGTGCTGGGCCGTCCCGCTCCTGGGGAAGGATTTTCCATGTTCTCGTCTTACAGGAGAGAAAAGAGCCGACGAGAGACCCAGCCAAGTCCGTCCCAGGGGCTGTGTCACTCTGCTTGGGTATCCCAGGGGTGACCCAGCTTCTGTCCCCTGCCCAGCTGGCCCCAGTTCTGCTTCCCGGGGACTCAGACCTTCCCTCCCTTCAGTGCAAAGGGGCAGGGTAGGTCCTGGGCCCGCAAGGCCAGGCCTCAGTTTCCCCTTCCTCGTGACAGATTTGGCCCCGCCGGCCCCTCAGCCCACCTGGCTTTTGTCCTTGCAGCCTGGATGCCCTATTTCCTTGGGGACCCCAACACTGTTTTTTCTTTAAGTGAATCTAGAAAAACACATGGCCACACAGCCCTTGCCAAACAATTCCAGAACAATCCTTGGATCGCTTTGGAAAAAGTAAGCATTCCCCTTCCTCTCCCACTCTTCTGAACTCCACCCACCCATGCAGTGGGAGCGACTGAGATGCTCGCTGCTTTCAGGGGAAAGACCTGGGGGCCGAGGGCACCTGACAGAGTTGCCCCTGCCCAGGCCTGCATGGGGTGAAGCTAGGCAGGGCCCTTCACTGCAAAAATGTTTGGGCTCGGGAAGGACCCCAGGGCTCCTGCACGTATGAGGGCCAGGCTATTTGACGGAGATGGGGCCAAGGTCATGGCAACGGGAGGATGTGGGAGGGTGGACAGAGTTGGTCCTAGGACATGGGTCCTGCCCTTGAAGTTCCAGACTCTGCCCAACCCTGAGAATCAGCTGCCTTCCGGGGGGGGAGCCCCTCTGCTGACCAAGCCTGCCCTGTCCCCAAATGAGCATGGCTGCCCCCAGCCCAGGCTCCTCCTTCAGGCCTCTCTGCCCCAAACCCAGGACAAGCTGCTCATTCACCCCCAACAGGGGCAGAAACCAGGCAGTGAGGGTGACAGGATTTTACTGTGGGATCAGGGATGGTGGAACAACAGAGCAACCCAGAGGACACAGGACAAGTGAAGCCTGAGCCCAGCCTGTCTTGGGGTCCGAGCCTGTCTTGGGGTCCGAGCCTGTCCTGGGGTCCCAGCCTGTCCTGAGGTCCGAGCCTGTCCTGGGGTCCCAGCCTGTCCTGGGGTCCGAGCCTGTCCTGGGGTCCCAGCCTGTCCTGGGGTCCGAGCCTGTCCTGGGGTCCCAGCCTGTCCTGGGGTCCCGGCCTGTCCTGGGGTCCGAGCCTGTCCTGGGGTCCCGGCCTGTCCTGGGGTCCGAGCTTGTCCTGGGGTCCCGGCCTGTCCTGGGGTCCGAGCCTGTCCTGGGGTCTGAGGCTGTCCTGGGGTCCCAGCCTGTCCTGGGGTCCGAGCCTGTCCTGGGGTCCCAGCCTGTCCTGGGGGTCGCACACTGGCCCCTCCCACTGCCCCCCTTGGTGCGCTCTGTGCCTCTGCAGGCCTGGAGTCTGGACCAAAGTGCCTGACAGTGCTGGCCTTTGAAAAGGGAAGGGCCTGCCAGGCTCAGCCTCCAGGCTGCCAGGGCCCGGCCCTGACCTGGGTTGAACTCTTCATGGATGAGCTGGCAGAAGGACTGACCAACCTCGTGGGGAGATGTCCCAGCCCGGCCCTCAGGGAAGGTCCCACCCTCTGGCCTCAGCACACAACCAGCCATGTGACAGGTTCATACTCAAGAAAAATCCTAGGCACCCTTATTTAAGTAAAGCCGTAGGAATTTATTATATAGACTTTAAAAAATTTTTTTCTAGTTTTAAAAGCACTTCTTATAGAAAATGTTCAAATTAAATATCAAAATAAGAAATTTTAAATTACTCAAGCACTACAGGCATGAATATGTCTTAAATGCCTTTCCCCACTATATTTATGCAAAATACCATCTTGTTTGCAAAAATCTATACAGAGAAGACTCACCCACCATCCCACACATTTTAAAGGATTACGTGAAGTACAGATTGGATCCTGCCACCTTCCCCTTCCCCTTGAACATTTTGGTGCCAACGCATCTATATTAGCACAGCCATTCTGCACAGATACTGTTCTACAAATTTGCATTTTTCACTAATGTCATGTCACGGATGCTTTTCCAGATCAGTGGAAACAGATCTGCCTCCTTGTGTGAATGGCCACACTGCATTGTGTAGTATAACTGTTTTCCTCTTTCCTTCTTGCTGGATAGTTTGGGAGTTTCTAGTTTTCCCTACAACGAGAATCCTTGTATGAATAATGACAAAGGTTTGTCCTATTATTTCTGATAACATACATTCCCTACAAGTAGAATTATTACCTCAAAGATACTGTTCAATATCTCTTTATTAAGATACAAAATCTCTCTCTTTTTTTTTTTTTTTTTTTTTGAGAAGGTGTTTTGCTCTTATTGCCTAGACTGGGGTGCAATGGCATGATCTTGGGTCACCACAACCTCCTGGGTTCAAGCTATTCTCCTGCCTCAGCCTCCCGAGTAGCTGGGATTACAGGCGTGCGCCACCATGCCTGGCTAATTTTGTATTTTTAGTAGAGACGGGGTTTCTCCATGTTGGTCAGGCTGGTCTCGAACTCCCGGCGTCAGGTGATCCACCCACCTCGGCCTCCCAAAGTGCTGGGATTACAGGCGTGAGCCACCGCACCCAGCCTAGGATAAGAAATCTCTTTACTAAGGTAAAAACATTTCAGCAGGGATGCAAACCATCTCGTTTTTCTGAGGACTCTCCCAGGGACCTGTATGGCTTAAGAATCCAGAAATGTGATTATAACAGGGCTACTAAGGCAGCAGGTTATCAAGACAATCAAGCAGAATCCCAGGATTTGTTTGTTTGTTTGTTTGTTTTGAGACAAAATCTTGTTCTGTCTTGCCCAGGCTGGAGTGCCATGGTGTGATCTTGGCTCACTGCAGCCTCTGCCTTCCGGGTTCAAGCGATTCTCCTGTCTCAGCCTCCCGAGTAGCTGGGATTACAGGCGTCTGCCACCACACCCGGCTAATTTTGTATTTTTAGTAGAGACGGGGTTTCTCTACTAAAGGAGTTCAGGGTTTCTCAAACTCCTGACCTCAGGTGATCCACCCGCCTTGGCCTCCCAAAGTGCTGTGATTACAGGTGAGAGCCACCGCCCCCAGCCAGAATTCCAGGTTTTTATTTGAAGTTATTTTCAAAAACCATGGCCTCAGACTCTAAAGCCTTAGAAACACTGCAAGGCTCTTCTGTTTCAATAACAGTTCATGGTAATCAAGAGATTGGAAAGCTGATAACAGTTACAAAGTTTCACACAAGTTCTAATTTCCTATAGGAAAACAAGATTTATACTCTTGTAAATGGTCTTAATTCCACACCTTATCCAATCAAATTCTGTGATCAACCTTTATCATTTGGAATATCTCTCCTCCACGGTTTCAGGGGAAAGGAGAAATCTTTAACCCTCTCTTAGATTTTTTTTTGTTAATGCACATTTTCATTTTTAAGGAGAGGATCTGAAAATTCATTAGTTACCTGAGAAGCAAAAAGCAAACCCATGGAATTCGGTTTTACCCAGTCAAAAATGAAATGCATTAATAGGATCTTAGTTATAACAGCTGAAGGACGAGCAATATAATTTTTCTTCCGCAAAGAACAGAAACACTTTTCAAATGAATAGTTCAAAAGTTAATTCCATATGCCAATTCATTCTTTCACAGATAGGGAGCTGGCTTCCTTACAAGTTGCCAGGACTAGAGGCAATTACCTTGCTTGGTTTTTTGTTGTTGTTGTTTTTTGAGATGGAGTTTCGCTCTGTCGCCCAAGCTGGAGTGCAGCGGCACGAACTCCGCTCACTGCAAGCTCCGCCTCCCGGGTTCACGCCATTTTCCTGACTCAGCCTCCCGAGTAGCTGGGACTACAAGCACCCGCCACCACGCCCGGCTAATTTTTTGTACTTTTAGTAGAGACGGGGTTTCACCGTGTTAGGCAGGATGGTCTCGATCTCCTGATCTCGTGATCCGCCCACCTTGGCCTCCCAAAGTGCTGGGATTACAGGCGTGAGCCACCGTGCCCGGCCACCCTGTTTGTTTATTTTTTTGACAATCTGATGGGACCAAAAAACTAATGTTTTATGATTTTTAAACAACTTTATTGAGATATAACTGACATGCAATAAACTGCACATATGTAAAGTATGTGTTTAATTAATTTGCACATGTGTATATACTTGCGAAAGTATCACAACAATCAGCATAATGAGCATATCCACCACCACCAAAGGATTCACCATGCGCCTGGGTGACCCATCCCTCTCATCCTTCCCTGCTCCCCCACCTCCAGCTACCATCTGATCTTAGTTGAATAGTTAATATTTATAATGGCGGCCGCCAGGCCATCTCACTCACGGCTTTGGGGGCATCATTTTGCACAGCCCCTGTGGAGGGTGATTTGGGCTCATGGATCAGGCTGACAAATGCAGGAACCTGTCAGCCAGCCATTCCCCTTCCAAGAATGTATCTTATTCATTCTCTAACAGCTATGCAAAGTGGCCGGGTGCAGTGGCTCACTCCTGTAATCCCAGCACTTTGGGAGGCCAAGGCAGGCGGATCACTTAAGGCCAGGAGTTCGTTCGAGACCAGCCTGGCCAACATGGTGAAACCCGGTCTCTACTAAAAATACAAAAATTAGCCGGGCATGGTGGCAGGTGCCTGTAGTCCGAGCTACTCAAGAGGCTGAGGCAGGAGAATCACTTGAACCCAGAGGGCGGAGGTTGCAGTGAGCTGAGATTGCACCATTGCACTCCAGCCTAGGCTACAGAGCGAGACTCCAACTCAAAACAAACAAACAAAAAACAAAACAAACAAACAAACAAAAACACAAAACTCACACACAGAAAAAACCCATAAACTGACTTCAGTCCCGGGCTAAGTCATTTCAATTGTAGTAGCAAAATACTGGAAACTCCCTAAATGCCCAGGAGCAGACACCAGGGAAAGGATTGCAGTGCACCCAAACAATGGAGTACTGTCAGCTGCTTTCAAAAACAAAAAAAAGAGAGACAGAAAGAAAAACAGGAATTGCTCCAAGATGCCATGTGGAGACGAAGCCCATGGGCAGAGCGGGGTGCCAGCATGCTTTGTCCCTGTGTAGGATCCGCCAGAGCCGTGACCTGGCCTCGTCTGTCTCTCCCTTTCCAACCCCTATCCCAGGCGAAGGAGAACTCACCTGACTGGCAGATGGGTGAAGGTATTAAGCCCATTTCTCTGTGCTTTAACTTGTTACATTTATTCAGTGTTTCTCCTTCTTATGTCTCCAAGGGGGGAAGCACTGCTGCCCACATCTGCGTTAAATCATCTGTCTGTCGCTGGTGGTGCTCACATAGCCGAGGGCTGCAGATGACAGCCACATTCTTCACAGTGGCTTTTTCAGGAATGACGATTATATTTGATCTTCGCCTGCCTGCCTCTCTCAGGTTGTGCCTCGGTAGGTCATTTGTTGGCACCCCTAACAAACAATTGATTGCATACCAGCAGTTTATACGCATCTTATACGTGCCATTAGACAGGGTACATGTGTCTTATGCAGACGTGACACAGTGCATATATGAATGTATAATCCCCCAAATGACAGGATTGTTCACCCAGAAAATCAGAGACTAAACCAAAAGCCTCTTAGAACAAATATCACAATCTGGAAAGGTCACTGATTATAATACAAATATGAAAAACTCAGTAGGTTTACATTTTACACTGAGGACCTAGTTAGATAATTTTTAGGGGGAAAGGGTCTGATTCACAATATTGCCTAAAACTATGAAAAACCTGGTAATATGTTTTAAAAGAATTGTTCAAGACCTACATAGTAACAACTCAATACAGAACATTCAAAACTAAAACTCAAGAAGGACCAGAGACACGGGTAGAGGCGAAAGGGGCTGCCTGGGGTGGTGGTGGCAGGGGGCGCAGGATGGACATTGTAATATAAGTTCTAGAGCTGTTATTTGATTTTTGAAACTATGTTGATGTACTACTCTGGCAAAAACGTAAATCAAAAATTTAAAATTCACAGAAAAAAACAAATTTGTGAGAAGTGACAATTTGAAACCTTGGAATTAATTTTTTTTTTTTTTTGAGATGGAGTCTTACCTGTCACCCAGGCTAGAGCGCAATGGCGCAATCTCGGCTCACTGCAACCTCTGCCTCCCAGGTTCAAACGATTCTCCTGCCTCAGCCTCCCGAATGGCTGGGATTACAGGCACTCGCCACCACACCCAGCTAATTTTTGTATTTTTAGTAGAGATGGGTTTCACCAGGTTGGCCAGGCTGGTCTCAAACTCCTGACCTCGTGATCCACCCGCCTCAGCCTCGCCAAGTGCTGGGATTACAGGCGTGCCCAGCCGGAATTAATTTTTTTAAAATAAGCTATCAAATGCCTTCTGTAAAGTTTGTTCTAGGTTACAGTCCCACCAACGGTGAATTCGTGTGTTAAATTTCAGCACTGCACTTGCACAGCCTTGGAGTGAGGGTCTCCTTAGCAGTAACATATAGGCCTGGCATGGTGGCTCATACCTGTAATCCCAGTGCTTTGGGAGGCCGAAACAGGAGGATTGTTTGAGGCCAGGAGTTTGAGACCAGCCAGGGCCATATGGCAAGACCCCATTTCTACAATAATTTTTTTAATTAGCTGGACAATGAGGCACAGGCCTGTAGCCCTAGCTACAGGCGGGAGGGAGCTTTGAGGAGGGAGGATTGTTGAGCCCAGGAGTCCGCAGTTACAGTGAACTATGATTGCATCACTGCACTCCAGCCTGGGAAACAGAGTGAGACTGTCTCAAAAAAAAGAAAAAAGAAAAAAAAATAGTAAGGCATCTTGGGCACAGAATGTAGTGCAGGCTCAGCTCTGGCATCATCCTGACATCCTTCCATTTTGTGCCCTGGTACCTCACTAGCTTCCCTCTCATCCTGGCCTTGACTGCATCTCTGGGCAATTGCAGAGATTAATGCCACCACTAAAGGCTTGAAAGAAGCAGAGATGTGGCTATCTATTACATTCCCATGCCGTAGAACCCACCAGCTCAACCCATGCAAATGCTGGACAAACCTTGGAGAATGACTGTGACCTGTAATAAACGTGATCAGGTGGTTGACTGCACTCGCGGCTGCTGTCCCAGACGTAGCACTTTTACTGGTGCAAATCCACCTGGCCCCTGGCACTTGGTATGCAGCTATTGGCCTAGCTAATGTCTTATTTTCCATACTAATTTGCAAAAACAATTTGCTTTTACCTGTCAGGGCCAACAGTACACCTTCGTGTCTTAACTACATGAATCCTGGCTTCTGCTATAATATAGTCCACAGGTATCTTTGTTATCTTTTTTTTTTTACAGTCCAGAGGTCTTTTATTTTATTAACACCTATTATGCCATGAATTCACAGGGAATAGGTTCCAGCAGCTCGGGCTCCTTCCTGTTGGTTCTCACAAAGTGTGCATCTTTGGGTGGAGCAGCCTGGAGCTTAGTTGAACCCAGGTACCTTTCTCTTTTTTTTGTTTTTTTTTTTTTTTTTTTTTTGAGATGGAGTTTCACTCTTGTTGCCCAGGCTGGAGTGCAATGGCGTGATCTCAGCTCACTGCAACCTCCGCCTCCCAGGTTCAAGTGATTCTCCTGCCTCAGCCTCCCAAGTAGATGGGATTACAGGTGCGTGCCATCATGCCTGGCTAATTTTTTGTATTTTTAGTAGAGACGAGTTTTCACCATGTTGGTCAGGCTGGTCTCGAACTCCTGACCTCAGATGATCCACCCGCCTCAGCCTCCCAAAGTGCTGGGATTACAGGCGTGAGCCACAGTGCCCGGCCCAGGTACCTTTCTCTGTGGCCTCTTTCTTTTTCTGATCATTTTCCTTCACGCGTCTCAGGAAGCTGTCTCGGCTCTTAGAGTGCTTCATGTGCTCAATACGCACATTAGTTCTCTTGGCAGGAATCTTGCCCTTAGCTTGTTTGTCTACAGCAATGCCAACAGCATGCTGGGGAACATCGTAGACTCTTCCAGCTTTGCCATGGTGACACTTGTGCGGCTTCCTTTTTGAACAGTTCCCATTCCCTTGATGTCTACAGTATCACCTTTCTTATACATTCGCATGTACGTGGCCAAAGGAAAAATTCCATGTTTTCCACAAGGCCTGGAGAACATACATCGGGTGCCTCTCCTCTTTCCCTTTGTGTTCGTCATTTTGGCGAATTACTGGAAAACGGCGGTTCCGGCTGAAAGGGCTTTGTTATCTTTTATTTTTGTATTTAAGTAAGCTTTATTGTTTGTATCTTATACTTCAAAAAAAGCTCAGATAAATATTTAATTTGTATGAGTCACCTGGGGATTGTACAATTGCAGACTCTGATCTAGTAGGTCTGAGGAAGGCATTCTTTTTACTGATTGATTGATTGATTGATTGATTGATTGAGACAGGGTCTCACTCTGCCACCCAGGCTGGAGTGCAGTGGCACCATCTCAGCTCACTGCAGCCTCCACTTCCCAGGCTCAAGTGATCCTCCCATTTCAGCCTCCCAAGTAGCTGGGACTACAGGTACACACCACCATGCTGGCTAATTTTTTGTAGAGATGAGATCTCACTGTGTTTCCCAGGCTGGTCTCGAACTCCTGGACTTAACCAACCTGCCTGCCTTGGTCTAACAAGGTGCTGAGATTACAGGTGTGAGCCACTGCACCCAGCTGAGGCAGGCATTCTGACTTTCTAAAACCTTTCCCGGCAGTACCCATGCTGCTAGTATCTTAACCATTCTTACAGTATCAAGATCCTAACACACTGCTTTCTAAAATGTAGTCAAACAACATGAAAATCCTTTATTTTAATCCATGCTTCAGTTCCTTTTTTCCTTTATACTTTGTATTTATTTATTAAATTGTGGTGAAACATACATAACATAAAACTCACGATTTTCACCATTTTTAGGTCTACACTTCAGTGGCATTCAGCACACTCACATTGTCGTGCAACCATCATCACCATCCATCTTCAGAATTCCTTTCACCTTGCAAAACTGGAGCTCTGCACCCATCATACAATAAATCCCCATTGTCCCCAACCCTTGGCAACCCCCATTCTACTTTCCATCTCTATGAATTGATCTTTATTTATTTATTTAGAGACGGAGTCTCATTCTATCACCCAGGCTGGAGTGCAGTGGCGGGATCTTGGCTCACTACAGCCTCCGCCTCCTGGGTTCAAGCGATTCTCCTGTCTCAGCCTCCCAAGTAGCTGGGATTACAGGCGTGGGCCACCATACCTGGCTAATTTTTGTATTTTAGTAGAGACAGGGTTTCACCATGTTGGCCAGGCTGTTCTCGAACTCCTGATCTCAAGTGATCTGCCCGCCTTGGCCTCCCAAAGTGCTGGGATTACAGGCGTGAGCCACTGCGCCTGGCCAAATTGATCTTTATTATTTAACATTCCACACACCACTACACTGGCCCCCTGCATTGGTGATATAAAGCTGATTGGATCTGATAAGAAATAGCACATCCTCTAGAAGCTTTAATAAAACATATGTCAGCTAGAAGATGGGGGATAAATCCCCCCAAATTTGAGACCTGTGATTTCTAAGCTTCTTGGGGGTTATTTGGGCTGGAGAATTTTGAAATATTCACTCTAAGGTGAAGGCAAGTTGCTACACCTCCCACTACCTACTATGAAGAAAGAGGCAAATGCTTGGAAGGGCTTTTGGGGGTCTCACTATGTTGCCCAGGTTGATCTCAAACTTCTGGCCTCAACCAATCCTTGTGCCTAAGCCTCCCAAAGTGTTGGGATTACAGGTGTCAGCCACCAGGCTGGCCCAACACATTTTAGTGTGTTACCATGACCCATCTCCCGAGTGCCCCATAAGGCAGCCAGTTTCCATAAGAGGCTGAGCAAGAGGAGGTTCTGCAGGCCTGGGCTGCTCTATGCGTACAAGCCTCTGTGCCGCCCAGCCCTGTGAGCCACTGCTGCTCAACATATCCATGACAAGCGCCAATGGGAAAATTGCAGTCCGGACCTCTAGAATTGTGGAGCAATTCTGTGCTCTCTTCTGTAGATAACTAGTTTCCTTCTGAGAAACTGCTTCTCGCTTTCTACTGGGATTCGAGTCTGAACGCCCACCCCTGTGTCATTAGGTGATCATTCAGCCTAGTTCCCATTAGGGGCCGGGCATGGTTGGACCCACCCAGCCACCAGGCGTGGGATCTGCAGCGGTGGCCTCTCAGTCCATGTACGCAGTAGAGGCAAGCTGGGGTGGGTCCAGACGGCATGGGAACTTCACAGGGAAGGCAGGTGGCCCAGACTCCCTCAGCACCTACCCCTGCTGCCCTGTCTCCCTTCCCCATCCATGCCTCCAGCCTCCCCGGGTACTCCTCACACCCAGTTGGCTGAGGAAGAAACTCGAGCCTGGTGACAGAGGGCTCGGCATGCTATGCCAGTTCCCACAAAAGTAGACATGAGTACTACAGCTCCACCGGCCGAGCCCCGGTAGCGAAGGAACCCTCCCTAGGCGCACAGTTTGAGCCATTCACTCGGCTGTCCACTACATGCAGACAGAGAGATGCCCAGAGGTACAAATCCGTGCCCACTTAGAAACAGCTGCTAACAGTTTGGTTGGATGTTCGGGGACCTGGAAGAAAAGGATTGGAAGTTTGGTAACAAGGATGTCTGAGGAAGAAGTATGCGGTCAGCCTCTCGAGATGGACACAGACTACAGGAACATTTGCGCATCATATAAATGCTCAGCAAAGGGTGTCCCCTTCAGAAGAGGCTGAATCAGGTAAAAGAAGGAAGTTCTGTGAAGTCATCAGCCAGACCCTGTGTGTTTCCTAGGAATGCTGCAACAAAGTGCCGCAAGCTGCGGGTGCTTAGGCCCTAAAAACGTGCCATCTCCCAGTTCTGGAAGTTAGAAGTCTGGGGTCAAGGTGTCAGCAGAATTGCCTCCTTCTGAGGAAGTGAGGGAGACTCCATCCCAGCCCGTCTCCCAGCTGTGGGAGTTTTCTGTCAATCTCTGGCCTTTCTTGGCTTGTAGAAGTGTTACTGGAAAGGGGCCCCAATGCAGACCCCAAGAGAGCGTTCTCAGATCTCACACGAGACAGAATTAGAGGCAATTCCACAGTGCAAAGTGAAAGCAAGTTTGTTTTATTCTATGTATTTTATCTTTTGAGATGGGGTCTCACTCTGTCACCCAGGCTGGAGTGCAGTGGCGTGATCTTGGCTCAATGCAACCTCCACCTCCCAGGCTCAGGTGATCCTCCCACCTCCGCTGAAACTACAGGTGCACACCACCATGCTTGGCTAATTTTTTAAATTTTTCACAGAGACAGGGTTTCACCATGTTGCCCAGGCTGGTCTCAAACTCCTGGACTCACGCGATCTGCCCGCCTCGACCTTCCAAAGTGCTGGGACTACAGGTGTGAGCCACCACACCTAGCTGCAGGTTTATTAAGAGAGTAAAGGAATGAAAGAATAGCTACTCCTGGATGGGCATGGTGGCTCATGCCTGTAATCCCAGCATGTTGGGAGGCTAAGGCAGGAGGACTGCTTGAGCCCAGGAGTTTGAGACTACCCTGGACAACATAGTAAGACCCTGTCTCTATAAAATATATATATATATTTTGGCCAGGCCCAGTGGCTCACGCCTGTTTTATATTTATATATATATATATAAAACATAAAATATAAAATATATATTTTATATTTATATATATAAAACATAAAATATAAAATATATATATTTTATATTTATATATATAAAACATAAAATATAAAATATATATTATATATATATATATTTTTGACAAGGACCAGTGGCTCACGCCTGTAATCCCAACACTTTGGGAAACCAAGGCAGACAGATCACCTGAGGTCAGGAGTTCAAGACCAGCCTGGTCAACATGGTGAAACCCCATCTCTACTAAAAATACAAAAATTAGCCGGGTGTGGTGGTGTGTGCCTGTAATCCCAGCTACTCGGGAGGCGGAGGCACAAGAATTGCTTGAACCTGGGAGGCAAAGGTTGCAGTGAGTCAGGATTGTGCCACTGCACTCAAGCCTGAGCAACAGAGTGAGACTCTGTCTTAAAATATATATATATATAATTTGTATCCTGTAAATATATATATACAAATATGTGGCTGACTGCCACGGTTACTACTTGAGATCATCCCCACAACAATTACTACTTTTACTACTTGAGACCGTCATTACAAGACTGAACGAAGAGACAAACGTAGAAATGAAAACTGAAGACAAAAGAAACTGTTTGAAAGGAACTGTCCAGGGAAGGATGAAGAGAGCTCCCTGCTTCTAGTGGACAAAGGCAGCCCCTGAGCTTCCATAGCCCTTCATATTTATTGGGTAGCAAGAGCAGGGAGGAGGAGGTAATGACTGGTCGGCTGCTAATTGATAACAGGTTCATGTTATTACTAACAGGCTTCAGATGTACCTAATCTCAAGAAACACTGCGTTTGGGGAGTGACTGCCCTCAGCATCCCTTCTGGGTGGCAGACACAGTTTGTCAGTTTGCCAACATTCCGCATTTATGAGAAACAGTTTGCTGTTTACTCATAGAGCCTCCAGTGGTATACTGAACTGATCACCACCCTCATTCTTTCGGCCTGTAACACAAATATATATACAAAAGATACATACATATATATATTATCCTGTAAAATAGAGCCCCCAAAATATATACATATATTTTTTAAGAAAAAAAAAAAAAAGAATGACTATAGACAGAGAAGGGCATTCCTTAAAGTAAAAGGAGGACCAAGCCCAGCCTAAGTACAATGCCTGTTTAAGATACGAAAATCATAGGAGATGTGCTTTACTACAAGGGTTTGTGATAGAGGATTAATCTTTGTAATTACCATCTTTCACAAGAATCGATATTATCTTTAAAACAAAACGTCTTAAACTAGGAATGCTTGCGTTCTCAAGATATTGGGACATCAGGACATTCCAGGTCTGTTAGTAAACATTATTAATCTGCTCCCTCAACCGTAAACTCTTGCGACTAACAATGCCTAAGTTCCTGGGAATGTAGCCCAGCAGGCCCCAGCCTCATTTTTCCCAGCCCCTATTCAAGATGGAGTCACTCTGGTTCGAATGCCTCTGACAGGAGCAGCACCCTGATCTGTCTCCATCCTCACACTGCATTCTCCCTGTGTCTGTCTCCAAATTTCCCCTTTTTAGGACACCAGTCGTATTGGATTAGAGCCACCCAATGACCTCATTCTAACTTGATTACCTCTGTGAACACTCTAGCTCCAAGTAGGGCCACATTGGGAGTTACGATTTTAAGATGAATTTGGGGGGACACAATTCCCTAGCCACACCAGCGCTTTTTCAATGAACCCACAAACAATGTATTTATGGTGACCAAGATGGAGGCTACGCATGGGCCCAGCAACACGGGCTCATCTCTCCAGGCTGGTCTGACTAATCTCACTGCTGGCAGCCCCCTCTCACAACCCCAGAGAGCAGCACTGAGTGCCTGATGGCACCTTCCCCCACAGAGAGCAGCCAGCATCTGGTAGCAGGTGGGTCCTGGTCTCTTCCATCATGGAGGGGACACAGACTCACCTTCCTGGAAGGGACACACTTTGCCTCCCTTACCCAGAGTGTTTCTGCAGCACTGCTGCTTGTAGCCTCACGTGATGCCTTTCACCATCATGGCTTCCATGCAGGGCTGCTTCTGACCAAGGAACCCATTTCACCACCAAGGAAATGCCACAGTGGCTCGTGGCCGTGGAATTCACTGATCTTACTGCTTATTCTATCACCCAGAAGGAGCTAGCCTCAGCAAAAGACTGAGTGGCAATACCCAGGAAAGATGGACTCTATTTTACAGGATTCCATATACGCTTTGAATCAGGGGCCACCACATGGTTCTACTTCCCTTATAGCCAAAATGCATGGCTCCAGAAACCAAGCTGTCACAGGTAGTGACTAACTAGGACCAGTGGCGCATGCAATAAAGGAATTTACCAAGAGAGTTGTAGGTAAAGACAGGCAGGCTTATTAGAGAACACAGGAAAATACATTGCAAGAAAGCAATGGGCAGATCAGCAAAAGGGGAGCTGACTACAAGGAGACAAAGACTTGTGGGGGATTTTATAGGATGGTGCTTGTGCTGGAGAGGGCCACGCGCAGTGCTGATAATGCCCAGGTTGCAGCGAGCTAACTGACACTTGTCTATCGGCTGAGGATCTGGCGATAAGATGGGCACAGGAAGATTGTGAGTTATTTGCTTAGGAGGGCTCTGTGTGTCCTGGGCCATGTAGAAAGGCAGGCTTATAGCTTATCTGTTTTTTGTTTGTTTGTTTTGCTTTCCCTGCTCCCCCCAGCCTGACTCCTCTTCCCCGATTAGAACTCCATGCAACCAGTTGATATGAGGGGGATCCACTTACTATTACCCCCAATAACAACCAGCTGGCAGGATTTTTGCTTCCTGTCGCAGCAACTTTGAGCTCTGCTAATGTGAAGGTCTTAGTCCCGGAGAGGAACATCCTTCAACCAGGAGACACAGCAATGGTTTCATTAAATTGAAAGATGATGCCGCCACCTGGCCATCTGGGGCTCATTCTGTCATGACACCAAAAGACCTAAAAAATGATTGCTCTCTTGACTGCAGTGATAGGTTCTGATTCTCCTGGGAGACCAGGCAGCTGCTACTATGTCTGGAAATCAGGGCATTCATTCTCTGCGGCACTTCTGACTATTTCCATGGCCAATAGAAAAGGTTCATGGAAAACTACCCCAGCCATAGAAAGGCAGGAAAATTGAGGACTCAGAACCTTCTGAAATGAAAGTTTTAGTTGTTTCATCAAGTAAAGATCACCAACTAGCTGAGGTCCCGGCTGAGGGAGGGGAAAATCCAGGATGAGTGATGGGAGAAGGAACCATGGACTTCAAGCCTCGGCTCCCAACTGTCACGGAAGCAAGGAGTGTAGTAGTTTTGCTTAGTTTCCTTTGCTTGTTTTCACGTGTTTGTTTCCACATGCCAACCATTTTCCTGTTTTCTCTCGCTGGCATCTGTATTGTACACACAATTTTTTGGAGGTTAGTGTTACCATTCAGTCTTCAGGTAACAAGATATTCAGTGGACTGTGGTTGAATTTGTGGTGTAATTAACAGAGCCAACAGTGGCTACAGTAACCATTGGCACCTTGTCCTCACTGTCTCCTCATTTTGGAGACAGCGTGAGTGCATCTTCACTTGTGGGAAGGATACATGTATTGCATTTACTGGAATTTTTAGAAAAGGTTAAACGTGTGTAAAAGGGTGCATATGGAAAGCAACTGCCTGCTATCCATCTACTGCCTCTGACCCAAGCCCATCTTTCACTGCCCTACTTGGGGATTCTGGAACTTTTCCCTCTCTCCTGCTGGCACGGTGCTGTGCACTGTCAGTAGAGGGCGCTGGAGAGACAAACAAGGAGGGAGGGGGGTTTCTTTTCACTTGTTTATTGGCTGCTCACCTGCACAGCCTCCCAGGACGGCTTCCCCCGCCTTGCATAAGTAGCTTTGCAGCAAGTTCTGAGGCACAGCACCTGGCTGTGCATGGCTTACCTGGCATCTCAGGAGGCTGCGGGGTCTCACTGCAGGGATGGTGGGGGCATGCATGGGGGGCATGCATGGGGGGCTGAGGGGCTGCAAGGCAGCACAGGGTCAGAGGATGGGAGTTCTGGGGGCGACCAGGGACTGCTGGGTATAGCAGCAGTCAGTATGGGTATCGCCCATCGGTATGACTTCTCCCTGGCAAGCCCCTCCCACGGCTCAGCTATCATCCTCCATAGTGATCGCCTGACAAAACCAGAGTCTTGGTTAAACTCAGCCCTGTGATTACAGTCTGCACCTCAGCGCTGAACTTGGCTTCACGCCAAGTCACAGGTTGCTGATGAACCCACTTCAAAGAGGCGCTGGACATGGCTGGTTGAGCCTACCCCTGAGACACTAAAGTATTTTCCTCCTCTCTCCTCCCATCTCCAGCAACACCACTTTCATTTTCTCAGTTAAATGTTCAGTTATAAAATGCTAATAATATAACACATTCACATGCCTCATAATGAAAATTTACAAGCTATACGGCCAAATACCTCCTTCCTAACTTCTGTCCCCATCCAACCCTGTTCACCTCTCTCTCTCTCTCTCTCTCTCTCTCTCAGACACACACACACACACCACAAACTCTGCTCTGCACTGTGCTTTTTTCCACTTAACGTTATGTGTCCTGAATGTCAACATGAGAACAGAGAGAACTTCCTCATTCTTTTTCACCGCCACATAGTACTCCATTGTTTGGGTGCACTGCAGTGATTTCCCTGGTGTCTGCCGATGGGCATTTAGGGAGTTTCCAGTATGTTGCTACTGTAACTGAAGTGACTAGTCTGGCACTCAAGTTGCTTTGCATAGCTGGTAGAGCATGGATAAGGTACATTCCTGGAAGGAGAATGGCTGCCTCACAGGTTCCTGCATTTGTCAGCCTGACCCGGAAGCCCAAATCACCCTCCACAGGGGCTGTGCAAAATGATGCCCCCAAAGCAGTGAGCGAGAGAGAGGGCCTGGCGGCCGGCAGCCTCGCACACAAAGTGTTGTCACTCACCGGGGTATTGGTCACTCTAATGAACCACATGCCCATTCTGCAGACATCTCAAACTTTAAAAAAAAAAAAGATTAATAGAAGATTTATTTAGCAAAAATACATATAGCCATTATTGCAAGACTTAAATGAGATGTTAAATGTTCAACCCAATTTTCTTTCCTGGATAAGTTTTTCTTTCATATCCCTGTCAGTTTTGAAAACATAATACCAGAAGAAGGGGGGCCCAATTCCACAGAGAGCTCCCAAGAGTGAGTTTCTGGGAGTGAGTCTGAAGTTGAGATAAACCTTTGCTGATCTTGCTTACGTTCAATGCATCTGGGCAGCGTCTTTGATGAGCCCTGGCGGTTAGGCTGGTGGCACTGAAGCAGGCCTCCAGGGTCTCCTGTTTAAGCAGGATTTTAAGGCCAACCCTGCGGCTTGCGCCTGCTGGGTTTCTGGAGATGTGTCATATTCGGCTGGGTTGAGGGTCCAGGGCAGAGTGGCCAGGCATGAGAGAAAATACTTTGGGTCAACACCTGTGAAAAGAAGGAAAAAATAAAAATAAAAAAAACACCAGAAGAATACTTTGGGAACAACATCGTGGTGACACAGGGCACAACTGCGAGTGCGGAGGGACCTCTCCCCCTGAACTTGACCAAGCGCTTCCTCAGCCCTTTCTCCCCTCCCAGGCCCTCCCTGTCCCTGGAAGCAGCCTGGTTCCCTCCCGGTCTCTTAGAAGCCCCTGGGCTGCTCTTTCCCTCAGCCCACCGAGAGCTCGCTCCATCTCACTGCACGAGGGGGCCCTCGCTGCCGCCCTCATCTCTCCCCTGGGGACCCCAGCGCCCCCGAAGGGCAGAGGGGTCTTTCCAAGCCATAAATCCCATGAGTTGAAACTCGCGTCTCCAGCCCCTTCCAGCCCCGCTCCCCAGCTGGAAGGAGCCCACTTACCGGCCCCCTCCTTCCTCCTGCGGAGTCTCCTGTCCAGGATCCCTTTTCCCCAGTCCTGCCGTCTTTCTTTGCCTGAAACCTGGAATTCCTCCCCGTTCCCGCCCGCCGGCCTCCGCAACCTCCTCCCTCCCCCGCAGCGCCCAGCCCGGGTCTGCTCCAGGCACCTCCTCAAGACCGGGCCTCCAGCGACTGTCCCTTTGAGCCGCCCTTTCACCCGCAGGCACCCCCGGCCCGTCCCCGCGCCTGCACTCAAGCTGCTTGTTTGCTTGCTCCTGGCTCCTGCAGGGAGCGTCAGCCCCCGGGCTGCTTCCCACTGCTGGAGGCCGGGGGCGCCCGGTGTTCCGCGGGGGCTGCGGCCTCCCCGCTCCACCCCTGCTCACAGGAGCCTGGGCAGCCCGGGGCCCGTCCTTGCACAAAGGCACCAGGCCTGGCCCAGGCCCCGCTCCGCCCGCCCTGTCCCCGCGCTGGGGGACTCGCTCCCCTCCGCCGGGCAGATCCTCCTCTCCGGGGGATTTTCCTGGAGAAGTTACTGGTGCAGATCCAACAGCTGGCGGGACAGTGACCCGGAAGGCCCCCGCCCCGAAAAGCAGGAACAGCAGGAACCTCCAAGGCGCCGCCCGCACCCTCTTCCTCCTCGCCTGGGGCCTCGCGCCCGGAGCCCGCCCCTCTGCCAGGGGTGGACGCAGCCCGGGGAGGGGGGTCCACCTGGCCCCAGGTCCCGCCGCGCTCCGACGACTCGGCCCGCCCTGGCCGCCGCGAGGCTGGGGGTCACTTTGGGACCTAAGTCCGCCCCCGTGGGAGAATGTGTGCCAGGGCCCACTGACAGCTTCCATCGGGGCTCAGGCGCCATCTCTCCCCACGTTTGCCCAGGGTCAGGGGGCCATGCAGGGGAGAGTCGCGCTGCCCCCACTTCCCCCTGACCCTGTGCTCCGAGGAGAGGAACGGGAACTCGCCCGCCCAAGGCCCACGCTCCCCACGTGGCTCAACCAGGCCAGGACCTCGCAGCCACATGGACCGGCGGGTCCAGGAGCCGGGCAGAGGGTCTCCGTGCCAAGCCGCACTGCCCCTGGCCCTCGTCTCCCTCCTTTCTCTCACTGCACGGTGGCCTCATGCCATCCGCTTTGGCCCCAAGAATGGAACTCAGGAGAAAGGGCCTGCCCTCCCCCACCCCCAGCTCCGGGCTGTCCCAGGCCCTGCTGAAGCCCACACCCCTCTTCAGGTGCACACGGCTCCCCTTGGGGCCCTCCCCGGCCTCTGTGCAACGTTCATCAAGGTACCCTTCTTCCCTTCCAGGGACTCTGCTCCTTCCCAAATTCCAGGCCAGATTGGCTGCGGAGAGGCCCACCCTTCCGTGGCAGCTGAGCCCGTCTCTGAATACAAACCAGACCTCCTGTGTCCACAGCTGTAGCTTTCAGGTCAATGCCAGCATGGTAAGAGTCAGTTCCCACTCTGTGTCCCGTGCATGCGGTTGAAATGGCTGCCCCGTGTCCACCCCACCCTCTTCCTCAGTAAAGGACGGTGGAGGAAGCCCCAAAGGGTCACAGTCCCCTTTTTACAGATGAGGAAACTGAGGCACGGAAGGGTGAAGTGACTGTCCATGCCCTACAGGCAGACACTTCCAAAGCTCCTGCTCACAGTGAGGGGATGGTGGGCCATCTCCTGCCTGGACCACATGAGGTGCTCTGGGGGCTGGGACAGGCTGGGGATTGACACAGAACCTAGGTAGGTTTGCCCGGACCCCTAGAGGCTCAGAAAGCTGCTAAGGCTGCCTGGCTGGGCCCCCCATCATTGTGCAGCTCCCAAAATAAATCACTCCACAGCCACTTTTGAATTCTGTTTTATATCAAGCTATAAAAACCTGGATCCTGTTCAACATACATACAAAAGCAGTACTCTAAAAAATAATTATTATTATATTAACAATATCAAACACGCTAACTCCTACACACGTACAAAGACCTTGGGCATCCTTTATACCGGCCACTTCCTGGCCACAGCTTTGTAAGGCAGTACCTGGGAAAAGGGGACGGACCCAAGAGAGCCGGCCCCAAATCCTGACTCAGCACTGCAGAGGCATCAGCCGGGCTGAGTCATGCCTGAGTCCGAAGGGCCCCCTCTCAGGCTGAGAAGGAACTTTCAGGCCCAGGGAGGAGCAGAGCCTTAGGGGGAGCACATGCCGAGCAGGAAAACGAGCTCACATTTTCCTGGGGTAGAGCGAGGTGCCCGGCAGGGCAGGGGATGAACGGAGGGTGCGGTGGGCAGAATAACGGCCTCCCAAAGATGTCCACGTGACAGTCCCCAGAGCCTGTGACTATGTTAGGTTACACAGCCAGTGGGAACTAAAGTTGCAGATGGAACTAAGGTGGCTAATCAGCTGACCTGAAAATAGAAAGACGACCTGGGTTCTCTGGGTAGGCGCAATGTGATCATAAGCGTCCTTAAAAGCGGTAGAGCAGGCCGGGTACAGTGACTCATGCCTATAATCCCAGCACTTTAGGAGGCTAAGGCTACAAGATCCCTTGAGCCCAGGAGTTCCAGACAAGCCTAGGCAACAGAATGAGACCCTGTATCCACAAAAAATATGTAGCTGGGCGTGGGGGATTGTCTCAGGGGACTGAGACAAGAGGATCACTTGAACCAGGAGGTCCAGGCTGCAGTGAGCCTTGATGCCATGACCAGGCCACTGCACTCCAGCCTGGGCAACACAGCAAGACCCTGTCTCAAAAAAAAAAAAAAAAAAGTGGTGGAGGGAGGCAGGAGAGGGGAGGCCTCAATGAGGTGACGGGAAAAAGATTCAACTACCCACAGCTGGCTCTGAAGATGGAGGAGCCTGAAGTCAAGAATTACGGTCAGCCTCTAAAAATGAAAAGGCCAGAAATGAATTCTCCCCTAGAGCCTCCAGAAGGAGTGCAGGACTGCCGACACCCAGATTTGAGCCCCGGGTCAGCCTTCTGACCCGCAGAACTGGAAGACCTCGTTTTGATCCACGAAGTTTGTGGAAACCTGTCACGGCAATAGGAAACAAATACAGAGGCCAAAGGGTCAACAGTGAGAGGTCAAGCTTGCCCTGCCCCTGCCCAGACCTCAGCCAGACTTCTGGGTGGCAGGGCCCACGGTGGCACCCCCAGGGCCTGTCCCTGCCTTGGGGAAGGGGGAGCCTGAGAGGACCCAGGAGGTCTTGGGCCCTTCGGTAGTAGACACCAAGCCCTCGGGGGACCACCCTCTAGTTGAGGCCTTGGGGGATGAAGAGGGAGGGCTCAGGGCCCCATTGCAGGGCCAGCCTGTAGGGGCCGTGGGGCCACCTGGATGTGACGTCTAATGCTGGCGGTGCTCACAGCTCGCCACAGGACCCTAAAAGCCCCTGCCAGACGAGAGCTCATCTTTTCCTTCTTTCTCTTCCAGTTCTGTCTTCCATTCCACCATTGCTGAATCCCGCTCACGGCGGCCCTGGGCTGCAGAGGGCAGATGGGTGAGGCTCGGCCCCTGTCTCCAGAGAGCTGAAGAGGGCCCTCGGCCCCACCCACGAGGAGGACAGTCATGAGGCCGACTGTGGAGGGGCTCTGGACAGAGGTGTCCGGGGATCCCTGAGCCTGGCTGCACTCTCCCTCCTGGTTCTTTCCTTGCGTGCACACGATCAGCTATCGTTTACAAAGAGTCCTTGGTGTTGCCTGGTTGGCTGCCCAGGATGGGAGCTCCTGCCCCCATCGGACATGTAAACAAACCAAGGTCTGTCCAGTTCCAGCTGACAGGGCCTGCACCTCCGCCAGGGCTAGGCAGAAGTAGCATCAGAGCACAGGAGACCCGGGAGGAACCGAGAACCAGCGCTGCTCTTAACAGCTCCCAGCGGGGTGTGCCCAAGGCTTGCTGGGCACTCACAGGCAGGTCAGGCCACAGGAAAAGCTAACCAACCTTTATAAGGGAAAATAGGGGCCGGGAGGGCTCCTGCGCCCCCATGCTGACGTCCAAGATGCTCCGGATGCGCTTGACCTCACTGTTGGATAGGTTCCCCTTGATGGCCAGGATAGCGCTCAGGTGGCCTTTGCTGGCAAAGAGAGCATCCTGTCAGCCCAGCCTGTCACCCACACCCCTACTCACCAGCTCCCTGCACTCCCGGCCAGTGCCACAGGGCCCGACAGCCAACGCCCGGCCCACGAGGGGGCTGCACTTCACTCTCCCTCACCCATGCCCTCCACCTGATGGTCCCAAGAGCAGCCATGCCCCAGCCTGCTTCAGGCCTCCGCACCGGCTGTTCCCCTGCAATGTTCTTCCCAGGCCCTGAGATGACCGCCTCTTCCCACCCCTTAGGTCTCCGCTAAGATGTCCACCCCCAAAAGGCTTTCTTGTCTCTAAAGTCGGCACCTCCTATCATTCACAACCTTGGTTAAACCCTATTTACAACTTGTAATTGTCTGTTTCTTTGCCTGATTATGTCATTAGTATTGCTGGCCCTCAACAGAATGAGCTACTTAAGGGAGGACTGAGACCTGGCTTCCCTTGTACTTCATTGCATCCTGGTAACTAGAACAGAGGCTGACACCTAGCAGACTTCTCCATAATTGTTGGTGGCATAGGTAGATGGATGGTGGGTGGGTGAGCAGATGGATGAGAGCTAGATGGGTGGAGGGATGGGAGCATGGATGAGTGAGTAGATGCATGGGTGGATGGGTGGGTGGGTGAGTGGTTGAGTGGATGGATAGCTAAATGGGTGGAGGGGTGGATGGATGAGTAGATGGGTGGATGGGTGCTTACATGGGTAGGTGGATGAATAGATGGATGGATAGACGGGTGGGTGGGTGGGTGGGTGGATGGGTAGACAGGTGATGAGTGGGTGAGAAGATAGACGGATAGCCAGATGGGTGAAGGAATGGGTGGATGAGCAGATGGGTGCTTGTATGGTGGGTGAATGAATGAATGGGTGGAATGGATCAGACAGGGACTGGACTTGGCGAAGCTGGGGTCAACCCTGTCAAGACCCATTCAAACTTACCCTAACATGTCAGAGGACCCAGCCCAGGAAGAAACAATGTCCCTGGCCCACCAGAACTTCAGGCAGCCAAGGGCTAAGCCTCCACTCCCGAATATGAGCCCTGGTCCCAGAGCATAGGCCTAGGCCGCAGAGGCCCCCCAGGCTGGGTGAAGCTGGCCTCTCTGGTCTCAGTCTCCCCTGTGAGAGGCAGTGTCAGGTAAAGCTAAGAGTGTGGGCCATGCAGCCAGACACTAACTAGCCGTGTCACCTTGGACACATCCTGTGAGCTCTCCAGGCCTCCTCTGTGAAACGGGAATGGGAAGTATTGTCCTCGTAGTGCTGTGGTGAAGGCCACAAGAATGAGCCCCTGGTGAGGTTCACACAGTGACTGGCACGTGGGCAGCTGCCAGGATCTGGGTTCCCAATGCCAGCCCTGTGAGGCCTTGGCCACAGTGATGTGACAGTGGTCCTGAGGTGCCCCAGGTTCTCACCTGAAGTCAGGGTAGCAGGTGGCATAAGTGGCCACCTCAATCTTGATGGCACTGGGGTCCTGCAGGCGAATGATCTCGGCCAGCGTAGGGAGAGCAGGCTGCAGCCAGGTCGCCGGGGAGCCCTGCAGGAGTGGGTGTGGTTGGAGGGACCCAGGGGTCCAGAGGCTCGGGTCAGCGACTCGTTGGGCTTAGAGAGGCACCAGCGGCCTATCTCCGACCCTGAAAGGGCTAGGGGAGAAGAGGCAGCCATTTCAGAGGGGCTTGGGAGAGGTGGGCAGCGGCTTACGTGCTGGGTGCAGAAGTGCTGGATGGTGTCAGCATTGGCCAGGATGTACCCAGCCAGCTGCTGCTGCTGCTCGGCCGTCTTGAGGACCAGGCGCCCCTTGCTGAGTTGGATGATGTACTCCTTCACCAGGTGCAGGTGCAAGGCCTCCATGAGCTCCTGGGAGGGCAAGCAGCCAGGGGCGTGTGAGCTGTCTGCTGATGGGGAGCTCGCCACCTCCCTTGAAGCCTTGTAGCCAGGCCTCCAGAGAGAGGCAGATGCCAGAGCAAAAGACTGCACACGTGCTCGTGCGTCCACATGTGTGCGTTCACATGCTCATGCGTTCACATGCGTGTGTGTTCACATGTGCATGCGTTCACGTGTTCACATGTGTGTGTTTACATGCTCGTGCCTTCACGTGTGTTCATATGTGTGCATGTGTTCACATGCTCGTGCATTCACATGTGTGTGTTCACATGCTCGTGCGTTCACATGTTCGTGCCTTCACGTGTGTTCACATGTGCACGTGTTCACATGCTCGTGCATTCACGTGTGTTCACATGTGCGCGTGTGAGCACATGTGCGTGAGTGTACACAGACGTGCTAGTGTGCGTGTCCGGGCTGCCCCCAACTCCCCAAGACCCAGCCACCAGCCCAGAGCCTCCTCACCTCCCGGAAACAGCCCTGCAGCTCTGAGAACTCAGGCAGCCTCGTGTCTACAGTGGCGATGATGTTTTCCAGGGTCTCCACAGGGGCCGCCCAGCGGGTGTGCGTGAACCTCTTGAACAGTGGCTGAGACAGGAGAGGCAGGATGTCTAGTCACGCCCTGGAGAGGAAGGGCTGCCAGCCGCAGACACGCAGACACGCAGACACAGACACACACCGACACATGTGCCTGGTGGAGGGGCGGGGGGCACTCAAGGACTCCCAGGGAACCCGGGCCAACCTCAGGTCCCTGCTCACAGACAGGAAGTGGGAGCCGGCTCTGTGCACCCTTATCCAAGGTCACCCAGTGCGGCTCAGGAGCCAGGAGAGCCTGTCTGCCGGCCCGGAGGCCAAGTCCACTGCCACTTAAATAAATAAATTCCTTCATAAACAAGACCTTGTGCTTGGCTGGGCCAGGGAGATCAGTACCAGGGGATGTGGGGTCACCGCTCGGGCTTCCACCACACTCAGGCCACCCATGGCCGCTAGTCCCTGACACCGGGAAGAGAACCTCTCCCCTTCCTTTTGAGAGACCCCCCACTTTACACCCTGCTAAAGGAACTACTTGTTTTCACAGCATTTTCTGTGGATTTCTTGGCCCATAACAGATATAACCCCAGCTGCCGATGACCCTGAGCCTCAGTTGCTGGGAGTCAGGCGCGGGGATGGGGGTGGATAGGAGGGGCTGAGGGGATTGAAGGAAAGGTGTCTGCAGGCTTGGGACTGGGCTGTGTCTGAATCGGGGAGGGGCAGTGAAACTTTTCCAGGCCCTCCCAGCCCCAGGCGGCCCCTCCCAGCCCCAGGCGGCCCCTCCCAGCCCCAGGCGGCCCCTCCCAGCCCCAGGCGGCCCCTCTCAGGTGAAACCCCAGGACATGATCGGCGGAGTTCAGAGCCTGCTAGGGTCCCCAACCGGGCATCACCGCTGCACCAGAGCTGGCCCACGGTGCCGTCCACAGGCCTGGAGCGTGTCTTCCCCACATCTTTGCTTCTGCCACTCCTCCCTGGGGGCACCTCCCAGTCCCTCCCTGGGAACCCCCCAACACTGGGCTCCTGAGGGCAAGAGGCTCCCGCTACCTTCAGGTCCTCATGCAGGTTCTGGAGCAGGGTGTCAAAGCCGTGGCTCTTGAGCTCACCCAGGGGGCCCAGCAGGAGGCTCAGGGTGTCCTGGGGTACCTGCCAATTCTGCTCCATGGACATCCTGGAAGGTGGAGGCAGAGAGGTCACCCCAGCCCTGCTCAGCCTATAGCCCCATACCCAGGGAGCCAGACAGCCCCCTCTCTTCACTCTAGAACCCTCAATGGCTCCCCATTCTCTATGGGATCAAGTCCTCCCATCCATGTTCTCCATGCCCTCAGGACACTCCTCCACTACATCCCCTTGTAACTGGGGGCAAGTGAGCCTCCTCCAGTGGTTTGCCCATCTGCCTAATAGACAGATCACTATACCTACTTCACAGGGTTGCTTTAAGGATAAGATAATGGGTGAAACATCTGCCTGTGTGCTTGCCCCAGCCAGCACTTGGGAAATGTTTGCTGCTGCTGCTGCAGGCCGTGGAGTCCTCACACATGTTGCTGGTTTGAATTCCACTTCTTGGCCTAAGCAGCTCCTCCTCCCTCCACCTTCCAGCTCCCCTCTCCTGCCCGCTGAGTGACTCCCACTCCCGCAAGCCCCTCCCAACACTCTCACCGGAAGGACAGGCAGTTGTTGATGTTGGCAATAACATTGGCCCTGTAATTCGTCAGCTGCTTGCCTCTCTCCAGAAATTCATTAAAGGCGCGCTGGTAGCTGGCGAAACCAGAAGGGGCACATTCAGGACCAGCCCAAACACTGGGACCACAGCAGCAGCCTCCCTGCCCTCCCTGCCAGCTCCTGGGGTTCACTTTTCTGTTTGGCTGCCCATAGCCAAGGGAGGGGCCGCTAGCCCCTGGGCATCATGGAACTGGCTTCACAAGCTAAGGCTTGGGCTCCTGAAGAGGGTACCAGCCCATCTCTGCTGCTCCCAGGCCCTCTCTAGAGTTGGGAGACCAGGTAGGAGTGAGCGTGTGGTTGGCTGGAGAAGCCCTCAGAGGTCGAGAGGGAGAGAGCAGAGAGAATTCAGGTGGTGGAGACTAGGAGTGTTGTATGAAGGGGTGGCGGGGTCTCAGTCCCTCCTGGGGTATCCTCTTTGAAGCTAGAGGCTGCTCTGCTGAGAGCTTTGCTGATGGGGTGGGCGCAAGAGGCTCCCACGTTGAATCCTGGTGGAGGTCAGACCACCTGAGGCTCTCAGTGCCCTGGCTGAGTGGGAAACAACTCCTGGCTCAGAATGACAGGGACAGGGGTAGAGGGCGGGGATCCAGCTCAGCTCCCCACCTGAGGCACTAGGGAGGGGCCGTGGCTCTGAGAGCGGTGGCTACAGGGACCCCATCCTGGGCACACACCCACCTCCTCAGGAACGCAGGCAGCTCCACCAGCAGCACCCGCTTTATCTGTGAGCCCAAGTCCAGCGTGATGCTCTCGGCCTTGGCCTGGGCCTGGGAGGTGATCTGCAGGGTGGTGGTGGGTGAGCTGAGCAGGGGCTCGCCTGGACAAGGGGGCAGGGGACGGGGAGGAAACAGGCGGGAACAGAGGGGGTGCCCCGAGGTGGGCATGGGTATGCACACAGGACGGAATGTGCGTGGGGCTCCCCATGCACGTGCACGGGCGGTACGTGTGCCCTGGGGCAGATTGCAGTACCTGGATGATGTCGATGGCCAGCTCGCTGTGGCAGTGGCCGTCCAGCCTCTGGGGAGGCACATCCTCAGCCCAGCGCCGTGCCTCTAGCTCCAGAGCTCGGTCCATCAACTCCCTCACATTGGCCTGGAGGAGGAGGGGCAGGTCACTGGGGCACTATCCCTCACCTCGCTCACCTGGAAGACCCGTCAAGCTCCCTGCCCATGTCCTGTCTGTCTCCGAGCCTCTCCTCTGCTGCCTCCCTGCCCCTCCCTGGCCCAGGTGGAGACTCACCGCCTCACTGGACAGGAATGTGGCCTCCAGCAGTCGGATCTGCCTGGGGGGCAGGAGGCTCCCGAGCCCCATACCCTGCAGCTCACCCACCAGCTTGGGGCTGTTGATGATGTCACTGCAGGCAGGGGAGGCTGGCATGAGGACAACTATACCAAATCAGCACCACCACTCAAGCTAGAGCCCAGGCCCTCAGCCTTGGTCTCTGGCAGGCCCAGACTGCCCAGCACACCCTCCCGCACCCCCACCCGGTCCCCATTTCAGATGATGGGTCCTCCATCTACTTAGTTTGGTTTGGAACAGAAACTCTGAAGTCATCATGCCTCCTCTGACTCTCTCACCACCCCCCCCCCATTAGGTCCTGCTCCAAAATAGCCCCCAAAATCAGCAGCCTCATGCCACTCTGGCGCCCTGGCCGGCTCCCATCAGCTCCCCGCTGGCTCACTGCAAAAGCCTCCTCCCGGCCTCTCTGCTCCTTCCCTCACCTCCAACAATTCCTTCTTCACCCAGCAGCCAGAGCCACCTTTAAGATCTGATCTTCTTCCTGCTCCAAGACTACCTGTCACCCAGATAAAACCCTGCTCCTACTCACAGCAGCCCTGGAATCCAGCCAGCTCCCAGCCCACTGCGCTCCAGCCCTGCAGGTCTTGGGCATCTCACCAGCCCCGGCCACCTCCCAATCCCAGGGGTAGGCCAGAATGGGCAGGAAGGGCTGCCCCAAACTGCTCCACAGACGCATCTTGGCTCACTGTCCTGGCGCCTCTGCAGCGCCCCAGAGCTCCCAGGGGACTGCCCAGCCCTGGCACTTCCTAAGGGCCCTTTGTCTGCCTAGAGGTTTACAAATGACCTTCTCTCTGCCCCTCACCCAATCCAGATGCAGCTGTGTCCCTCCGTTCCCCACATTTCTGGCACACAGGCTTCAACGATGCCCCCCTGGGCACCCTCTCACCAGGGCTCCATGCCCAGCTTGGCTTTAGTTGCCTGTTGCTAACCCCAGGCCAGCAGACCCCGAGGTCACTGGGACAGAAAGACTGGCAGGCAGGGGTGCAGGTGCCCGGCATTTCCTGGTGAGTCAGGACGAGCAAGCGGGAACTGGCTCTGGGCTGGGTTATCTCTCCCGTGGCCCCTGCCCTGTGCCAGTTCCCCTATGCCCTGCTGACTCCTCTCCCACCCTCTCCACTGGACCCTTTCTCTATCCTTCTGCCAGAGGCTGACCCTTCAACACGAACTGAGCCCACAGGCCACCCAAGGCCCCCGAGACGGCAGACACTGCCCACACTGTCTATACCTCCAGGCTTCCTTCCTAAAGTTTCACACTAGGATCTGGGGCCAGCAGTGGCCAAGCCCCACAATAACAGCCCCTGGACTCCCCCGCCCTGGGCCTTTCCACACTGCAGTAAGCCTCTCTCCATGCAGACCGTGCGAATGACGGGCACGCCCAGGGATCTATGGAGTCAAGGGACGCCTGAGGCTGTACTCAGCAGGGGTACCAGCTGCACAGCCAGCCTCCCACCTGAGGGGCTCCAGCTCTGCGGCGGGCTCACAGGGTAACCCTACACAATGGGGGTCTAACAAGACACGTGGCCCTAGCCCATCACTTGGAACTCTCCTGCCTGGGGGTGCCCGCATAGCTCTGCTCAGCTCCAGAGTGCCCTGGAAGAGGACATGCTCAGGAGCACCGACCTTCCTCTCACCTTCTCCCCTACCTGCCCTATCACCCCTCCTCCTGCCTCCTGGCCTGATTCCCTGGCTCAGAGAAGGACCGCTGGCTTTCACCTCCTCCAGGCTGGCTTCCCTGACTTCTCCAGGCCTGCTTTGGGCCCATGCTCTGCACGGGGCCTGGCCTCTGCTGCCACAGCCCTTCCAGCTCTGGATGGTTATTGATTGCTTTGCCCCCTCCTCAGACTGGGCGCTCGTGAATGAAATCCCTACCATTTTCTGTGCCTCAGTTTCCCCAACAGCAGAATGTGACTGAGGCCCAGGAAATTAAGGATTCCAAGAGCAACGCAGACCCAGCCCCAGCCTTATCCCTGTGTCCAGGCCCAGTCTCTGCCTGTCCAGGCTCTGCCCCAGGGAGTCCAAGTCCCACCCCTGCATTCTCGGACCCAAAACTCTGCAAACACCGACCTCACTAAAAGCTGCCGGCGGCACACCTCGACACCCCTCGACACCCCTCCTACAGAGGACACCCTCCCTGCCGGCCCGGGCCCAGCCCCTGGTCTGCTCACTTGGGGTAGAGGTTCTGCACCCAGAGCAGCAGCATGTAGGTGTCGCGCTCGCACAGCTCGAACTGCGCCACGGCGGCCAGGTGGGCCGCGAAGTGCTGGTGGTAGCTCTCGGCGTAGGCCGCCACGACGCCGAACTCGGCGGGGAACAGCGGCTTCAGCCGCTCCACCACGGCCTCCAGGTCCTCCTTCATGGTGCGGCCCAAGTGCAGAAAGACGCTCTCGGGGACCTCGGCGCCCGCGGCCGGCCGCTGGCCCATGCGCTCCTCGGCCGCCTCCGCCACGCCGCGCCGCCACAGCTGCAGCCAGCGCCGCGGGCGCGTGGCCGCCAGCCCCGAGGTCCCCGGCCCCGCCGCCGCCGCCTGGCGGTCCTCGCGCTCCTGCTCCGCCACCACGGCCAGCGCCTGGCGCAGCCGCTCGGGCGGCGCCTCCAGCGGCCGCCGCAGCACGCCCAGCACCTGGTCGCGCAGCAGCTCGTACAGCGCCTCCACCTTGCTCTGGCGCCGCACCAGCTCCTCCTCGCTCACACCGCCCGCCGCCGCCGCCGCCGCCAGCTCCCGCTCCAGCGCCAGCAGCGGCCGCGCCGCCTCCAGCTGCCCGCGCTCCAGCGCCGCCTTCAGCTCCTCCACTGCGCCGGGAAAGCCGCGTCAGCCCCGGCCCCAGCCCACCGCCCACCGGGCGGGGCGGCCAGCGCCAAGCGGGACCGTCCTCCCCTAGACGCGCACAGGGCCGGCGGCCAACACCCTAAAGGGTGATGTCGGTGTCCCTGACTAGGCTGAAGGCCTCCCAGCCCCCCAGATTGCGGCACAGGTGAAAGCAGGGAGACAGACGCGCCTTCCAGCCCCACTTGCCGGCCCACTGTGCAAGTGGCTCACTCACGCGGATGAGCGCCAACCCCGTCCAGGCCCCAGACTAGCTCTAACCCAGGGTCCTAGAGCACCTGTGGGGGGCGGGCCATCCAGCCCCTGCCTGGACCCGGCTGCGTCCTCGGGCTCCGCTGAGCTGGGCTGACCCTTCTTCTTCTTCCCTTTGGTGAAGACGCAGAACACATTGGCCAGGCCTTTGGACTTCTTCTTCTTCTCCTTCTTCTTCTTCGCCGCCTCTTCCTCCTCCCTATATGGGGCTGCCCCAGCCTCCAGGGGTGGCACCAGGTCCTCAGAGGAGGCCTCCGACATGGAGGCCTCTGACTCTGCCTCTGATGTGGACTGCAACTTTTGGGGGCCTCTAGGCAAGTCGAGGGTGCCTGGCACAGGCTGATGGCTCTAGAGGCCTTGGAAGAAGGTCATCATCTTCAGCATCACCCTGGTTCAGGCCTGCAGGCTCCTGCGGGGTGGGGGTGAAGGCATCAGTGGTCACCATGGACCGGCCCTGGCTCCCAGGCTGGACACACAGCTATGCTGGCTGCATTGAGTACACTCAGTCTGTTTCACCCATTCAGCCACCGGGGCTCTGCTCATCTCCTGGCCCAGATGAGCACCAACAACTGTGCTTCCTCCCTGGCCACGAGCATCTCACCATCTACAGCTCCCCTTCCAATACTTCACAGCCCCAGAAGCAAGGAAGAGGCTGGGGACGCCAAGCCCGCCACACAGAGGGGGACTTTCACTTTACTTGGGCAAATCCTTCCCTGCCAGCCCACCCTCTGGGCAGGAAGCAGGCAATGGACACCTCCCTGGATCCCACGGGACCCTAGGGAAGAGGCGGGGCATGGGCTCTGTCCCTTTGGACAGAGCAGGAACAGAGGTCCAGAAAGGTCTGGGACATGCCGGGGTCTAGAACACCAGAACCGGCCTGAGACTGGAACCCAGCCTCCTCCTGCCCAGACCCAGCCCCTCTGCCATCTTGTCCAGTTCTGATCCAGCGGTGGGGTCACAGAAACACAGCTGCTCCAGCTGGGCCATGAAAGGGGCAGAGCCTGACCAGGATCTACAGAAGCCACAGTGGGTGGGACCTCAGACAGCCTTTCACACATCACTGGGGCAAGGGGCTCAGCAAGTCACAGGGCGGCCTGAAGTCACACAGCAACTCGGGTCCAGAACCCAGGCTTCCTGGCTCCCACCCCCTCCCAAATGGGATCGTAGCATCATCACAAAGGCTTCCAGTTTCTGCAGCCTTCCTGGGTGCCCATCCCATCTCTTCCTTTCTCTCATCTGGAAGGGTGTTATTTCGGCTTAAACTGTCCCTATAGTCAATAGCTTGGGCTTGGAACTCAGGCCACCCGGTCCCAGAGCCCAGCTTTCCCCTGCCTCCACATCCCCAGCTATCCTGCAAGCTACATCCAGAGAGGCAAGACCCGAGCTTCCCCAGAGTCCCTGCCCAGCACCTGACCATTGTCAGAGCAAGGCCAGGTCCACTGGAGAAGAGCATGGCTGATCTGAAAGGGGGAAGCAGGCAGGGGCTGGGCCTCCCCAAGAACTGGGGTGACCTGTAACCTTGATGCCACCTGTCTGCCCCACCCCAAGACTAAATGCATGCAGCCTTGTCTCATGTATCATGGTAACTTCAAGTGACCCCTGAAACAGCCCTGCAAGGCAGGCAGGATGATCCACCATCCAGAAGGAGAAACTGAGGCTGAGTAGGAGGTGTTTGCCCCAAGCACAGCAGCCATGGAGGCTCAGACTGGGCCCATCCGACTCTTCCCATGGCCCCGCTGCCTCCACCAGCCCCACTACCCTGTCCCCATCCTGGAGGGGCTTGGCCAGAGCCACCTGAGGGACAGGAAGCCTGGGCTCCTCCCACCCCCAGCCCCTGCCATGCTCACCCAGTGCCCTGGGCAGAGTCCCACACTCCTGGATGGCACTGGCCTCCCTAGTGCCATTTGGGTTGAGCATTCCACTCCAGGACCAAGAGGGGCATGCTCCAGGGAGCCCCAGGGGCAAGGCCATGGGGCACCTCTGCTCCCCACCCGGTGCCCCAACTTCGCTTCCCAGCCCCTCTCAGGTGCATGCCTAGCACCCGCGGGAGCTGGTCTGTCTGGCAGGGCCACTCAGCCCCACCCTGGGTGCCCAGGCCCCACCTCTGCCATTCTCCTGGGGTGGGGGAGGGTGGCCCTTACCAGCAATGCTCCCTGCCAGCCTCACCTCAGCCTTCCCTGTCCCACCCCACATGTACTAGGCTCTGTCCCACCTCCAGGCACAGCTCCCGCAGGACCCCCACAGCATCACCGCCTTCTCCCCTCTGTGACACGAAACCCAGAGCGCCTGAAGGTCCTGCTGCAGCCCCCTGGGCCTCGCCCCAGGTCTCCGCTCTCCGAGGCAGCTGGTGCCATGGAAAGAGAAACGCTTTCGGTGTGGGCTCAGCACACTTCTCACTAGTGTGTGGACTGCACACCTCCTTCCTTCACAAGCCGCCGTTTCCCCGTCTTTGAAAAGGGGATGAGGACCCCCACCCCACAGTGCTGCTGAGGGGATGTGGCCAAACCGCACAGCCAAGTGCTGGGCGCCTAGCTGGGCCTCAGTGGGGGTGAGTCTCCTGTGTCCTGAGTCTGTCCTGCAGGCAGCAGCGAGCCGGTGCAGCCAGAAAGGAAGAAGGGGAGGAGGGGCGTTCCTTTGAGCCTTGCCGCTGGTTGGGCCCACTGAGGCAGGAAGGGGCCTGCTGGGAGGCTCGTAGAGGGGTCACAGCCAGTGGCTCAACAGCGCCCCCCAGCCTCCTGCTGCCCGGCCTCTCCTCAGGTCCACTGACCTGGCTCGCCTTCCCCGTCAGGGCTGATGTCCACACACCTCCCGGGAGCTCGCTGGGCCCGGCTCCTTCAGTCCTGGGCAGGATGTGGAAGGCGCACCCATCCCCCGATGAGGACACCCGGGCACGGGCGAGGAAGTGACTCGGCCTGTGTCGCCCGGCCGGGGAGTCACGCCGGACCTGGGGCCTTTCTGCTGTAATGGAGGGGAGACCCCTGCGCCTGCCCCAGCCCCGCCCTCCCTGCCTCTGGCAGGCCCGGGCCCTCAGCCAGCCTTGGCCCCTCTGCGCCCGGACGCGCGGACGCTGGGCGCGCCAGGGCCTCAGTTTCCCTGGAAGCGTCCAGCCCCCTCCTGTCCCCGCCGCGGCGACAGGCTCTTTCCTCGGGGAATCCGGCCTGGCCTCGGGGTAGGGGCGGGCGAGAAGCCGCGCGGAGCGGCGGGGAATGGACGTGTGGAAGCGGAGGTCACTTACCGTGTCCCGGCCTGGCCGCCACTGTCCTGGCCCGGGTTCCGCAAGGCCTGAAATAGTCGCAGAGTCAGCCCCGCCCCGCCCGCCCCTCCTTCCCCGCCCCGCCGCAACCGCGGAAAACCCGCGGGCGGAGGCCAAGGCCCAGCGCGGCCCGGCTGTGTCCCTGCGTCCCAGGGGCTGGGCGCGCCCGGCCTGCCCAGCGGGGGATGCGGGGCGCTGTCACTTCCTCCCAGCAGCCGGGCAGGGGCGGGGGGCTGGCCGCGCGTCGCATGGTATGTGGAGTTCGGGGGACGGCACGGGGACGACGGGGTTGTCAGGCGCGGAGCCATTGTCCGACGACGGCTCCTGATAGGCCGCCTGGATGGGGCGCGCTTGGCCGCGTTCCCGCGTCACACACCGGCTCCAGCTGCGGGAGAGCCCGTCCCACCCCAACTCCCCAGCCGCCCCTCTGAAGTGTTCCGGTGTCACCGTGGCCACAAGGAGGCAGGGGACGGGGGCTTCCTGAAGGAGGCCCCCTAAGGGGAAGGGGGCTACAAGGCTGGCCAGAGTGCTGGCCGCGCGGCTGTGCACAGGGCCTTGAGCCCCTCCGGTCGTCAAGCCTTGCTTGAAATGCGTAAATGCGGAAAGGTGAAGTGGCTGACCCGGCTCACACCACTTTAAGTAGCGGAGTGGGGTTCCTAGCCAGGCCTATGGGACTCCCACTGGAGCCTTTCCCCCTCTGGGGCTGGGGCTGGACCCACAGGCTGCCGGAGCAGGCAGAAGGGGAGGGGCCCAAGGCCCAGACTCCAGGGCCTCGTCTGGATCATCAACCCGGCTTTGCCCATTCAGCGCAGGCCTCCGTTTCCAGGCCTGTCTCCCCATCCACACCGTCTCTCAGGGTTTGTTTTGGGAGATGTGGGGGTGGGGCATGTGGGGAGGATGGAAAGGGGCTGTGAAGGGAACCCACTGGAGATTCACTTCCTTCCTTATTTCACACTCTAGGCTAGGAATTCCTGCCCTCTGGAAAGGACCCAGACATTTAGGAATTTCCCGCTGGGCAGGGGCTTCCCTCCTGCCTCACTGGGGCCTCTGCTCCTCCCCTCTTTTGTTTGGCCTCTTTCCCCGCCCCCTGATCACTCCGCCACCCCTTCTGCAGCCTAGTAACAGGTCTTCCAGGACCAGGGGGGCCAGCGGAGTGGGGGCGGCTGTGGGTTCAGGTGCCCTGGGAACTGAGAACTTCCTCTTCCAGAGTGCTGGCCAAGCGCCAGGTTTGCACTCGGATTGCCATCCATCATCCTGTCTCTGGGGAACCTGTGGGGGAGCGGATGCGGGAGGCCGCCAGGATGCAGGATGGGGCGTTAAGGCTGCCAACCCCACCCCTTCTCTCCTAGGACTCCAGGGATGACATTTTTCAGATGAGTCCACAGAGCCGCGGTGTCCCGGGGCTGGGAGGGTCCTTCCACCGGCACCGCGCAGATGGAGTTCATCCACACAGGGGCGATGAGGATACGGGCTGAGGGGCCCTGGCCGGTGGCTGCCTTCACGGCTGGCTGCTGTGGCCTCATTGTGCAATCCCCACAAGCCTCTCCTGCCAGACTCTGTTCCCCCACCCCACCCCCTCACCCCCCCTCCCATTCCCAAGCAGATCGGGAAATTGCTCGGGAAGTCTGCATCTGCCAGGAGGGCGTTGTCAGGCCTTAGGCCCCACTGTCCCCTCGAAGGCAGCCCCTGGTCTCCACGGGCTTTGCAGGGCTGAGGCGGGGCTGCCACCCTTGTCCCCCACTGACGGCAGTGGCCCGCCCAGAGCACCGGCTGGGGATTGGGAAACGAGGCTGCTGCCTTGGACTTGTGTCTGCACCAGTCACTTCCCCTCTCTAAGCTCAGGCATGAGGGTCAATGGTAACATACGTGAAGTCCTCAAGACAAGGAAAGTCTTCTGAAAATGGGGCAGCATGGAGGCCCAAGGGATGACAGCCAATGGGGCCCATAGGGCAGGAGCAGTCCTTACCCTCTTCTCGCAGATGCAGAAAGCAGTTCCCAAGAGGCCAGGCACTTCCAGAGGAGCCAAAGGCCAGCCTACGGCTCCTCCCCAGCAGGAAGCCAGCATCACATGCTGGGTGGCGATGTTTGTGACCAGTGGCCAGCGGCTGTCCCATTCCCCAGCTCCCCAGGGCACAGGCCAGGGGCAGTGAGCAGGGGGCTCTGCCTGGTGGGGAGGGCAGCAGACAGGAGCAGACTGGCAATGACCTCTCCATTTAGCCTAGAAGGCGAGTGTGCCAGCACCTGGCCAGGAGCCACGGTCAGCTCCTCGCACGCAACCCAGGGCCTCAGAGGCTACGACACATGGGATGTTCCCTCCCTTCTGTCTGCCAGAGCAATGACAGCTGACTGTTTAAAAATTATTATGGTACAATATACATAATGCAATTTATAATCTTTTAAGTGCACAGTTCAGTGGCATTAAGTATATTCACAGGGTCGTGCAACCAACAGCACCCTCCACCTGCAGAAATCGTCACCTGGCAAAACGGAAACTCTACCCACTATGCACTAACTCCTCTTTCCCTCTCCTCCGGGCCCTGGCAACCGCCATTCTACCTTTCGTCTCTGTGGTCTTGACTATTCTATGTACTGCAAATAAATAGAGTCACACAGCGTTTATCCTTTTGTGTCTGCATCTGCCAGGAGGGCGTTGTCAGGTTTATTTCACTCAGCATAATGCCTTCAAGATTCATTCATGTGGTAGCAGGTATCAGAATTCCCTTCCTTTTTGAGGCTGAATCATATTCCATTGTATGGATGGGCTACACTGTGCATTCATTCATCTCTCTGTGCACACTGGGATTGCTGCTACCTCTTGGCTGCTGTGTACAGTGCTGCTATAAAACATGGGTGTGTATACCAGGTGTGGTGGCTCATGCCTGTAATCCCAGCACTTTGGGAGGCCCAGGCGGGTGGATCGCTTGAGCTCTGGAACTCAAGATCAACCTGGGCAACATAGTGAGACCCTGTCTCCACCAAAAATACAAACAATTAGCCAGGTGTGATGGGGTGCACCTGTAGCCCCAGCTACTTGGGAGGCTGAGGTGGGAGAACCACCTGAGCCTGGCAGGTTAAGGCTGCAGTGAGCCATGATTGCACCACTGCACTCCAGCCTGGGCAACAGAGTAAGACCCTGTCTCACAACAAAAACAAACAAACAAAAGAACACGGGTATGCAAATATCTGTTCACGTTCCTGCTTTCAATTCTTTTGGGTAGACTGCTGATGTTTGTTGATCTCCACCGGTGCCAGGCGTTGTTCTAAGTGTTTTGTATACATTAGCCGATTTCATCGGACAGCCTAATGAAGTGGGCACTAACTCTCTTCTTTTCACAGATGAGGAAACTGAGGCACAGAGCGGTCCAGTCATGTGCCAGCCAGTGGTGAAGCTAGGAGCCCCTTCACTAAGCACAGTGTTATCTTGCTTCTCCTCCAACGTTGCTCAGCGTCTGAAATTCAGCTTGATGTATTTAAGTCAGACACAAGAAAGGACTTCTAGACCAAGGAGTTTAGATGCAGAAATGGGAGGTACTATCCTTCACTCCTTTTTCACCTTGAAAAAAATTTTTCCCAATCTTTTTCATTACCTCATTTAGTCCATTAATTAAACCTCCACCTGCGCCCTGTAGGGCAGCAGAAAAGGCCGATTCAGCACGGACCAGAGAATAACACAGGGAGGCACATTACTGGCCCTCTCTCTGCATTCTTGAAGGCACCTAGAGGAAAGCTCTCTAGAAGAGGGGCAGTTGGGGCTGGGCATGGTGGCTCACCCCTGTAATCCCAGCATTTTGGGAGGCCAAGGCGGGCGGATCACCTGAGGTCGGGAGTTCGAGGCCAGCCTGACCAACATGGAGAAATCCCGTCTCTACTAAAAATACAAAATACAAAATACTAAAAATACAAAATTAGCCAGGTGTGGTGGTGCATGCCTGTAATCTCAGCTACTCGGGAGCCTGAGGCAGGAGAATCACTTGAACCTGGGAGGCAGAGGTTGCGGTAAGCTGAGATCACGCCATTGCACTCCAGCCTGGGCAACAAGAGTGAAACTCCATCTCAAAAAAAAAAAAAAAAAAAAAAAAGGAAGAAGAGGGCAGTCGAAGGCAGAAGGGAGAGCAACCTGGAGCAGGGCCCAGGGTGGTGGGTGATCACGAGGGGCAGAGGGCCTATAGGTGGCTGGGCCTGGCCAGAGGCGTGGCTGCAGCTGCTAGCCTTGGTCACAAGAGTGGTGCTGACCTCAGGGTGGGTCACCTAGCCCCTCCCCCAGCAGCCCGGGCCCACTTCCCTCTGCATGATGACTTGCACTTCCCACTGCCCTAACCCTGGTTCCCAGGACCCCAACACTCACCCTGCTTCTCCCTTTCACTTCTCAGGCTGTCACCAGCCCTGAGACTCTTCCTGGGGATGCCCTACTGTCTGCATGGGGTGGGGCCATTGTGTTCCCTGTTGACAGATGAGGAAACTGAGTCTCAGAGAAGCAGGCACAGAGGTTGAGGCCTTAAGCCTGAGGTCCCTGCTGCCACCCAGCCTTCCCCAAGAGGAGCAGTGACTTGCTCAGCATCACCTACAGCTCCATGAGACCCTGGCTGAAGTCTGCTGACCTCCTCCGGGACTGTGGGATGGCCAGGACAGCTGACCAGGAGCCACTTTCACGGCACATCCCCTCCTGCAAAGGAGGGAGCATGAGGACCCTCAGCAGCCCAGACATGTACCATCAGGCGGTGCCCCACCCCAGCCCCACGGGACACTGTCGATTTGTTGATAGCCCCCCTGCCCCTTTCCTCCTAGGAGGAAGCCAGGCCAAGGATTCCTTTTCGTATTTGGCAGATGGAGAAACCGAGGCCTGATGAGGTATGGCTTCTGCAGCTATTCCATGAGCCTGACCCACTGTCCTTGCTGGAGAAGGGCCATGGGAGAGAAAGCAGGGCCTATGGGGCAGCAGGACCCCAACCCCAGTGGCCTTCCAAATAGTGTGGTGTAGGAGGGCTTCCTGGAGGAGTGGGTCCTGGTGGAACTCATGGGCATAGGAAGTTCTCTATGCCAGCTGCAAGCGGCCACTCTCCTCCCCAAGTTCAGCTCTCCTAAAACTCTAGTCTTTCACCACAGCTCTCTGGTACTGATGCAAAATGCCTAAGTGCAGCTCCGGTCCCTTCTGCCTGGGGTTCCTGTAGAACATGGGCCCTTCTCGGAGCCGGCATAATTTCCAGGAAAACAGCTGCAGAGCTACGGCCTATGCAGGGTTCTGCCAATGACAGAGGCCAGTCACGTGGCAGGACCTCTCTTGGGAAGCCCAGTGCTGCTTCATGGGGCTGTTTGGAGAAGGAAGTCGGGGAGGAGAGGGGAGGGAAGGGGAAGGAAGAGGAGGGGAGGGGAGGGGAGGGAAGAGGAGGGGAGGGGAGGGGAGGGAAGAGGAGGGGAGGGGAGGTGTTACCGGGAGAGACTATATCCAAGTCATGAAGCACTGAAGTATGTTAGCAGGAGCAAATCCATCCAGGTCTGCAGCAACCTCAGTTCTTACCTCCTCAGAAAAGAGAATTCAACTGAGAAGTCTAAGGCAAAGTGAGAGACTGCAACAAGTTTGAAAGCAGGAGTGAAAGTTTATTTAAAAGCTTTAGAGAAAGAGCCTGGGCAACATGGCAAAACCCTGTCTCTACCAAATAATAAAAATAATAACACAAAAATTAGCCAGCGTGGTGGTGGGCACCTGTGGTCCCAACTACTCAGGAGGCTGAGGTGAGAGGATCACTTGAACCCGGGAAGTGGAGGTTGCAGTGAGCCCAGATCATGTGGCTGCACTCCAGCCTGGGCAACAGAGCAAGACCCTATCTCAAAAAAAAAAAAAAAAAAAAAAAAAAAGGCTGGGATCGTGGGATCGCTGGCTCACACCTGTAATCCCAGCACTTTTGGAGGCCAAGGCGGGCGGATCACCTGAGGTCAGGAGTTCGAAATCAGCCTGGCCAACATGGTGAAACCCTGTCTCTACTAAAAATAAAAAATGAGCCGGGTATGGTCCCAGCTACTTGGGAGGCTGAGGCAGGAGAATGGCTTGAACCCGGGAGGCAGAGGTTGCAGTGAGCCAAAATTGCGCCACTGCACTCCAGCCTGGGCGACAGAGTGAGACTGTCTCAAAAAAAAAAGAAAAAGAAAAAAGTGGCCGGGCGTGGCGGCTCACGCCTGTAATCCCAGCATTTTGGGAGGCCAAGGCAGGCGGATCACCTGAGGTCAGGAGTTCGAAATCAGCCTGGCCAACATGGTGAAACCCTGTCTCTACTAAATATACAAAATTAGCCAGGTGTGGTCCCAGCTACTTGTGAGGCTGAGGCAGGAGAATCGCTTGAACCCGGGAGGCGGAGGTTGCAGTGAGCCAAGATGGCACCACTGCACTCCAGCCTGGGTGACAGAGTAAGACTCTGTCTCAAAAAAAAAAGAAAAAAAAAAAAAGTTTTAGGGCAGGAATGAAAGGAAGGAAAGTACACCTGGAAGGCCAAGCGGGTGACTTGAGGGATTCTAGTGTGTGGTTTGACCTTTGACTTGGGGTTTTATACGTTGACATGCTTCCACTTCCGGCGGGGGGCCATTGCATTCTTTCTGAGGATTCTTCCCTTGGGCTGGGCTGTCCGCACGCGCCGCCATGGCCTGCCATGCCAGCACCTGGGAGGGGCCGCATGCGCGGTGTGTTTACTGAAGTGGTGCACATGCTCATGTGAGGCGCTCTTCCCTTACCCGTCGAGGGTTTCCCGAGGAAGGTCATACATGAGTTAAGCTCTGCCATTTTGCCTCTTAGTGCTTATGCTTGAGCCCACTCACCCGACTCCTGAGATCTTATCGGGAAGTTGCTGATCACTAGTACTAGGTGCTTCTATGTAAGAGAAACACCTATGTTGGGAAACTGCCTTTCCCTGGTGCTGGCTGCGACCAATTATTATTTTAGAGAGACAGTGTAACAACTGCCTATCACCTGATGGTTGCGTGACATTCCTAGGTGCTCTCCTGCCCTGCTCACGTCTGTCTACTGTAACAGAGGCTGCTCAAAAACCACGCAGGCCCTGTGACTGCCTCCAGCCCAGGTTCTGGGAGCCCCCTCCTTGCCGGACAGCCAGGAGCTCTGACTTCCAGACTTTGGAGAAGGAGGGCATCCCACTGTGGGCTGAGGCGTGGAGACCACCTGGGCCCTGGTACTCCACTGCTTAGAGCTGTGTCTTTCCATACATTGCTTGGGACAGTGACATTTCCTTGGGACCTCCTGGAGATGGCACTGGCACACTCAGAGGGTTGGCAGGGATGGCTTAAAGGAGGTAGTGCAGATAAATAACAACGAATGCCACAGGTAGGAGGATGCTCTTGGAGAGCCAGGCCCTCCTCCAGCCAACTCTTGCATTTTCTTGTGTAATCCTCCCCAGTTTACACAGGGAGATGGAACCCAGAGAGGTGGAGTGACTCACACAGGTCACACAGCTAGGAAGGCGCAGAGCTAGGATTCCAGCCCAGAGGTGTCTGAGTCCAGAAGCTGATTCGAAATGCCAGCCCTGAGTCCAGGGAAAGCAGGAACATCATACACCACCAGAGTAAAGCACATGGTGGGCGCCCCACAAACAGCAGAGCTTCTCATGATGAGGCAGGAGAATAGGAGGCAGGGAACCTAAGGCTGTTTCGTTCCTACTTCCTAGAACTATATTGAAAGGAAAACCCACACAAAAAAATTAACTGGGCGTGGTGGCGGGCACCTGTAATCCCAGCTGCTAGGGAGGCTGGAGTGCAATGGTGCTGTCTCGGTTCACTGCAACCTCCGCCTCCCGGGTTCAAGCAATTCTCCTGCCTCAGTTTCCTGAATAGCTGAGATTACAGGTGTCCACCACCATGCCCAGTTAATTTTTTTGTATTTTTAGTAGAGACGGTTTCACCATGTTGGCCAGGCTGGTCTTGAACTCCTGACCTCAAGTGATCTGCCTGCCTTGGCCTCCCAAACTGCTGGGATCACAGGTGTGAGCCACCGCGCCCGGCCTCACCCTAGCCTCTGACTGGTTGCTTTTTGCAACCAATCAGATGTTTGCACAGGAGTGTGACCTTTGTAACTTCACTTCAGCCTCTGGTTGGCTGCTTTCCGCAACCAATCAGGTTGATTGCAGGCCACCACTTCATTTACATGAGGTGAGCATGAAGTGGCCAACGGGAAACTTCTAGGGGATATTTGGACCCAAGAAGATTCTGTATCTGGGCTGTTGAGCTGCTGCTCGGGCCACTCCCACACTGTGGAGTGTACTTTCATTTTCAGTAAATCCCTGCTTTCGTTCTTTCGTTGCTTCATTCTTTCTTTGCTTTGCTGGGCATTTTGTCCAATTCTTTGTTCAAAACGCCAAGAACATGGACAACTTGCAGTCACGACCCTCTACTGGTGACTTTTGTTTTCCCCAAGATTCTAAGAGCCCATTATTTGAGGATTCTATCCGTCTAAGAGCCTTGAGTTCCTCATTTGATGTTTATAGGGATCAAGAACGACTGCCCAGGCCAGGCACAGTGGCTCACACCTGTAACCCCAGCACTTTGGGAGGTTGAGGCAGGAGGATCATTTGAAGTCAGGAGTTTGAGACCAGCCTGACCAACATGGTGAAACCCTGTCTCTACTAAAAATACAAAAAATTAGCTGGGCAAGGTGGTGGGTGCCTATAATCCCAGCTACTTGGGAGGCTGAGGCAGCAGAATCGCTCGAACCTGGGAGGTGGAGGTTGTGATGAGCTGAGATCACTCCACTGCACTGCAGCCTGGGTGACACAGTAAGACTTCATCTCAAAAAAAAAAAAAAAAAAGAAAAGAAAAAAAGAAACGACTGCCCTATCCTGTCAACCACCTCCAGCAAAAACAGGTTCCTCACCAATGCCCAGAATGTCACCATTCATATAAATCCCTTGGGCAAGAATCCCTTTTTAACAACTCAAGTGTCCCGCAAGGAACCTCGGTCACTTCTGGGAATGGGAGCAGGAAGACTAGAGATAAGAAGGGGACTTTTTACCCTATACCCTTTGCGTATCTTTTAAATTTTGACCTATGTGAACGTATTGCTACCCAACACATTATTAAGCATTTAACACATTTTTAAGGCTGCTAATAGATGGGTGGGCATATGTGCAGACAGAAGTGAGGGTGTCCCTGGAGAGGCCCAGGCCCCCAGGGCCCAGGAGAGGATGGACCGAGGGGTGGGTGTGACTTGTCCAAGTTTCACTCCCCTCCAAGTGTTTCCCAAGACCAGGGTCCCAGGAGGCCAGGCTGAGATTTGGGTGGCTCCCAGCAGGATCTGATCCTGTGACCTGGGGCACTGTGGACCCCGCCCTCTGCAGCGGCAGTCTTGTTGCAGCACAGTGGCCGGCAGGTGCCCACTGACCAGCCTTCCACAGGGAAGGGGGGGGACGGGCAGTGTTGTGGGGCAGCCCACTCCTGGCCACCCCCCTGGGCCTCATGATGGCCTGTGAGTTGCATGCGCCGACGGCGGCCCTGGGGCTTCTTTGCGGTGGCAAAGGAAGGAAGTTTGGGGACGGGGGTAGCCTTGGGGACCCTGCAGCCTCCTCTCCCAATGTGGGCAGCAGTGAGGGGTCCTGCAGTAACCTTCCAGCCGCTGGGGATGCTGCCCCCACGCATAGGGGCCCACTGGGTACTGAAGCCAGGAAGGGAGGGGCTGGGGTCACCAGGCGAGGAAGGAAGAGGGCACGCTGTGCAGGCCTGGAGGGGACACACGGACCGTCACTCACAGCACACCCTCTTGTCAGGAACGCTGTGAACAGGTTCACTGGCTCCCTACTGGGCACTCCCTCCCATGTTACCAACAAGAAAACTGGGTCCCCCGCTAGAAGGGGCAGAGCTGAGACTGGAACACATGCCTGCATGGCTCAGCCTCGTGTGTCTCCCACATGACACACTCAAGCAGGGGCCAGGCCCAGACACCAGGAGGGAGAGATGGCCTCGGAGGGCTGCTGGGCCCCAGCCTGAGCTGGGGGAGGCAGCTCCCCAGTCTCCTCTCACCCCACACACGCTGTCGCTGGGCCAGCAGGTGTGTGTGTGTGCACACACACACACATACACACACACATATACACACACACATACACACACACACACACACACACACATACATACATATATACACACACACACACAGTGGATCATCTCTGCAGACCAGAGTGTGCGGGTCTGGGGCATGTGGGTTCTCTGTGGTTTCTCTCTGCCCTCCCAGTTGGGCCTGGGGTGGGGCCCCAGAAGATTCACAGAGCAGACCCAGTCTCAAGGACCTCAAGCTCAGGGACAGAGACCAGAGGGAACCCCAGGACATGCAGGAGCCCCAGGCCACGGTGGCACTGGGGGAAGCCCAGCTGGCCCTGAAGAGGGAGGAGACCTGGGCCATGCAGCAGGGAACAGGCACTGGCCAAGGCTGCGGGCCAGGGGCCGGCAGGCAGGGCCTGGGGGCTGAGCTTGGGGGCAAGTAGGATGGTTCCAGGCTGTCCTGCTTTCTGAGAGGAGTGAGGAGACTAGGCAAGGGCCTCCATCCTGGGGGTGCTGACAGGGGCTGGTGCACATAGGTACACGTGCACAGACACACACACACACACACACACACTTATCAGCCAGGTGACCTGGCCAATGAGAACCCAAGTACCTCTCTGAGAGCCAGCCCCACCCCCACCGGCACCCTGCAGGCTTGGCCTGGACAACAGATGGCCAAGGAAGCACTGCAGGCTCATTGCAAGGTCTCATGGGCTCAGCCTCCACCCCTTAGAGCAGAAAGGCCAGTGGCCAGACCCCAGGACTGAGGCACCCAGGGTGCCCCGGTCTCAGCCCCGCCTCTGCCCCCAGCCTCCCTGACTGCATCCTCTAGGAGCTGCCATCCCACCCCCAGCTCGGCCTGGCTTGGCCTGGGAAGTCCCAGCCCCAGCCACCGCTGGGTTCAGGAGGATCTGCACACATGGCATACACACCCTCCTGGCATGGAGATACAGGTGCACATGTGCACACAGTTCCTGCCAGGAAAACCCTGACTTCCTGTCTCCGGGCCTAGGAACCCTCAGGGTCTAAGCCGGGCCCCCTCCCTCTGCCACAAGCCGCTCAGCCTTCAGCACCTCTTCCCAGCCTCTCTTGGGGCCTCCCACTCCCAGTGACCTCCACTCAACTCAGGTTTTGCTCCAGCCTCAGCACCCCACCACCCCAACCCCAGGGTGCCCAAGGCCTTCCCGTAGGTGGGCCTCTGGGAACATGGGGTCACAGGGAGGCCAGGCCCCCGGCCTTATGGCTGGCTCTGACTTCACCCTCCCCAGCCGAGGAGGCACTAACAGCACCCCCATTTCACAGCTGGAAAAAAAATGAAGCAGTGAGATAAAAGAACCTGCCTGCATTCTCACAGGTGGGAAGTGGCAGAGCCAGGACGGAACCCCCTCCTTAACCCCACAGCCCTGCCCCAGGACCCTCTGGCTCCAGCCAAGTGGCTCAGTGAGGAGCTTGAGACAGAAGGGTGGGGAAGGGGGTGGCAGGGGCTCCTTGGGGAGAACCTGACCAGGACCAGACCAGGCCAAGCCCTCCCTTCTCCCCTCCCATGCACCCTGCCTGGGACACTCATGGCCACCAGGTCAGGGGTGGGGTCAAGCAGGGGACAGGCTGACCTGTCAATCACCTGCCCCCTCTTGGACCCCTCCCCTGGGAAAAGACATGCCCCTCTGGCCCCTGGCTGGGAGGATCCTGAGCATCTGCCAGCCTGTTTTCCCATCAGGGACGGGACCGCTTATTGGCACCAGCATCACATACCTGCCCCCACCCCAGCCCTGGAGATGGGGAACCCCAACCCTCCCACTTCCTCATTCCTGCCCCACCTGCCCCACCCTGCCAGGGGAGGTCTGGATATTCCCTTGCCCTGGCCTGCCCTGCTCCTGACCTCCAGCCCTGGTGCCCCCATGGAGGAGGGCACTGCCCCAGCACTTGCTCCCAGAAGAGACAGACAAGCCCCAGGCACTCAACCCCCAGGCTCTAGGCCCCAGCAAGACTCAGGCTCCAGGCCCCAGCCCTGGCATAGGAACCGGGGCAGGTCTGCCCGGGGAACTGCCCCCTGACTGTCCACAGTGCAGGGAGGGGGCCTGGAGGGAGTGGGGATAGACACGCCCCCTGCTTGCCTGGCACCACAGCCTTTCAGACTCCTTACCCTGTCCTCAGGCGACCCAAGTTTGTGGAGCTCTTGGAACCTTGGCCCACCTGCAGTCACCTGCCCCCCACTCCCGCCAGGGTCAGGGTCAGGCCCAGAGACACTATGGGGGCCCACTGTGGAGGGCTGGGAGGGGCACCTGTCACCACCTGTCTCAGCTGCTCTCTGGAAATCTCCCCATCTCAACTTTCAGCCTCCCCAGCCAGCCCGGCTGCCAATGCAAATAGGTTTCCCAGCACCCCAGCCCGCAGCTGCCGCCAAATTTCAGCGGCAGCTTTGCAGAGAGAAGCGGGGACGCAGGTGCACGCTGGAGCAGTCTCCTTACGCTTGCCTCCATTGCTGACACCTCAGGGTCACCCCCGGACACACACTCCATGGGTGACACACCCCCTGCAGTAACTTGACAACTTCCACTGCTGAGAAGTCCCTCCTACATCTAACCCAAATTCTTCAAGCTGCAGAACCAGCCTTATCCTCTTTTTGTTCCCAGGAAGCCCCGAGTCTGCTTTGGCTGGGACAAGGCTGACCAGGCACAAGGCCAGTGGATCCGGGCCGTGGTGGGGGCAGCCACAGGCATGGGCCTTCCCTGCTCTGGACCTGCCTCAGTCTTCCCGTGGCTTCCACAGGCATGAGAGGGCCACCCACCAAATAGTGTCACCAGACAGCCTCCGGCCTGGCCCTTCAGCACACCGGGACCCAGGTCTCCCATCCCCTGCCCACTCCTTAGGGAGGCACCATTTTAATTCACATTTATTTTTTAAATAAATACTCTGCTCTTCACTTTCAGACTGGAGGGTGAAGCTGGACAGTCGGGCGGGAGGCCCCCCCCCGCCCGATAGGCAGCATTGAGAGCTCTGCGGCCCCAAAACACTCCCCTCAACGATGCCTGAAATGCCTCCTGCACGGCTGCTCCTTCTGGCCTGACAGCTGCGCTTGGCTGCTGACGACAAAAATTCCCTAACTGCAGTGTCAGAGTTGGGGGCAGGGCCCAGAGTGACTCCCTGGGCTCCTGGCTGACCCCCACTGACCACAGCTCCCTGCCAGCGGCCGGCCCCCCCTCGAGCCAGAGAGAACTAGACGCAGGTGATCAGCACAGCCATGGCACTGGGCACCTTGATCTCCTCGAAGAGCACGCGGCCCCGAGGGGCCTCCGCACCCGCCGCCCCGGCCGCAGCTCTCAGCAGGTCTTGAGTGTGCTGCAAGAGATGCTGGTTCCGCTGGCGGCCCAGTCGGCGCAGCGCCAGAATGGCCAGTATGTGGTCCCGCCTGCAGAGACATGCGGGCACTCACTGCAGACCTACACCTCCGCAACACCCCCAGCCCCAGCATGAGGCGAACCCACGGGCTTGGGAGTTAGTATGAGTCACTCTGCATTCCAGGATGGTCAGGGAGGTCAGATTGACTGAGGCCAGGAAGAGCTGTGCTGGGGGAGGGGGCAGGGCGTGGGCCTGGGGGACACCATAGCTGGGCTTGAAGGGGCACAGGAGAGGGGTGTGCAGAGTGGGAAAGAGCCCACGCAAAGGCGTGGAGGGAGACCTGGGGACCGGGTGGAGAGACCCAGGCTGGAGAGAGAGGGAGACCCAGGGACAGGGTGGAGAGGGAGGGAGGGAGGGAGACATGGGGGCAGGGTGGAGAGGGAGGGAGGAGGGAGACATGGGGGCAGGGTGGAGAGGGAGGGAGGAGGGAGACATGGGGGCAGGGTGGAGAGGGAGGGAGGAGGGAGACATGGGGGCAGGGTGGAGAGGGAGGGAGGGAGGGAGACATGGGGACAGGGTGGAGAGGGAGGGAGGAGGGAGACATGGGGGCAGGGTGGAGAGGGAGGGAGGAGGGAGACATGGGGGCAGGGTGGAGAGGGAGGGAGGAGGGAGACATGGGGGCAGGGTGGAGAGGGAGGGAGGAGGGAGACATGGGGGCAGGGTGGAGAGGGAGGGAGGAGGGAGACATGGGGGCAGGGTGGAGAGGGAGGGAGGAGGGAGACATGGGGGCAGGGTGGAGAGGGAGGGAGGGAGGGAGACATGGGGACAGGGTGGAGAGGGAGGGAGGGAGGGAGACACGGGGACAGGGTGGAGAGGGAGGGAGGGAGGGAGACATGGGGACAGGGTGGCGAGGGAGAGAGGGAGACCGGGGGACAGGTGGTGGAGAGGGAGGGAGGGGGTGATGCAGCTGCGGGTGACGGGGCCAACGGGGTTGGGGAGTAGTTGGAGGGGAACTCCCAGGGTGATGTAAGGGCCACTCTCTCTGAGCCACAGCCTGGAAGACAGGCCTGCTGGGGATGGGGAATCCTTCCCCACCCCATGGCAGGGTGGCCTGGGGAAGGGGATGAACCAGGGGCTTTCTGTGAGCTCCACATCCCAGAATCTCCAAAAGAATGGACTTGGAGAGATTCGAGCTGGGATTTCCAAAGGCTTGGATGACTCACCGACCCCCCAGCACAACCCGGGATCAAAACCTCCTTCCTCCTGACCAGGTCTCAGAATCCCCTGGCTTTCAGAGAGGGCTTTCTCCCCAGGGGTGGGGGGTCCGCCTCCCCCTCAGATTCCAGGACTGGAGGCGTGCCCACCCCTGGTGGGGCTGATGGAGGATGGCCAAGAGCAGATTAGGAGAAGGGGCTCTCTCCATTCCCCCTCCAGCCTTGAGGGTCTGAGGGTCCAAGGCCTACCTCCTGCCTCTGGTCTTCAGGCCCCTGGGCAGTCAGGTCTGGGCTGGGGTTGCTCCAATACCAGCCCCCTTGGCCCTGAAGCTCTGGTAGGAAGCTAGTGGAAGCAGGTGGGGTACACACCTGATGTCGGGGTAGCTCCGGATAAGAGTCTCCAGGTGCCGCTGGATGTCATCTTTGTAGGTCTCGCCCAGGATCTCAGCCACGCACTGGATGGCTTGGTCCAACCATGTGGCCTCGGAACCCTGCGAGACAGAGCCACCGCCTGCCCCAACAGCCCTCTCCCCACCGCTGCTCCAACTCCTGCAAGAGCGCGAGGTCAGTGCGAGGTCAGCCCTCCCGCAGCGTCAGCCCTCCTGTAGTCACTCTGGCTCGGTGCCGGGACTGCCTCCCCCAAAACAGAACGGGAGCGTGCCTGGGCACCGAGGGCTCATGGGCTGGCTACACAGCCTTCATCTCCCCTCCGATCCCATCCTGCTTGGACAGGAAAACCGAGGCCAGCCTGAAAGCACTGCTAGGGGGCAGACGAGGGGTGTGCAGGGGCGCTGGTGCCTCCACTCTGAGGGCTCTGGCCTGAGGTGGGGGACACCTCCCAAAGGCCCTGACCGTGAGATGGGGCTGTGACCCTCGCCCCTTCCCCGCACCCCTGCAAACTGTATGCAAATGTATGCAAAGTGCCGCCCTCCCACCTGGTTCCCTCCACCCCCCAGCCCCACAGGCGCCCCAGTCCCTGTTCCACCTGATCCAGAGTGGGGAGAACCACTCCTGCCAAAAGCCCTCCCGGCGCTAAGGCCCTAGTCACTGCCACCACTCCCCACACAGAGGCGAGCACCGAAGGGCAGTCATGCCGCCCCTACCAGGCCCTGGAAGGTGTCGCTGATGGCCTGGGCATCCAGGCTCATCTTCTGGGAGCCATGCATGCGCTCCATGCCCCGGAACCGCTCCCGTGGCCTCAGCGCCCGCGCCAGGTACTCGCGGACCACGAACCGGTGCACCTCCTGCAGAGTCTCCTGGGCGGCCCAGGGTCAGGGTCAGGGTCAGGGTCAACAGCCCCAATCCTGGGCACAGCCCTGCCAGGGCCCTCCCCCTTGTGGTACCTGTGCCCGCGGCCGGGCCACACGCTGGAGATGACCGGCGAAGGTCACCACCTTGTCCATGAGGGGATGCAGCCAGTCCTGCGTCAGCCAGTCCCTGGTGCACACAACCCTGAAGAGCGGCTGGGGACAGAGGGGCTGGGAGTCTGCAAATGTGCACTACGCCCGCAACGTAACCCCTCCCTCGAAGCCCAGTGTGCCACTCCTGACCCCTTCCCTCCTGGGTTTGGGGTGCCATTCCCTCTCCTAGCCACAGGTTATGTCACGAGCCCTTTCCCAGAATGCCTCTCCCAGGCCCCAAGCTCTAGGGGCAGGGTTTGAGTCTGTGCAGTCAGATCTGCTCAGGGCATGCCCTGGAGAAGCCTTGAGGGACTGGGTGAGGACCCTGGGCCTGGATCCGTGGACCCACCATCCCAGGCTTCGGGGGTGACCACTAAGAGCTGGAGACTGAAGTGAGAAGGCAGGCGTCTCCCAGCCGCCCCTGCTCAGCTGGGACCTCACCTGGGTCCCCTGCCCACTACCCTACACACACACCCATGAGCTCACCCTGGAATAAATGAATGCTGTGACCTGGGCCCCCAGGCTCTAGGAAATAGGGGGTGCCTGCTGGGCATGGGAAGTAGGGAGAGAGGGCCTATCACAGTCACCTGCAACTCACGCTGCAAGCCCTGAAGCAAGTGCTTCTGGAAGCTGCAGGTGGCCGTCACCAGGGGCTTCTCCAGCTCCTCTTGGGTTCCTGGGAACCTGGAGAGAAGACTGGTCCTGGGGAGGGGCCAGGACCAGCGATGAGGTGGGCAAGGGAGACCAGGCTGGGGAATAGAGCCGGGCACACAGCTCCACTCACTTAGACTACAATGTGAAGGGCAGCCCGTGGGGCTCCCCATTGTAGCTGTCTGCGAGCAGAGTCAAGTGGGGGACAGCACAGAAGCCCAGGGAGCCAGTCACAAAGGGGTGGGTCAGGGGTGGCTGACCCGTTCCCCTCTGGCAGCTCTGGGACAGACCTTCCATCCCTCTTGGTGATAAACAGTGCGGCATAGCCATGCCTGGAACATACCCTACCCTGAGCCTTATAACTGCCCCCTGAAGGTGACCATGTCCCTATTTCACTGTTGAGGAAACTGAGGGCCAGGCTATACGCAGTCCCCGCAGCCAGGGACACAGTAGAGCAGGCTGGAGTTCCATCAAGGGTTTGGCCAGAGGCTGCCTACCAAGGGGCAGAGAACGCTCCCTGGAGCTGAAACCCCAGGGTCCCAGCACCAAGGACAAGCCTGGCACAGATTAAGGACGAGAGTGTTGGAGAAGCAGTGCCTGATGGTCATGCTTTGGATTTAGGCAGGCCTAGTTCAAGTCCCAGCTCCACCACTTCCTGGCTACGTGGCCACGGGCAAGTGGCACCTCCTTTCCAGGCCTGTGCTCTGCACCTGTGCGTGGGTATACTGCGCTTGGGATGAGACGTGTCAGGCAGGGAAGGCACCCACAAAGTGCCTGGCACTGAGAAGTGCTCACAAAGAGCCAATGGGAACTGAGTCCCCTGAGGCACAGAGGTCCCACACCACCCCAGGGAGCAGGTGCTCTGATCCTATTTGACAGGTGGCAAAAGAGCCACAGAGGGGAGGTGGCTTGTCCCGGAGCACACAGCCAGCAGGTGGCACAGCTGTTCTTTGAAGTCAGACAAATGAGAAGTACTTCGGGACACTAAAATTTACACACTTTTAAAAAAGGATAAACCCAGATGGGGAGGCTCAGTCTGTGCCTCTGGCGCTGCCGCATCTGCTGAGGCCTGGCCTGGAGCTGAGGGCACGGAAGGCCAACAGCTACTGCCAGCCCACAGGGAGGGCGTCTGCCTTCTGGGGACACAGAGACCCAGACCTCACCCCAGCAAAGCCCAGGGTGCAGGCTGAGGGAGGCTTCCCAGAGAAGGAGGTGTCCCAAGATGGAAGAAATGCTGCCTGGGATGAAGGGAGGGAAAAATGGAGCCCAGGGCAGCAGGCAGGGAGCTGGAACCCCTCGGCCTCTGCTCAGCCTTGAAGAGCCATCCACACTCCCCCAGGGCCCCTGCTCGGATGGACACACACACACAAGACACACGCATCTAGGCTCTGACACACACACACCACTCAGCTCCACCCCTACACGCACATGCATAAACACCTCTTAGCTCCAACACACACACACACACACACACACAGCCCTCAGCTCTGCCAAACACGCACACACACAGCCTCAGCTCTCCACGCATGCACACACAGGCACACACCCTCAGCTCCATCACACACGCACACACACCCCCCAACTCTGCTACACACACACGCACACACACCCCTCAGATCCACCAACACACAGACACAAACACACACACACACTCCTCACCTCTGCCCCCTCCACGCGCGCGCACTCCCCTCCATCCAGGTTCCCGGCGCTCGCGCGCCCCCTGCTGGCCACGCTGCGCCCGCACAGGAGCGGGCGAGCCCTACCTGAGCTCCTCGCAGGCGTTGATGTAGGCGCCCAGGTGCGGCTCGCTCACCGCCTCCGACGCCAGAAAAGCCTTTTCAAACCTGGGGCGGGATACACAGAGCCTTTGGGGACCCTCCCTAGCTGCGCGATGACCCTGGGTCCACCCTCCCAATCAGGTCCCTACGCAGACTCCTCCCTCCCACCTGCAGAGCGCACCCGGCCAGGTCGCTCCCCTACTGAGGATGCGTCCGCACCTGGGCACGAAGAGGCCGAGCGCCCGCGTGCAGATTCGCAGGGTGGTGGCCTCCAGCTCCGCGGAGATGGCGCCGGCCGCCTTCACGTGCTCGGCCACGAGCTGCGAGCGAAGCCCCGCACTGAGCGTGCCTCCCAGCCCCCGACCTGAGGCCGCGGGTCCCCTGGTAGCCCCCGCTGCGCCTCCAGCCCGCCCCGCTGTGCCTGTCAGTCTTGGCCCCTCCAGCTTTCAGCCGCCCAACTGGAGAGTCAACTCCCGCAAACTCCCATCCAGCAGCCTCCCTGCCCGTCGGCGCGCCGGGGGTCCCCGATTTCCCCCCGCGTGGGGCCTCAGGCTCCCATCTAACGGAAGGGTTGGTTGGGACTGGATAGGAATTCGTTCTGGAAATCGCCACCGTGTGCGTGAGGCTTGAACAGACGCCCCTTCTCAGCCCCTGCTCCCGGGCCGCACCATATGGACGTCCATGGACAGCGGCGCCTGGTAGAGGCCCTGCAGCACCTCGGGGACCTCGGCGGCCGCCCAGTGACTCTGCTCCAGCTGCAAGATGCTGTCGAAGCAGCTTGCGATCTTGGCCTGGGGGGAGAAGGGATGGGCCGTGGTGAGACCCTCCCAGACCCCGTCCCGCGCCGTCCGGGATGAGGGCCGCCCTGTCGGGTCACAAGCCCGCGCCGGGGGCCACAGGGTGAACCAGAGCCAGCTCTGGCCGCCGATAGCCTGGGCGCCGCACATCCCCCCAGGGCCCGCCCCCTCCAGCCTGGCCCGCCCAGCCTGACCCGCCCGGCCTGACCTCCAGGAAGCTGGTGTAGTCGCTCTCCAGTCGGGCCCACACGTCCGGCGCCAGGAGCGGAGGCAGCGGCTCGGCGGGCAGCGCCAGCCCCGGGGCGCCCAGGAAGTCAGGACTGGAAGACAGGGCAGGGGGCTGGGGGCGGGAGCGGCTCTGATGCGGCAGCCGCTGCCCCTCTTCTGGCCAGGCTCAAAGTCTAACGCCAATCCCGAACCTGGGCATCTGTACACACACACACACACACACACACACACACACGCGCGCGCGCCTCTAGGCTGCCATGCCACACCCCCTCCCGGGAAGCCTCTGACAGCTGGGTTCCTGCCTTCCTGCAGAACGCTGAAGGACGGCTACCCAGATGGCACTCCGCCCTCTCCTCAAACACAGCTCAGGAATCGGCCACCCTCCAACCCGCAGCACGGAGGCCCACAGCAGGGCGGACACGGGTCTGACCCCACACAATTTAAGGAGCAATTTAAGGAGTGCGGGACTTCAGGCAACCTCCCCCACCTCCGTGGGCGCTCCTGCCGGTGGGGCTGGGAACCGCTCCGCGGGGAAGGCAATCCATCCTCATCCCAGGCAGAGAGCGGGAGGTGGCCGCTCCCCGCAGGCTGTACCCTGAACCCAGATGCCCGTCTGGCCTAACGGGGTGCCCTTTTCTTTTTTCTTTTCTTTCTTTCTTTCTTTTTTTTTTTTTTTTTGAGACAGAGTCTTGCTCTGTCGCCCATGCTGGAGTGCAATAGCGCGACCTCGGCTCACTGCAACCTCCGCCTCCCGGGTTCAAGCGATTCTCCTACCTCAGCCTCCGGAATAGCTGAGATTACAGGTGCGTGCCACCATGCCCGGCTAATTTTTGTAGAGACGGGGTTTCACCGTGTTGGCCAGGCTGATTTCGAACTCCTGACCTCAGGTGATCGGCCGCCTCAGCCTCCCAAAATGCTGGGATTACAGGCGTGAGCCATGGCGCCTGGCCAAGATGTGCCCTTTTCTGATGCGCCCAAAGGCACCTGGTGGAACCAGCACAGGCCCTGCTCCCATGGGAACCTCCCCGCGGAAACTTTTCAAATTCTGGAACTGTGTATGGGTGACCCCTAGAAAACCTGGGGCGGGAGCGCCCCACGGCCTAACCCGCCGAGGAAAGCATGTCGAAGCCCTCGGCTCTCAGCCCTCTCCCAGGGAGGGAACAGAGAAGAAAGGTCCGGTGCTCCTCAAAGCCGGCTCCCCAAGGCCTGCGGAGGAAGCGGCAGCTGTCCTCGCCACTGGGCGCCCTGGCCGAGACTCACCTGCCGTAGACGTTGGCGGCCCAGTCCAGCAGGATATAGAGCTGCTCGCAGCCGCGGGCGTCGCGCGCGAGCTCCTGGAGGCGCTGGGCCACGGCGCTGTGGAAGGCACGCAGATAGACCTCCCACGCTGGGAAGCCGGCCGCCGCATACGCGGGCTGCACCTCCTGCCGCACCTTCTGCAGGTCGCGGCGAACCAAGCCACCCAGCTCGGCCAGAAGCTGGGCCAAACCCGACGCGCCCTCCGCCTCCCCGAAGGCCCACCCCGCGCCCGGCCGCCGCACGCGCTCCTGAGCGCTTCGCCGCACCGCCTCCTCCCAGTGCTGGCGCCAGCGGCGCGGCGTGCGCAGGAAGTCGCCGTCGTCGGGGGGAGAAGGGTGGGCTTCCTCCTCCGCGCTCACCACGCGGGCCAGCTCGGCCAGCGCGGCCGCGTCCACACCGTCGCTGTCCAGCGTCTCGCGCACGATGGCGCCGATCTCGGCTGCCAGCCCGTCGTAAAGCAGGCACACGTCCATAGCGCGCCGCGCGAAGGCCGTAGGGTCCTGCTCAAAGGTGCGCGAGGCCTTCTCGGCCACCAGCAGCGTCTCCAGGCGCAGAAGCTGTTCGAAGGCCGCCAGCAGTTGCCGTTCAGTAATGAGGTCGGCCACGGATTTGCCTTCTGCACAGGCGGGCGAGAAGGGCGGTGAGAGGGACCGCCCCAAGACCCGAACCTGGACGAAGACCTGCAGGCCACGGCTCAATCCATCGGGGCTGGATTGTCTGTCCTCTGCCAGATGCCCCAGCACAGCTGAAGGCCTGCTCCAGGAACAACAGGCCCCAGCTGCCAGGAGCCCTCCCTTAGAGTCACCTTTGAAGAGGCAGAACCTGGGGCCCCAAGCCTGGCTGAACAGAGCAATTTGGGTCAACCCCTACCTTCCGCCTGGATCCCACACCCACCTTCCACTCCCGGCTGAGCCGGACCTGATAGCCTCATGCTCAGCCCTGATTGCAGGTCTAATAGGGTCGGAGCTCAGGCAGGGCGTGTCCTGCCCGTGTCCAGCTTTACATTCCTGCTGCTCCCCACTCTCCGCCAGCCTCCACCCGACAAGAGCTCTCCACCTCCATGTCCCCCTCTTCCCACCCCAGTGTATCCTCCTCTGGGCAATCCCCCTGACCTCCCCTCCTGGTACCTCTGCGAGCCTTGCACCCTCTGCAACCCTGTGATCAGCTGTGTGCATGGCCCTAGTTTGACCAGGAGCCAGGCTGTGAAAGGCCATGGAGAGGTGGGGATCTAGGGCCATGCATATCTGGGTTCAGGTCCCATTCTCCACGCTGTGAGACTTGAGGCAAGTCACTCCACCTCTCTGAGCCTCACTTTTCTTATCTGCCCAATGGGGGGGCTCCCATTGCAGAGATGCTGCAAGAATTTAAAGTGCAATTGTCCAGCTGGGCATGGTGGCTCACGCCTGTAATCCCAGCACTTCAGGAAGCCAAGGCAGGAGGATTGGGTGAGCTCAGGAGTTTGAGACCAGCCTGGGCAACATAGCAAGACCATATCTCTACAAAAAAATAAAAACAAATTTAAAAAATTAGGCCAGGCACAGTGGTTCACGCCTGTAATCCCAGCACTTTGGGAGGCTGAGGGGGCGGATCGCGAGGTCAGGAGCTCAAGACCAGGCTGGCCAATATGGTGAAACCCCGTCTTACTAAAAATGCAAAAAAAAAAATTAACCAGGTGTGTTGGCACGCACCTGTAGTCCTAGTGACTTGGGGGCCTGAGGCAGAAGAATCACTTGAACCTGGGAGGTGGAGGTTGCAGTGAGCCAAGATTGCGTCACTGCACTCCAGCCTGGGTGATAGAGTGAGAGTCAGTGTCAAAAAAAAAAAAAAAAAATTAGCCGGGTGCAGTGGCTTACACCTGTAGTCCCAGCTACTCAGAAAGTTGAGGTGGGAGGATCGCTTGAGCCCAGGAGGCCAAGGTCGCAGTGAGCTGTGATTGCACCACTGCATGCCAGCCTGGGTGACAGAGTGGAGACCCTGTCTCAAATAAATAAAGAATTGCACATGTTCGGGGGCAGGGTTTGGGGAGCTAGGGAGGACAGCCTTTCCGGAAACCTCAGCTGAGCTGCCCTGACCTCTGGCCCGTTTCCTTTCATGCTTCGTGTTGTTTCTGAGGCCCTTACCTGCCTCGGGTTTCAGTTCCTCAGACGCTGCCCCAGTGGATGCCTGCTGGCTGACACCATTCATGACCCCCGAGGGCACCTCAGGAGTGGCCTGGGAATGGCCGGTAGCTGGGCCGTCATTCAGGGCTTGCCGGAAGGACCGGAACAGGGAGCAGGAGCTTCGCCGGAACAGGCCCGTATCTTCCTTGGAGACCTGGGTCAAAGCCCGCTGGCTGGCCCGGGAGAAGGCCTGCCTCAGGGAGCCCAGGCCCAGCCTTGTGCCATCCTTGCGGTGGGCATTGGGCTCTTTCCTGCTGCTTGTTCGCCGGGAGCCCTGAGCTGGAGTCTGTGGCTCCTCAGCCTCCTTGGGACTCTGCAGCTCCGGCCCAGGAGTGTCTGTCTGTGGTGATGGCATCTTGGCAGCAGGAGAGCTGGGGGCAAGAAGGAGTGGCCATAGGAGCAGATGCAGAAACCTGTTGTGGCCCTGTGGGGCCTGGCCACACCCAGGGGCTTGGTCAAGGAAGGCTCTCCAGAGGAGGCAGCCCTCAGGCTGTCAAAAGGAAGCATCACCAGGCCACTCTCTTGGCGAGAGCCCTCAGTGTGCCAGGCCGCAGCTGGGCACGGAGATATAGACAGCTGCTTCCATCAGGAGCCTTTCCTGAGACCATCCCCCAAAAAGGGTCTCCGCAGGTGCCCACCGTCACTCGGCCTCTGCCAGGCCAGACCCTCCCATTAGAATTGGAGGAGGGCACTGACATGCAGTTCTGGGGCCCAGTCCAGACCACAGCTCACAACACCCGAGGGCAGGACCAGCAGCCACATCTAGGCCTTCCCAGATGTTAGGTCCTGAGGCCTAAAACCCTCCCCCCAGCCCCCACCAGCTCCTTCACTGCCCTCCAGGTCCCTCAGCTCACCCGCCTTCAGCCCAAAAGGCCTGACTACTTTGGCTCAACGGGGAGGGCAGGGACCCCCATGGGAGCCCACCCCCTTCCCTGGGTGTCACAGAGCCCGCCGAGGAGGTGTGGGGCCTGAGGGCAGTGGCCAAGGCCACCCTGCGGCTTATCATGGCCATGCAGCCACAGGGGCGGCAGAAGGAGGAGCCTCGGGTCTATATTTAACCAGGGACTGGGGGGGTTCTCAATGCTGTTTCCCACCCATTGCCTCTCCTCCTCCCCCCACTCCTCTCCCTCTCCACCATAGCATGCTCTGGCCCCTCCCCAACACAGGGAATGGAGGGGGTGTCCCAGGGACATGGGGGTGGCTGAGCTGCGGCTGCTCCTGCTCCCCCAGGGCCCTCGGCACCGTGGCCTGCCAGGCTCCACCCACACCCCCTTCCAGCGTTAGGAGCTGTGTTTGCTTTCCTGGCTTTAGGTTGGGAGAGGGGAGGGGCCTCCCACCCACCCCATTGCACAAGCTGGGCCATGGGTGGGGGAGGGCATTAGGCCAGCAAAACCTCACTTTCCTCTGGGAGAAACTGGGGCCAAAGAAGGGCTGGACCTGCCCCTAGCCCAGCCCCAGGGCCCCCCACCCAGGTGCCAGGACCAAAGCACCCGCCTGACCCACCACCCAACCCTTGGGTGACATCGGGCAGGAAGTGTGCCTCCCCAGGCCCCAGTTTGCTGCGGTGGAATGACACCAAAGTGGGCAGGGCCCAGACCCCCACCCACCCTCGCCCTCCAGCAAGGTGCCTGCTGGGCCCAGCTGCAGCCTACCTACCTTCCTTGAGGTTCCCAGAGGCGGCTAAGCAGCTGGATGGAGGCCCGAGGAAGGAGAGACAGTCAAGTGATTGATGGAGCTTTATCAGCCCCGCCCTGGCCACAGGTCGGCGACTTCCCCCAGCGCCAGGGTTCAGGGACCCTGCCTGATTCGGACTTGACCCACACTTCAGGGCACCATCTGTCCCAGCCTCCACTCGCTTCTCTCTCCCCGGTGCCCCTTCATGCTTGGCATGGGGGCCGGCGCCCAGCAGGGCAGGGGTGTTGTGAAGAGAACGGTTCAGCACATGCTGCATCCACCGCTGTCAAGAGGACGGAGGCGGGGATGTGGGGAAGGACAAGCCAGGCCCCGCCTTCTTGTTTGGGAGAACTCACACTTAGTAAGCACCTACTGTGTGCCCAGCTCGATGCCTGACACAGATCAGCTACTGTGACATCAAAGTTAGGGGTTGTCATTTGCCCATTTCACAGATGAGGAACCTGAGGCTCACAGAGGGACAGAGTCTGCCCCTGGCCGCGCACTCAGGCTGGGGAGCCTGCTTGGAGCTGGGAGCAGAGGCGGGACCTGCCACGTCTCCACCCCCAGGGACTCAGAACTGCCGCCCAGAAGCTCCCCTCCCGGCGGAGAGACCCAAGGTGTCAGCAGGTCCCAGAGTGGGGTCAGATGTGGAGGTTCTCTCCCAGGAAGCCCAGACGAGCGCCGGGTAAGGAGGGGCAGCTGTGCGGTGAATCTCTTAGGAGGTTACATAGGCAGAGGCTTGGGGGTCACTCAGCCTGCTTTTGTCCCAAACCAGAACTTCGCTGAAGGGCCAGTGAGGTCCCCAGATGGCCCCTCAGCCTCCAGCCATGCCACCTTCGACCCTGCAGCTCCCAACAGCTTCCCAAGCTATTCTCGACCTTCCCAAAGCAAAAGTCCAGCCAGGTCACTCCCCTGCTTTAAGCCCTTCCATGGTTCCCTCCTGCCCGAGCCCCACAGCCGGGCATCCATCCTGGAACCTCCTTCCTCCACCCCCCACCTCCCGCTGATGACACCTCACCAGCTTCCCCTGGGGTTCACGGACAACCTGCACCCCACCCAGCTTCTTCTCTGTCCTCCCGGCTGCACGCCCAGCCTCCAGCTTCCCCTCCGGCCATTCCCTTTCCTGGCCCCTGTTTGTTCTCCAAACCTGACTTGGGTTTCAGGACCTCGGGGTTCAGATGCCTTGCACCACCGGCCGTCACCATCTATCTGCTCAGTGGGTACTCGGCACTGTCCCTGTGATGATGTGGCCCTCCTGCACTGGGCTGGCAGCCTCTGTCCATCTACCCCGGTCACCCCTGAGCACAGCCTGGAAGCAGGCGGAACATCGGTATCAGGGTCGCCCTGCCACCCCCGGCTGGCCTGCCTGCTGCCATGCTGGCGCCTGCGGGGCTGAGACCTGAAGGCCCCTCTCAACTCCCCCCTCCACCTCCCAAGGCTCTCGCCTGGCCTGTCCCTGTGCCTGCCTCCCCACACCCCCATGGACTCTCTCTGGCTCTCTTTTCTCTCTGCGTCTCTCTGTCCCCAGTGCCCGGAGAGTCCAGGGGGCCCCGGCTCCTATGCTGCCGCTCCCTGATTGCAAGGCCCCAGAGACTGACGCCCGGCCTGAGCCCCGGGTCCCACTCTCCCCAGGTCAGGCTAATACACCCTTTGTGGGGCCAGCAGCAGGGGCAAGAAACCACCCAGAGACACAGTCACTGAGAGCTCCCACCCTGGGCCACCCTAGCTGTGTCCGAGAAGTCAAGTCCGAACTTCCCCACCCTCCCTACCCCCAGCCTCAGCTTCTACTCCCCGCTTTCCCCTAGACCTTCCCTCCCGTAGCTGCTCCTCATCCTCCCAATCACTCTGCAGTGCTCACCCACTCCCCAGCCTCCCCAACTACGCTGGGACTGGACCATCGCTCCACTCCTCAACGCTCCAAAGGAGCCTCTTGCAGGTGACTGCCTGTACTGTGCCCTGGGCCGAAGCCCTGTGCGGGGCTTGTCCCCTCTCACTTCCCCACCTGCCATCCACCTTCACCTGATCACAGCCTCCGAGCTGCTCTCCTTCCCAGGCCCCCTCAATGCTGCCTCCTCGGATCAGTCATAAGAATCTTGCCTAGCACTTAGACGGTCGTTGGCCAACCTCCCCAACAGCACTTGGGTTTTCCTGTTGAGAGGGGGGACTGAGACAGAACTAGCTGGATTTCCTAGTCCGACTAAGAATGCCTAAGCCTAGCTGGGAAGGTGACTGCATCCATCTTTAAACATGGGGCTTGCAACTTAGCTCACACCCGACCAATCAGGTATTAAAGAGAGCTCACAGAAATGCTAATTAGGCAAAAACAGGAGGTAAACAAATAGCCAATCATCTATCGCCTGAGAGCACAGTGGGAGGGACAATGATCGGGATATAAACCCAGGCATTTGAGCTGGCAACAGCTACCCTCTTTGGGTCCCCTCCTTTTGTATAGGAGCTCTGTTTTCACTCTACTAAATCTTACAATTGCAAAAAAAAAAAGAATCTTGCCAAAACGTCAACCTCCTTTGTTTATTGTTTTTAGAGACGAGGTCTCGCTGTGTCACTTCACCCACTGCTGGAGTGCAGGGATGCGATCATAGCTCACCACAGCCTCAAACTCCTGGACTCAAGCAGTCCTCCCACCTAAGCGTCCCAAGTAGCTGGGACTACAGGTGCGCAACACCATGCCTGGCTAATTTTTATATTTTTTGTAGAGACAGGGGTCTCATTATGTGTGCCCAGGCTGGTCTCAAACTTCTGGCCTCAAATAATCCTCCTGCCTCAGCCTCCCAAAGTGCTGGGATTACAGGAGTGAGCCACCATGCCCGGCCCTATAAACCTCCTTTGAAAGCTTTCCTTGCAAGCTTTCCTTTTCCTTCCAGCCCCTGCAAATAAGGAAAATGACAAGGATGTTTGTTCTCACCATTCTTACTCCTCAACATTTGGCTGGAAGAACTAGTTAAGGCAATAAGGAAAGAAAAATAAATAAGAGATGTAAACACTGGGAAGGAGCAGATTAAACTGTCATTATTCATAGGTGATATGATTGTTGGCTTAGAAAATCTGAGGCTGAAAATTATTGGAGCTAATAAAAGGGTTTAGTAAATTTTGTGCATTGATTATGTAAATACAAGCAACACCTTTCCTATACCCTAGCAAAGCCTATTAGAAAGAGACACTTAAAAGACTTCCCTTCACAGTAGCAACAAAGCATAAGCCCCCTGAGCCGCTGCTGCCCTCGGAAGAAGCACAGCTCCATCCTTAGCTTGGCATTCAAGGCCTCTCCTAATGACCCCTCTGGCTTCAGTCCCAACTCATTCCCTCACTCTGATCACTCAGAAGTACCCACCTCTCCTCCACACCTTTGCACAGGCCATCCTCTCTGCCTACAATGACCTCAGCCCCTCCTTCTTCAGTTGTCAACTCATTGAAGGCTCAGCAGAAATGGCTCCTCCCCCAAGAAGCCTTCCCGGACCAGCTGAGCCCATACCATGTTCGGCACCTCCTGCTGTGGGCCTGATCCCAGCCCTGGGCACACCTGCCATGACGGAGGGACAGTTACAGAGCCTGGAGACCAGGAGACCCGCAAGGCAGGGAGTGAGCCTGACTCAGCCCCCAGCCATGGCTAGTACTCGGCACTTTCCCGGGGAAACCAGGAAAGTGAATCTGATGCCTGAGCTTGAGCGCGCGGGCATATACACACTTTTCTGGGCGTCGGTTTTGCACATCTGTGTGTTGGCCTGAGAGTGTCTCCCTGTATGTGCATGACTCTGCCCTGGAGTGTCCCCAGAGGGTCTGCCAGTGCTTCTGAGTCTGTGTCTGTGCCTGCATGCCCATCTTGGTGTCTTCTGTGTCTGTCTATCTGTGCTTTCTACCTGAGTGTGTCTGCCTGTGTATCGGGTGTGTGTGTGTCCACTGTGATTTGCGCTGGCCCTCTGGCCTGGTCGGCCTGGGCTCTGAGTGAGGCCCTTGGCCTGGAAGGCCACACGCAGAGCCGGAATGGTCCTCAAGCCCGCCCACAGCACCCCATGCCCTCCTGCTCCACCTGCCCAGAACATACCTGCTGAGCACGCAGCCTTGGCCCAGGAAGAACACAGCCCCCTGAGAAGCTGGCCCGTGGGGCCCTCAGAGCCGGGCCCTGGCTATGGGGCCTCTAGAGCAGCCTGAGCGAGTGACCAACAGCTGGGACTTCCCAGCCATGGTCAGCGCCTGCCAGGCCCACCCGGCCCCACCCACAGCCCTACCCTCCACCAGGACCCCATACTTTCACTTTCAGAGAAGTTCCCACTTCCTTTTCGTTCCGGAGGCAGTCACTCCAGCTTTCCATTCCAGACAGCTCAGGGCTCAGTCCAAGGGTCAGAGAACAAGGGAGGGGAAGGCTGCGGAGCTCGGCACTCAGGGTCTCGAGGCAGCAGGGGGTGGACGCTGCCTGCCACCCAAAACACCACCAACCTCTCCTTTGCTCAGAGGCCAGCGGAAGCAGGCGCTGGCCTCGGGGGACACTCAGCCCACAGTGCCGGAGCCCAGAAGGACCCCTCCCTCCAGGACAGAGGCTCTAGCACTGGGCCAGTCCATCGAGTTCATCCCGAGACCCCTGCACCCTGCCTGTCAGGGAAGCTCACGGTGACAGCAAAGGCAGCAGTTGAGAGCCACATGCCATTCCTGGGGGCTTCAGGAGCTAGAGAAAGGGATGGGGCCCTAGGGACAGACAGGACACACTCAGAAGTGAGAAGGGACGGCATCCTGGGCAGGGGCAAAGATGTGGAGGCGGGGCCCCACTCCCCACACCAGGGGGTCAGGCGGGCAACGTGCCGCAGGGAGGGCCACTGACACTTCCCAGAAGAGGCAGCCTCACCCCTGCATAGGGGGATTCCGCAGCGAGCGTCTTAGGAAACAACTCAGGGAAAATCCAAGGAGAACGGATCCAGGCCTGTCCCAACCTGGGCTGGGGCCACCAGGGTGTGTGATGGGGCTGCTGCAGGGTGCTGAGGTGGGCAGAAATAGCCTCCTGCACCAGCATCCTCTGGCTGAGGGCAGAGGTGGCCCCGTGCAGCAGCATCCTAGGACTGAGGGCAGGGAAGGCCCCATGCACCCAGTGTCCTAGGGCTGAGGGCAGAGACAGGCCGGTGCACCAGCATCCTAGGACTGAGGGCAGGGACGGCCCCATGCACCCACTGTCCTAGGGCTGAGGGCAGAGACAGGCCAGTGCACCAGCATCCTAGGGCTGAGGGCAGGGACGGCCCCATGCATCCAGTGTCCTAGGGCTGCCACGACAGGACCAGGGACTGAGCCTCAACAACAGACGTTTATTCTCTCCCAGTTCTGGAAGCCAGAGGCCCACAGTCAAGGCATGTGTGGGGCTGGTTTCTCCTGGGGCTGTTTTCTGGGTCTGTGGGTAGCGCCCCCCCTTCTTCCTGGGTCAACACAGGGCCTTCCCACTTCGTGTCTGTGTCCATATTTCCTCTTCATATGGGTTGGGGTCCACCCGAATGACTTAATTTTAACTTATTACCTCTTTAAAGGTCACGTGTTTTTATAAGGAATTTTCCAAATAAGGTCACATTCTAAGATTGGGACTTCAACATACGAATTTTTTTTTTTTTTGGAGACGGAGTCTCTCTCTGTCACCCAGGCTGAAGTACAGTGGCGCGATCTCAGCTCACTGCAACCTCTGCCTCCTGGATTCAAGTGATTCTCCTGGATTCAAGTGATTCTCCTGCCTCAGCCTCCTGAGTAGCTGTGATTACAGGCACGCACCACCACACCCGGCTAATTTTTGTATTTTTAGTAGAGTCGGGGTTTCACCATGTTGGCCAGGCTGGTCTTGAACTCCTGACCTCAGGTGATTGGACTGCCTAGGCCTCCCAAAGTGCTGGGATTACAGGCGTGAGCCACCGCGCCCAGCCCAACATACGAATTTTATGGGGGAAAAGCAGCCCATAACAGACTGGAAGGTGCCTGAGATGCTGCAGCACCATCTGCAGAGGGGCCAAATTAGACTCAAAGATGCCAGCACCTCCTCCAGGAAGCCCTCCAATTAACCACTTGAGTCACTACCCTGAGCCCTGGGTTCCCTCTGTGAAGTGGGGTGCTAAGAGTCCCACTTCAAGCCCGAGAGGTGCCCAGCAGCCCATAGGCCCTTCCTCCCAGCCCAGTCCCACCTGCTGGCCTGAGTCCCACCCCACCTGTCTCCAACAGGCAGAGATGAGGGGTAACAGGGAATAAGCAAAACTGAGCAGAGACAGCCGGGGTCCAAGGTGGCTGGCTCCCCAGGGCTCAGTGACCTGCTCTCGGCCACACAGGTGCCCAGAGAGGCCAGGACTGCGACCTAGGTCTCTGGCTCTGTGGACTGGGTCTTCCCATACAGCCAGGCCTTGGTGGACTGGAGACTTCCCGGTCTAATTCTCCCACCCGCCCCCCAGCTCCCAGGGCATGTTGGGGTCCTGGGACCTCCAATTATGGGTCGCTCCATTCAATACACAGGTGCCTGAAAAGCTGGTGGTGCCCAGGGCCTGGGGACTGCTCCTGGAAGTCCCCTCAACTCCCATCTGCTCTCCACAGGCACCTGAGCCTGTGCCCGCTTTTCAGCATGAGGTTGCAATGTTTCTTTCATGCTATGTCCATGTTTTCCCGAAGTTTCTCAGTAAAATCCCTTTGGAAAAACCCCAGCCTTATCTCAAAGAAGCCTGGGTCACGAGGTTGGTCTGGGGTCAGGAGAAGGCCGGGTGGGGAGCCGTTAGGAGGGAGAGGCCTAGCCAGGGACACCCACCAGAGGGCAAGCCCAGCTCCCCACGACCTTGGAGAGGCACCTCAATCTCTGAGCCCCAGTTTACTCCTCCAGAAAATGGGATTGTCGTCGGGATCAAATGGGTTCACCTTGGCTGAGGACCTGGCTCCCAGGTAGGGAAGGCCAGGGAGCAGGACCCCCACCACCAAATGCTTGCCTGATCTGGGGCTCACTGAGAGGCCAGGCTGTCACACCCGGGGTGTAGAAGCCAGAGGCGGCCGCTTCCACCCTCACTGCTGCCGGGACCAGCGTTAAGCGCAGCGTGAGCACCCAGAGGCCCAGGCTCCCTCCCTAACCGGAAGCGGCTGCGGGCAGCGGGCAGCAGACCACTCTGCCCCAACCCCATATTGCAGGGTTGAGGTGGGAGCCCGGGCGGTGGCCCCAGCCGACGCCAGGGGGAGCCGCAGAACGACTCCCGCGGGGCGTCCCCAGGTCACCGCGTGTGGGGGGGCGGGACGGGGTACCGGGGACGGGACCTCGCTGGCACCGCCCCTGGCGTCTCCGCCCGCGGGCTCTGGGCGTGGCTGGGCGGTCTGGGCCCCGGCTCGCGGTGAAGGGCGGCGGGGTGGGGCAGCCCCCCGCGGTCGGGCCTCTCCACCCCTGGCTCAAGAGCACGCAGGGTCCTGGGACCTGCGGTGGGGGTCGCCTCCGCCCAAAAGCTGCCCTGCTGGACGGGGCGCGCTGGCGGGGTGCTGTGGGCGCCCTGGGACTCCGCCCGAGCTCGGCCGCTCGGCTGTGTGGGTCCCGGGCAGCCGTGTTGAGCCAGATGTCATAATTCTCACCCCGGAGCCGTGTGGTGGGGATCAAATCTCAGTAAATGGCGTCATCGCCCACCCACGTGCCGGCCTCCCTGCACCCCACATCCCACGTGCCTGCAAGGCATCCTGCGAGATGTCTGTCCCCTTTCACAACACTACCCCCATGTCCCCCAGCCTGGTCAAGCCTCTCCCTCCCTGGCTTCAGGACCGATGGGAAGGACTGGAGGAGGACGGAGAGGACTGAAGGGCCGCCCCACCCCTCACCTGAGCTATAGTCCGGGGAGGGCCCACGGGGTCCTGCGGTTTAAAACTGAAGCGGGCTGCCAGGCCAGCTTCCGCACCTCACCTCCCACCTTTCCCGCATTGGGGGGTTGGCTATTTTTAGAAGGAAGGCGGTGGGAGAAAGTGCATCTGAAAAGTGCATCTTCGTCCTGGAGGCTGGCGAGGCAGCGGGAAAGCACAAAGGGGCAGTGTCTCCTGCCTCCCTCCTCTCATGGGCCCCTGGCACACCTGCCCGGGCCACAGAAAGGCCATGGACTTGGCACAGCTGACATTTATGGAGTGTACCACTGCCCGGCCCTAAGCTTCCTCATCCTGGCCCAGGCTGGCCAAGGGCAGAGGGCCAGGTTGGGGGGACACACCTGGGGAGGGGGCCCTGGGTTACACTCGGGGCTCTGCCCCCATGCCAGCTGCAACCAGGCAGCAGGGCTCCCCTCCTGTAGTAGAACAGAGTCCAGAGACAATGTCGATGGACCCAGTGGAGGGACAGGACCCCCACATGGGGCAGGAAGAGATGCCTGCTCCACCAGCCTCTGATGCAGGTTCTGTGGCAGCCCAGTGGCTTCCTGACCTCAGGAATTCCCTCCGTAGCCGCTTGCCTTGAGCACCTCGCTTTGCACCTCAGTTCCTACACGTGTAAAATGGGACCTTCACGAAGATTTAACGAGATCCAACCTGGAATGGGGCGGCCCACCCCAGGCACCATCGCTGTGCTTTCCTACACCCGGGGCAAGTGGGTAGCAGGCCCTCAGGGTCCGGCCCTGGCCCCAAGAAGGCCCCACGGAGGGTTGGGAGGCCACCTGGAGGAGGCTGGTTCTGCCCTGGACAGCCTTGGCCAAAGCAGAGAGAGGGTCCCTGGGCAGAGGCACCAGCCACAGAGCCAGCTCAGCCCTGCCCAGCCTGCCCCAGTGCCAGGCCCAAGTGGTCACCCAAGAGGCGCTCTGGACTGGCCAGCCTGGGCTGGGAGCTGAGGCCCTCACCTGGAAGGCCACAGGCAGAGCCCAAACTGTCCTCAGTCCCTTGCATCCCCATCAAGTGTGCCTACTGGCCACCAGGAAGTGCCTTTATTTCTGCTTCAAACCACGGAACAAAGCGGGGTGTGATCCAGACCTGGGCCATGGGCAGAAGAGGGCAGGGCTGCGGTCCAGACCCTGTGACACAGGAAGCAGCCTCTGGGCTTTCCAGGCTGGGCAGGCCCGGCCCTCCTGTGCATCAGCCCGGCCACCCTGGGGCAGAGGCCCTCAGCAGTCAGACAGCAGAGCCCAGCCACGTCCTTGTCCTATCCCCGGGCCGGGGCTGCTGGGTCCTCGGAGCAGGCACACTCGCTGCCAGCGTTATCTGCAGCTTTCCCTGGTTCTCCGGGCAGACTCGGCGAGGGGGCTGCAGAAACATAAAGGCGGCCGTGTTGGTCGGCGGGGGGAGTGCAGCCTGAGAGGATCCCAGGGGCCCGAAATGAGCGTTTGGCAGGCAACTGGGCTGGGGCAGGCCAGGAGGTCCCCTCGGGTGATGAGAAGCGGGAGGGGTGCTCGGCCAGGGAGGCAGAATGAGGCTGGGCTCTGCGAGCAGGGGCAGCTCCCACATCCACCAGATGATGGGGTGGCAGAGGGAAGGGAAGTCCAGGGCAGACTCAAGGATATCCCCAGAGCCCAAGTCCCAGGGGTTACCCGAGTGGTGGTCCCTGATGCTGTCCTGGGCCCTGGGCAGAAACTGACAAGAGGCTTTGGGCAGAGGTGGGGGTTATGGGTCCAGACAGATAACCCCTCTGGCCACAATGAAAAGGGGGTTTTCTGGCCAGTACAGGCTGAGGTCTGGGGATGGGAAGAGGGCAGGCAAGGTGCTGAGCGGCCCCAGCTGCGGCTGAATTCACTTCCTCCTCAGGGAATAGACTCCCAGGGGTCTCCAGGGGACAACATCTCCCAGGGCACAGGGCACACCTCATGCCCCTTGCCCAGCCCCCAGTGGCCCTCAGAGCCATTCACAAGGCCCCCACAGCCCAGCCTGCTGCCTCTCCTGTTCCTTGGGCCTGGCGCCGGCTGCCCCCTCCTGCTCACACAATCCTCCCAGAAGTTTCAGCTTTTATTTTGAGATGGAGTCTCACTCTATCGCCCAGGCTGGAGTGCAGTGGCACGATCTCAGCTCACTGCAACCTCTGCCTCCAGGGTTCAAGCGATTCTCCTGCCTCAGCCTTCAGAGTAGCTGGGATTACAGGCGCCCGCCACCATGCCTGGCTAATTTTTGTATTTTTAGTAGAGATGGGGTTTCACCATGTTGGCCAGGCTAGTCTCGAACTCCTGACCTCAACTGATCCACCTGCCTCAGCCTCCCAAAGTGCTGGGATTATAGGCATGAGCCACCGCGCCTGGCCTGCTTTCAGCCTTTAAACAGGGCACCTGCAGCGGGATGGAGCCTGCCAACAGGCCAGCCCATCCCCCCACCACAAGCACCTGTAGGCTCACAGCCTCCCAGGCCCTAGTGAGCAAGGCACACTTGCTCCAGAGGTGATGACGAGGGTGCACTGGATAAGGAGGGGCGAGAATGTGGCATCACTCATTCAACAATTATGCACCGTGCACCTCCCGTGCCCAGGCCTGCGGCTGAGAGTGGATGAGGGACCTCATTTGCAGGTGGGAGGGAGGACGGTGCTAGGGAGGGGGGTTAAGGCCAGGCAGCACCTAGAGTCTCAGGCAGAGACTCCAAGGCGGGCGGAGGATGGAGTGTGAACAGGCAGGAGGCGGGAAGGCCTTGCTTGCTGGAGCCGCAGGAAGCACGCCCCGCTTCTGACCCTGGCAGTGGCCACTTCCTCCTCTCAGCACCCCCACAGGCACCCTCACTTACCAGCAGCAGCCCGGCTCTGAGAGGGGCCCCTCTGGGCACTCTCCAGGGGCCAGCGCAGCTCCCCACTTTCCACAGGGTCCGCCTCGCTGGGCTCCACCACGATTGAGGGCAGCCGCTGGCCCAGCCGAGGGCCCTTCTCCCAGGCACCTGCCACAGCCTGCAAGGAGGATGGGCAGGATCATGGCCATGCCAGGCCTGGCACTCCTATTCCCCCCTACCCCTGTCCTGCACACTGCCCCACTAGGGAGATCAGAGACCCTTCCCACCCAGTCCCCAGGGCAGGGATGGGCACATGTGTATTCACACAGGAACATCCCTGAGACAGGTCCCAGGCCCTACCCAGTCCCAACCCTGGGGGTAGGGTGCTCAGCCCCTGGGGTCACAGCTCTCAGGAGGCACCATAGGACGCAGCTGTGCTCAGCTCCAGAAGCCCATTGCACAGCCAGAGCCTGAGGCCGGAGAGGCCAAGGTCACCAGGAATGAGCCCAGGCTTCTGCGCACCCCCAGCTGCCTCCTGCACCCAGACTCCTGCCAGTCCCTTCCTGGGGTCTTCCCTGCTGGGCCCTTGGCCTCCTCCAGGCTCAGAGGAGCTGGGAAGCAGTTGCCATGGCAACCCAAACGGCTGGCTCTGGGCTTGCTCTTGGCTCATTGTTCAGTGCCCACAGGAGCCTGCGGGGGCTGCGTCCCCAGGCCTTCCCGGTGCCCTCAGCATCTCCACCTCCCGTTCAAGGTCTTTGAGGCTGCAGTGCTACGTGCAGAACTCTGTCCCTCAGCGCCCCGGTGGCCCTGACTTGCCTGCCCTGTCCCACCCCCACGCCTGTGCTCGGGCAGATGGCCCTGCCTGGAGCTCCCTGTCTCCCATTTCTCCACCTAGAAGGGAAGCTGCTGGGTCCACCTTCCCAAAAGAGCACAAGGGCCTCGAGGAAGGACAGCCACGCAGCAGGGGGGACTTAGCTGAATGGCCCTCGGCCACTGCAGCAAGATCCCTGAACAGTGCACATTCCTGAGCTCCAGCCCAGACTCTCTTTTAACCACGGACCATATGTGACCCTCAAGTGTGAGAACAGGTGTCACTGGACTGGGATGTCTGTGGAATGAAGGAGCTGTCAGAGGACAGCAGAGCAGGGACCCCATCCCTACCCCAAAGGCTGGATCCTCCCAGGGGCCACCCTCATGCTGGCATTGCCAGCCAGGGGGGCTCATCCCCCAGCCTGCTCTCCCTCCCCACGTGCCATTCTCCTTCCTGCCCCCAACCAAGGGTGCTCCTCTCCAAGTCTGCCCACTGGGGTGAACGAGGTCCAGGCCAGCAGCGTTTGCAGCTCGGAGTCCTGGTGCTCACCTCTGTCCACCCTGCCTGGGAGGCTGTGTCTGCAACCCCAAGTTCCAGACTGGTCCCTATATGACTCCAGGCTGGTCCCCCTCTCTAGCCCCACTGCTCCCCAACAAGGAGAATGGCTGGGCTCTAGCTGGGCTCTAGCACTCAGAATACTAAGGCTGCGACCCTGTGTAGGGAGCTTGTTTTTTTTTTTTTAGTTTCATCAGCACCTCCCCATCCCCTGCCAAAAGGTGACACTAGGGGCAGGGAACCCTGGCATTTCCTCACTCAGCAGAGAGCAAAGCGTGCCTTGGGGACAATCCCTGGGGTCCTCAGGTCAGGAAGGAGTGCTAAGTAAGCCAGGAATGCTGGCCTTCAATTTTTTTTATCCATTATACCTTTATAAAAGAGCAACAAGCCGGGCACAGTGGCTCACGCCTGTAATCCCAGCACTTTGGGAGGCCAAGGCAGGTGGATCACCTGAGGTCAGGAGTTGGAAACCAGCCTGGCCAACATGGTGAAACCCGAGTCTACTAAAAATACAAAAATTAACTGGGCATAGTGGTGGGCACCTGTAATCCCAGCTACTCCAGAGGCTGAGGCAGGAGAATTGCTTGAACCCCGGAGGCGGAGGCTGCAGTGAGCCAAGATCACGCCATTACACTCCAGCCTGGGCAACAGAGCAAGACTCTGTGTCAAAAATAAATAAATAAATAAATAAGCAATGATCTCCCCCACCCAGATGGGTAAACTGAGGCCAGCAGCAAGGCAAGGCATGCCCCAAGTCATGGGACAGAGTTTGAGGCTTGCTCCCTCCCGACCCCCCCAGGGTCCCGAGCGCATACCTTCCCTTCTGGGCCTCCAGCCCCCTCAGCAGCGCCTGGCTGTGGTGGAGCAGGCCGGGGGGTGCTCATGCTGCTGCCGCCACTGCGCCACTAAGCTGCACGAGGACTGGGAGCAGAAATGGGGTGTCTGCTGTTGGCCTGATGCTGGATCCACACTCCCCCGAAGGCTTCAGGTGCTAAGCCCACCCCACTCCACCCCAGCCCAGGCCCAGTGCCCATGGCTCCAGCTGGACCTATATTGCACTGCTCCCTGCCTGAGCCCGCCGCCAGAGGGGGCACTGGACCCTGGCCGCACAGTGTGCCTGCAAGAGGGCACAGGCAGGAGGGGAGACCTGGGAAGGCTTCCTGGAAGAAGTCTGCTGATCTGAGGCCTGAGAGGTGAGCAGGAGGTAGCTAGGCCAGCTGGGAGGACAGAAGCACATTCTGAGACAGGAATAGTGCAGGAAGGACACGGAGTGTCCTAGGGACCTAAACGTTCCTGAGACGGGAGGCTGGGAGTAGTAGGGACTGGGTTCAAGTCAGCCAGAGGCCAAGGTGCCCATTTCCTCCTCGAGAGCATGCACCCTGCACACCCCGGGCCAGGCCCTCAGCACCCACAGCCCAGGGGGAAATGAAGTCCTGCCCCTGCACTTGGCCGCACCCACTCAGGCTGGCCACAGCAGGGGGAGCCCCACTGGAGCCCTGGCAGCAAGGGCTCTGGGAAGAGAGCCCCTGGCAGGAGTTGGCACCAGCCAGACCCTTCACCTGCGCTCGGGCCGTGTGGGCTCTTGGGGCTACGCCCTGGTCAGAGGTAGAAATGGGGGTGGGGTGTGGCAGTGGCTGGCATGCAGGCAGTAGGGGGCCACGGGCGGGGGCAGCCCTGCAGGAAGGGGACAAGGCAGTGGGAGAGCAGAGACCAGCAGGATGGAATGCCTGTGACGTCCTGCTGGGGTGGGTGAGGGTGGTCCTGTGGCCGCCAGCAAAGCAGAGGGCTGCTATTCTGAGAAATGAGGTTTCTTTCACCAAACACCCCACTCAGGTCAGCTGGGGTCCCACTGAGGCCCAGGGAGGGCTAGGAGGGGCACACACTGCAGGAGGCCTCTCGGGGCAGCGGGCAGTGAAGCCACAACCTCTGGCTCCTCTGCCCAACCCCAAAGCCCAGGGATGTCTCAGTGCCCCACTGCTCCCAGGTCCGGCCCTCCATCAAGCCTCTTCTGGATCCCATCCCAGGACCCCAGAACTCAGGTTAGAGTCCAGGGCAGCCAGGACAGAGACCCAGCCAGCCTTGGGAAGGAGGCAGAGGGAGAGGCAAGAAAAATACTGCCACAGAGACCAGGCGAGAGGTGACTGAGCTGGAGACAGAGGAGAAGAGAGAGAGAGAGAGAGACAGAAACAGACCCACAGATGACACTTGGCCCAGAGAGAGAGGGATGACAGAGGCAGATGATAGAGCTGTCAGCTTGAGCCAGGCGGGGGCAGGCAAGCAGGGAACAAGTGCCCAAGGGCTGCCTTGCCCTGCCCGGCGCCAGGGTCCAGTGCCAGCCGGGGCACCACACATCGAGGGCACCCACCACCCCCAGCGCCGCGGGATCCCAGGTCTTGCTGGGCACAGCCCCGGGGACACAAGCGCGCGGAGGCATGGCGTTCCACAGCCGGGCTGACCCCGCGAACCCACGCCGTCCCGTTCCCCAAGGAGCTCGACTCAAAACTCCCAAATCCCCCCCCATGCTCCTCCCGCTCCCAACCACCCCGCACCTAGCCGTCAGGGCGCTCCCGGGGCCCGCACTGCCGGGGCCAGGCTGGGGAGGGGCGACCCTGCGCCACACTCACGCTCACCGCCCGCGCGGGTGCTGGCGCTGGGGCCTCCGCGCTCCGCTGGCTCCGCGCTCTCCCGGCTCGCTCTCCTTCTCGCGCTCCCCGCCCACACGCGCTCTCCCGGCCTCCCTCGCACTCACGCCCACCGCGGGGCTGGCCGCCGGTCCTCAGCGCCCGCGCCCTCCCAGCTCCAGCCCCCAGCAAGGGCCCGGCCTCATCTTCCCTTGAGCCGACCCCTCCCCCAGGGCCTGCCCCTGGCCACTTGAGACTGAGCCTCAAGATTGGCGTCCAGAAATTTGAGGTGCAGAATTCGGTGGGGCCAGATACATGGAAAGAGGACTCCTTCCTATTGGGGAATAAAGACAGGAGTAAAAAGGACCAAAAAAAAAAAAAAAACCCAAACTGCCGGGCGCAGTAGCTCACGCCTGTAATCCCAGCACTTTGGGAGGCCGAGGCGGGCAGATCACCTGAGGTCAGGAGTTCGAGATTAGCCTGGCCAATATGGTGAAACCCCGTCTCTACTAAAAATACAAAAAAAAAAAAAAATTAGCCAGGCGCGGTGGCAGGTGCCTGTAGTCCCAGCTACTTGGGAGGCTGAGGCAGGAGAATCTCTTGAACCCAGGAGGCAGACGTTGCACTTAGCCGGGATCGTGCCACTGCACTCCATCCTGGGTGACAGACTGAGATTCTGTCTCAAAAAAAAAAAAAAAAAAAAACCTAAAAACCCAAACTGGGATGCGCTGCAGGAAGCAGGGGGGGGGGGGGGGAGGGGGTCACCCCTCAGCCCCCCTCTCATCTTTCCAGTTCCATTCCCAAAAAGGAGCAAAACAGCCCTGGGACAAGCTGTCTCATTCAGCCCAGTGCACAGACCTGACACCTGAGCCAAGGTGCATAATCTCTGGTCCATGTAATTCCTACCCTGCAACCAGGAAGCCTCCACCGTCAGTTATCTAACATCCCACTTCCATTCAATACCCACAGTCCAGCCACGGTCCGTCTACCATTCACAGCTATTCATCTATCTTTTGCCATCCCGCCACCATCTGAGACCCACCATCTGCCATCCATCATCCACCATCAATAACCCAACATCCACCTCATCCACAATCCACCACTACCATCAATAACCCAACATCCATCCCGTCCACAATTCACCATCTACCTTCAATAACCCAACATCCATCCCGTCCACAATCCACCATCTACCTTCAATAACCCAACATCCATCCCGTCCACAATCCACCATCTACCTTCAATAACCCAACATCCATCCCGTCCACAATCCACCATCTACCTTCAATAACCCAACATCCATCCTGTCCACAGTCCACTACCTACCTTCAATAATCCAACATCCATCCCATCCACAGTCCACCATCTGCCTTCAATAACCCAACATCCATCCCATCCACAGTCCACCATCTGCCTTCAATAACCCAACATCCATCCTGTCCACAGTCCACCATCTACGTCCGTTTGTTTGTTTGTTTGTTTGTTTGTTTGTTTGTTTGTTTTGAGATGGAGTCTCGCTCTGTTCCCCAGGCTGGAGTGCAGTGGGAAGATCTCGGCTCACTGCAACCTCCGCCTCACGGGTTCAAGCAATTATCTGCCACAGCCTCCTGAGTAGCTGGGATTACAAGCACCCACCATCACGCCTGGCTGATTTTTGTATTTTTAGTAGAGATGGGGTTTCACCATCTTGGCTAGGCTGGTCTTGAACTCCTGACCTCGTGATCCACCTGCCTCGGCCTCCCAAAGTGCTGGGGTTACAGGTGTGAGCCACCGCGCCCGGCCCACCATCTACGTTCAATAACCCAACATCCATCCCATCCACAGTCCACCGTCTACCTTCAATAACCCAACATCCGTCCCATCCACAGTCCACCATCTACCTTCAATAACCCAACATCCATCCCGTCCACCATCCACCATCTACCATCAATACCCCAACATCCATCCCATCCACAGTCCACCATCTACCATCAATAACCCAACATCCATCTCATCCACAATCCACCATCTACCTTCCCCCATGCAACCACCAGCCATCCATTCACAATCCACCATTCAACCACCGTCCAGTATCCAATGTCCATTAACCATCCATCTCCAGTCACCATCCCATATGCAACCACCACCCATCCATCATGCACCCATCCATTCACCACCAGCACCCACCATTTACCAAGCATCAATACACCACTAAATACCCATTGATCCAACATTCATTCACCATCGATCCATCCACCACCTATCCATCCATCACTCACTATGTAACAGCTTTCCATCAGATATTTAACACATCCATCTACCATTCACATCTCCATCCACATATCTAATTGTGAATCATCACTCTACTATTCATTTGTCCTGATTTATCCCTTAACCTCCATCCAATCAGCAACAAGTCACCCATCTACAATTCACCCACCAGTCATTCACCATTTGCCATCCATTCATATTTCTATTAACTGTATTCCTCCATCCATCCACCAACCATCTACCATCACCATCTCTTTTTTGGTGTTTATTTGTTTGTTTGTTTGTTCGTTCGTTTGAGGCAGAGTCTCTCTCTGTCACCCAGTCTGGAGGGCAATGGCGCAGTCTCGGCTCACTGCAACCTCTGCCTCTGGATTCAAGCAATTCTCCTACCTCAGCCTCCCAAGTAGCTGAGATTATAGGTGCCCACCACACCCAGCTAATTTTTGTATTTTTAGTAGAGACGGGGTTTCTCTATGTTGGCCAGGCTGGTCTCGATCTCCTGACCTCAGGTGATCCACCCGCCATGGCTTCCCAAAGTGCTGGGATTACAGGCGTGAGCCACCACACCCAGCCTACCATCACCATCTCTTATCCATATCCACCACGTATCCATTCATTCACTATCCATCTCACAACATCCTCTATCTATCCACCCATCATCCAGCCAAAATTCACTATTCATCCAAAATCCATCCAAGTACCATCTAGCATCCATTCATATTCATCCATTCTAGAAAAAAATATTGACTGCCTTCTATGTGCCAAACATTGTTTTAGGTGCTGAGGACAGAGTAGAGAGACAGCAGTGAGCATTTATTTGCCATTATCCATCGACCATTACAATCCACTCACCATCCATCCAGTCACTATTCATGCCCATCCCACACTCGTTATTCTTTCTCCATTCGGTATCCATCTTCATTCATCATCCACTCTACCCACTTGCTATGTATCCATCTTCCTCCATCTGTACATTAAAGCATCCATTTACCACCTCTCCATCTACACACCCACCATTCATCTTTCATGCATCACTTTTCCAAGTTGTAGCCACCTACTGTTTAAACCTTCATCCATCCGCTCAGCACCTGTTCATCATTAGTCATCCAGATTCCATCCAGTTGTTATCTATCCACATCCACCTTCCATTTGTACCTCCACAGCACACAACCCATTATTCATCCAGCTAGCAATCATTCATTTATTTGCCATCCAGTCCCCATTCATGCACCAGGCAGCCACCATTTACTTGTCCACCACTCATGATCCATCCATCAGTCATATACTCATTGGTATTTCTGTCCCATCTGCCCATCCATTCTCTGTGGATAGATCCATCACAATCATCCACTACTATTTATCCACCATCCATCCACACTTCCATGATGTATCTACCCACTAAGCATCCACCATCTACTATTAATACTTATTGCCTGCAGTTTATATCCACTATGTATGGATTCATGTGGTATCCATCGATCCAACAATTCAGCATCCACGTCCGTCCATTTTCCATCTATCAATCTACTGTGTATTTATCTATTCTTCATCACTTAATCAATCACCAACTACATAGATGCATCTACCATCCATCATATTATATCCATCCACCATCTAGGATCACCCTCTACCATGCTTCCAGTGCCCATCCAATCATTAGCCATACATTCTTCTACCCACCACATACTCATTCCATCATTATGTCCATCGTTCATCCACTATCACTCACACAGACAGTTATTCATCCCCCACCAATCAGCCAGCCACCTAGTAATTAACTCGTCCATGTGTTCATCTATTACCCTTAAGTTATATTCTTATATTATCCACATACATAAACATCAGTCCACTGTCCTCACTTCATCTCACCGCCACCCATCCCCATCATTCATCCATCCATCTTCTCACCATTCTTTTGCCCATTCATTCATAAACAATACATTCATGTATTAATAAATATTAATATTAAGCATTATTGACTCCATGTCAATGCTGGATTCTGGGATCATTGAGAGAAATAAGACCCAATCCAAATTCACGATCCAATGGTCCAAAACGGAGAACCAGGTCAGGCAGAGAAGTGTCTTTGTGAAAATGCGAATTGGGTTCTCCTGGATGTGGGATGGATAGAGCTCTTTGCACAAGTTCTCCAGGAGGAAGATGGGCAAGGGGGCATCACAGCAGGGTAGGTGGAGGCCTGACCTGGGCACTGTGGCTGCAGCTCAGGAGATCTGATGATGTGGGCATAGCGGGAGGTGAGACTGGAAAAAGAAGGTAGCAGAGATTGTGCAAAGCTGAGAATGCCCAGCAGAGGGGTCAATCCCTGATGTGGGGGCAGCAAGGAGCTCTGGGAGGGTTTGAGGCAGACAAGAACCCCAGTCATCTACATTCTGAGAAGGGGCTCCCCACATCTGTACACTGCTCCAGGCAAGAGCACAGACCAGAAGGACAGGGGCCTGGCCTAGTGTCACACACCAATGCCAGAGTAGGTCAGACACCTCACACCCTTATCACTGTGGCTGCAACCGCACCCTCTGAAGACCCAGACACCCTCACGTCAGAAAGTCAGCTGGCATGCTCCCCTTCCATCGCCCTATCCCCCAAAAGGCCACCCCGCCCCCTTGCCACTTGGGCAGAAATTGCTCTCCCAACTTGTTAGTGCAAGTGGTAACTATCACCTAAGGTGTTAGTTGTCATCCAAGGTGTTGGTAGGCAGGGGCCTCCCAGCTTCTAGGGCTTGCTCCCAATGGGGCATAGGGTACTCAGGAAATGCTCAAGTCCCTTGAGCCACCAAGCCATTGAGTCTGGGGCAGGGAGCATCTGTAAAGACAGGCCTGGAGCTCATAGCTGAGCTGCACAGTTGGCCTCAGGGCCCGTTTTTGCCTCGAGCCTCGGATACGCTGCTTCTCCCCCTCTCTCCTGCCACTGCCATGGGCCTTTCTCTACAGGAGACTGGCAGATCCAGAGGCAGGAGCTGTGCCTGGCCATGCCCAGCGTCTGCTGTGTGTCTATGGAGCCCCTGGCCCTCTCTGGGCCTCCCCATCCCTGCCAATGCAGTAAAGGCATGGGGTGGACTAAGTGAAGAAGCAGCGTCCCTCACATCCTCTGGCTGCACTGAGGCTATCGTTACCCTCTCCCAGCCCTGCTCCCCAGCCTCCACACCTTCCAAAGCTTGAACAGGCTGCTCACGGTGGCTCATGCCTGTAATCCCAGCACTTTGGGTAGCTGAAGTAGGAGGATCACTTAAGCCCAGGAGTTCAAGACCAGCCTAGGCAATATAGTGGACCACAAAAAATACGAAAAAAATTATCTGAGTGTGGTGGTGCATGCTGGTAATCCCAGCTACTGAGGAGGCTGAGTTGGGAGGATCACTTGAGCCCAGGAGGTTGAGGCTACCGTGAGCCGTGATTGCCCTACTACTGCATTTTCCAGCCTGGGCGATGAAGTGAGACCATCTCAAAAAAAAAAAAAAAAAAAAGAACGGAGGTGAGGGCGGCATCTGCATCTACTGGGGTGCTCCACTGGAAGCGGAAAGCCTGGCCCTGGGCCAGAAAGGCTTGCTCTCAGTACCCTCTTGTGGCCGTCTTGGAGTAAGACACCGCAGACTGCCTGGGCAACATCAAGGACTGCGCAGTGACAATACACCACTTCGGTGTTTTACCTGCATGTCTCTGCTACATATAATCCTTCCTTCCTTCCTCCCTTCTTCCTTCCTTCCTTCTTTCTCTCCCTCCCTCCCTCCCTCCTTCCTTCCTTCCTTTGGGTGTTTTATATGCATGTCTCTGCTACATATAATCGTTCCTTCCTTCCTCCCTTCCTCCCCTTCCTCTGCTTCCCTCCTTCCTTCCTCTCTGCTACTCCCTTCCTTCCTTTTTTTCTTTCTTCCCTTCTTTCTTTTTTTTTTTTTAACAGATGCAGCCTTGCTGTTTCCCAATCTGGCCTCGAACTCCTAGGCTGAAGAGATCCTCCCACCCCGGCCTCTGGAGTAGCTGGGACTGCACAGGCTCATGCCACCAGGCTGGGCCATGTGAGCACTGTGGCCCTATGCCACAGGATCGTGATGATCCTCTGACAGGGCAGGTCCAGGACCAACTCCTGTGCCCCTTGGCAGACTGGCAGGCAGGGGGTCCTAAATAAATGACCCTGGGGCCGGGCGCGGTGGCTCACGCCTGTAATCCCAGCACTTTGGGAGGCCGAGGCGGGTGGATCACGAAGTCAGGAGATCGAGACCATCCTGGCTAACACGGTGAAACCCCGTCTCCACTAAAAATACAAAAAATTCTCCGGGCGTGATGGCGGGCGCCTGTAGTCCCAGCTACTCCGGAGGCTGAGGCAGGAGAATGGCGTGAACCTGGGAGGCGGAGCTTGCAGCGAGCGGAGATCGCGCCACTGTACTCCAGCCTGGACGACAGAGGGAGACTCTGTCTCAAAAACAAAAAATAAATAATAAATAAATAATAAATAAATAAATAAATAACCCTGGTGGAGGTTGGAGGGGCCAGGCGGGTGGATGGAGAGTGAAAGAAGAAGGTGACTGGAAGAGGCCTCCAGCCTCTCCTGGGACTATCTCACCCTGCTAGGAAGCCCTGGTGCAAGGACTTCCAGCTGTCTTCTCCCACACTAAATCCCCAGCCCCTAAGTATTGGTTGACAGCAGTTTCCAGACGTTTCCCTCTGGATGTGTTACAAATCACCCAGTTTCAGAGGGGTTTTTTATGGCCAGGAGCAGTGTCTCACGACTGTAATTTGGAAGGCCAAGGCGGGCAGATCGCTTGAGCCCAGGAGCTCGAGACCAGCCTGGGCAACATAGTGAGATCCCCCCCATCTCTAAAAAATTATTATTTTTTTTAAAAAGTAGGCTGGGCACGGTGGCTCACACCTGTAATCCCAGCACTTTGGGATGCGGAGGCGGGTGGATCACGAGGTGAGGAGTTGAAGACCAGCCTGGCCAAGATGGTGAAACCCCGTCTCTACTAAAAATACAAAAATTGGCCGGGCGCGGTGGCTCACGCCTGTAATCCCAGCACTTTGGGAGGCCGAGACGGGCGGATCACGAGGTCAGGAGATTGAGACCATCCTGGCTAACACAGTGAAACCCCGTCTCTACTAAAAATACAAAAATTAGCCGGGCGTGGTGGTGGGCGCCTATAGTCCCAGCTACTCAGGAGGCTGAGGCAGGAGAATGGCGTGAACCGAGGAGGCAGAGCTTGATGTGAGCCAAGATCACGCCACTGCACTCCAGCCCAGGCGACAGATAGAGACTCCATCTAAAAAAAAAAAAAATTAGCCAAGCACGGTGGCTCTCGCCTGTAATCCCAGCATTTTGGGAGGACCATGCGGGCGGATCATCTGGAGGTCACGAGAGAGAGACCAGCCTGAGCAACACGGTGAAACCCCTCTCTACTGAAAATACAAAAATTCGCCGGGCACGGTGGTACACGCCTGTAGTCCCAGCTACTCGGGAGGCTGAGGCAGAAGAATTGCTTGGACCTGGGAGGTGGAGGTTGCAGTGAGCCGAGATCGAGCCACTGCACTCCAGCCTGGGCGATAGAGGCAGACTCCGTCTCAAAAAAGAAAAAAAAAAAGGAGCCAGGAGTGGCGGCGCCTGTAGTCCCAGCTACTTGGGAGGCTGAGGTGGGAGGATCACTTGAGCCCGGAGAGGTTGAGGTTGCATTGAGCCGTGATCGCATCACTGCACTCCAGCTTGGGTTACAGAGCAAGACCCTGTCGAAAAAAAAAATACGGTTTCAGTTTTTTATTTTTTGGTGGGTTTTTTTGTTTGTTTGTTTTGGGACGAAGTCTCGCTCAGTCGCCCAGGTTGGAGTGCAGAGTGGCGTGATCTCAGCTCACTGCAACCTCCGCCTCCCAGGTTCAAGCGATTCTCCTGCCTCAGCCTCCTGAGTAGCTGGGATTACAGGCACCCACCACCACGCCAGGCTAATTTTGTATTTTTAGCAGAGACGGGGTTTCACCATCTTGCTCAGGCTGGTCTCGATCTGCTGACCTCAGGTGATCCGCCCGCCTCGGCCTCCCAAAGTGCTGGGATTCCCGGCGTGAGTCCCGCGCCCGCCCGGGGTGTTTGGATGTCGTCCTAAGAGGCTCCACCCACAGGGGCAGCCCCGGGGCGCGGCTGCGGGGCGCGGCCTCGGCTCCGGCTGAGGGTCTGCCCTCCTAGTGGGAGTTGCGGAGAGGAGGCGCCGCGGAGCGGAGCGGGACCAGGCCCGGGGAAACGCGGCCGGAGGCGGGGCGTCGGCAGGAGGGGCGGTGCTAACGGCCCCGGGTTCCCGGTGCTCCAGCGCCCCCTCCCGGCTCGAGAGAGGAACGCCCGACCACGTCCCTCGGCGGCCGCGGGCGGAGGAGCCGGGCGACACTCCTGTCCCCCTCGCCGCCGCCTCCAGCCTCCCCCGGCACAGCCGGAGAGAATGAGGCTCCAGGCAAAGCCAAGCAGGATCCAGGGCCGGGGCCCGCGCGGAGCCGACACCCTGCTCATAGGAAAGCGAGGCTTGCTTCCCATTGCACGGAAGGGGAAGTCGAGGCCCGGGCGCTTGCTGGTCCGGCGCAGGGAGCTCGGCTCCGGCGCGGAGCGGGGAGGGGGATCGGGCTCAGCGGGGGCCCGATCTAGGCGACTAGGAGCGCCCATCCCGGGACTGCAGCCAGGCGGTCTGGGAGGGGGTGCTGTCCTTAATTTCTGGCTTGAAGGACAGGTGACCCGGGACAGGTGGAGACGGAAGTGAGAGGGGCAGCCAGGTGATGGGGACGGCGCATGCAAGAACCCAAAGGCCGGGAGCATGGGGCTACTGCCGACACCAGAGGCTAGTCCCACCCGGTGTTGACCTGGCAACCAGCCGGGGAGGAAGGGAGCTGTCTGAGGCCACACCCGACGCCCACCGGTGTCACCCGGAGCTGAGGTCATCCGGCCCGCCCTGGGCTGGCAGAGTTCAGCCTGCCCCACCCTCAGCCCGCCCACCGCAGGGGACCTTGCTTGTCGCCTGCCCTACTTGGCCCCACTTTAACCCTGGTGCTGTGCACACAGACAGGCCTGGCAGGGCTCAGGTCTCAGGCGGAGGGTCAGGGTTGTAACTTCCAGAGCCTCTGAGGACTCCTCACTGCTGAGGGCAGCAGCTGGCAGCCTCCAGCTGGGAAGCTCTGGGGATGGCCAGGTCCTGCCGTGTGGCCAGCACAGTCTCACCTCACTAAGGGGCAGCTCCTGTTCACAGAGGTGGGCAAGGTCCTGCTGCCAGGCACGTGCTAAATGAGCACTAATTGTCGTGGGCCACCTTTGTGTAACAAACATTAACTCTAAAGTGTGTGCCCCTTCTTAAAAAGTCCTCCTTAGTACGGTGGTGGGTAAGACGGAAATGGTATGTGTGTGTATAGTGCACAAGTGTGCTGGAGAGCTACGCCATAATCCTAGCTCAGCTCACACCGCATGTCCTGTGAGCAGGCACTCTCCAGGCAATTGGCCTGAAACCAGATGGCTTCACTGAATCATGGAAGCCCTATAAAGATGGCGTAGTATCCCATTTACAGGGAGGAAACCAGGGACCGAGAGGCTGAAGAGCCTGCCTGGGGTCACAGAGCTTGTGAGGGGAGAGCTCCGTCCTGGAGTGCACCATGACACTGTGCACTGGGCTGCGGGGCCCCGGAGGCAGGAAGGTGCCGGGGTGGGGAGACACCCCGTCACTGCAGCTACATTGACACTGGCCACACCCCAGCTGGGGCCTGGAGACCTCCAGTCCCAGGACAGCACTGGGGCGGTACAGGAACACATACTGAGACTGGGAGGGAAAGAGGCTTGCCCTGGAACCACAGCTGGAGAAGCCCAGAGCCAAGGGAGGAACCCCCAAGGCCAGCGGCCCACAGGGGAGCCCTGTTGCCCTCCCTCTCCTCCTGCACCAGGGGCGCTGAGCCCTGCGGACAGGCATGATGGGTGCTGGGCCCGCAAATCATGCAGAACCCGCCCACACCCCAGCAGCCACAGGTTGAACTGATTCTTGCTGAGCTCTAAAAGCCTCCAAGGGAATCCCCTGAGCCCTAGGGGCAAAGATGTGACTGTGGCCGCCAGGGAGATAGGGGTCCAGCCCTTCATGGCCCTGGCCCCACCTGCGGGGGTTTGGGGTAGGATTCAAGGCCCGGCTAGCCTCAGTCCCGCATCATGGCTGCAGGGTGGGGCCTGACATCCTGGGCCCTGCCCTGCCTCTGTGCCCCAGAGCAGTCAGGGAGAACGGATGCCTGAGGCTAGGCTGCTTGTGCGCACTCTGTCCTGGCCTGGGCACCCATTTCCCCGGCATCCCGTCTCCCCCAGCCCCGGCCTCCCAGCAGTCAGGTCACTCAGTCATGCAGGCCAACATTTCCTCCCAGCGAGCGGTCACCAGACTCAGTGCCAACACTGCGCCCGAGGGGTGTGCAGCCTGGGTTGGCTGGGTGGGGTGTAAAGGTGGAGAAAGGTCCAAAGCGCTGGTGGGAGGGGTGGCCTCTGAGACAGTCTCTGTGCAAAGGCCTGGCATCCCGGCCTCAGGCTACCCGACCCAGTGAGCTGGGTGTCCAAGGCCATGTAGGGAGATTATCCTCTGAATGCTGGGGAGGGATAGGAGCCAGACCCACGATGGTGGTGACTGATGGAGACCTGGGGTGTGGAGTACCCCTACCCCCGCTCAGTGCAGAATCTCACGCTGGCCTCTCAGCCTTGCATGGTGGGGCCGAGGTGTTACCCATTAACAGATGAGTAATAATCTGCTGATGAGTGTATGATCTGCCCCTGGCTCAGACAAGGGAGGTGGTGGACTGGCCATGGCAGCTGTCCAGACTTGATATCACCCTGAACGTCCCCAAACCTCCCTCCCTCCACTCTTGCTTCGCCCTGACCAGAGATGGAGGGTGGTGCTGGGAATAGGAGGTAGGTGAGTGCCTGTCCTGGCCAACAGCAGAGGCCCTCGAGGGAAACTGCACCGCAGGTGTCACTCTAGAGCCCACAGCGGGGGCTGTCAACCTGGAGTGTGCAGCAGAATCGCCTACAGCCCTCTGGCCCAGCCCCAGTGACTCTGGGTGAGTGGGTCTGGGGTGCATTTCAAACAAGTTTCCAGGCGCTGCTGCCGCCAGTCCTATCTGGAGACGACTCTCTGAGAAGCACAAGGTGGCCAGAGGGACAGGAGTGTCCTCAGACCGCCTCTCCCAGAGAGTGGGCCTCCTCAGTCCGCACCCCAGACAGGATATGCCAGCCTTGAAGCCTCTGTGGACATCTCCATGCTCAGGGGCGATGCCCGGCCTCTGCCAACCACGCCAGCTTAGATGAAGTCCAGGCACCTCCCTCAGTTCACCGTGTGCCCCTGAGCGAGTCTCTCGCCCACTCTGAGCCTCAGTTTCCTTATCTGCACAGTGAGGAGGGGAGCAAGGCCACGTGCAGCTATTTGAGCAGGTGAGAGGGAAGCGCTGGGCACACAGAGGCTGTTGAGATGAGTGCTCTTGTTTGTTTGTTTGTTTGCTTGTTTGTTTGTTTTTGAGACAGAGTCTCGCTCTGTTGCCAGGCTGGAGTGCAAAGGTGTGACCTCGGCTCACTGCAACCTCCGCCTCTCAAGTTCCAGCAATTCTCCTGCCTCAGCCTCCCGAGTAGCTGGGAACTACAGGTGTGTGCCACCACGCCCAGCTAATTTTTGAATTTTTAGTAGAGACGGGGTTTCACCATGTTGGCCAGGATGGTCTCAAACTCCTGACCTCAGGTGATCTGCCCACCTCAGCCTCCCAAAGTGCTGGGATTACAGGCGTGAGCCACTGTGCCCGGCCTTTTTTAAAGGAAGTTTACGAATTTGTGTTGGGCTGTATCCAAAGTCATCCTGAGCCCCGTTCGGCCGCGGCAGGTTGGACAGGCTTGATGTGCAGTGTTTGCAGCCATGACTGAATCCTTAGTACCTCCTAACGGCCCTCTCCATCTGCCCCTCCTTGAGTTCCTGGCCCAGCCTCCACACCCGCCCCACCCGGGCGTGAGTAATTCCCTCAGGTCGTGCTGTGGGCTCTGGGAAGGGAAATCCTAGATCAGAGGCTCCAAAGGGCCTGGATGGAGGCCCAGGAGCCCCGCTTTATCCCCAAGGCAGTGAGGACCCAGGCAGGCTTCTGGGCAGGAGAGAAGCCTGCTTCGCCAGCCTCGGGAAAGATGCCTCGGGCGGCCCAGGGAAGCTGGGCGAGGCCGCTGGGGAGGGGAGCGCAGTGGCACTCAGACGGGTTGCGCAGGCGGCGCTGGTCAGTGCCTCCAGCCTCTCACCTTGCGTCATGTCATCGGCTGCTGCCTGTTAGCACCACAGAAGGCTGTCTGTACGTTCTGTCCCCAGTGTGACTGCGGGCTGCACCCGCAACCTCCGTGAAGCCTCACGAGGATGACAATAGAGGCTCCTCTTCCCCTTTCGGGAGACTTTGTGACCTCCAGCTCCTCCTCCCCTTTCAGGGGAGGCACTGGAGGTCACGGAGGTCACAGAGTCAGTGGGTGAGCCCTCTCCCCGACCCACAGGGCGTCTCAGGTGGGCCCTGCTGGCTTCACTGCTCTTCAATGCAGGGAACATTCCTGGCTGCAGTGGGGCGTTGCCCTGAAGGACATTTGCGAGGGGATCATGAGGGCAGGGCTTGTGGCCAGGGCTAGACCAGGGTGCCTAGAAGCAACAGGCAGCAGGCTCAGAAAGGACAGCGTAGGCCGGGCAGCGCCGCCAGCCCTGGGGCTGGGAGAGAACAGGCTGGCCCCACCCTCGGCTGGAAGGAAGAAGTGAAGGCCGCAGAGACTGGAACACAGAGCAGACAGCGTCGCTGACTCTTGGCTGTCTGGACAGGACAGTGACTTCTGGCCGGGGTCACTGCCCGGCGCCATGCAGCAGGGAAGGAGCCAGGAGACCGACACCCTCTACTGTCTCCTCCCTCCCTCCCGGCCTCCATCAGGACTTGCAGGAGCTGACACCAAGTGCAAACCAGACGACCCAGGCCGATGGCGCCCACACAGGTGGCCTCCCAGACACACAGCCAGGAGAGAGGTGGCAGTGGCCCTGGGGACATTGGAAGACGTGGTACATGGGTGGTGACAGCCGTGCTGCTGCCAGCTCCTTCCTGCACCAGCCCTGGTGGTCCCCCTCATTGGGCTCTTTCCAAATAGACCCACCTAGACTTACCCTAATTTGAGGGTGCCAGCTCTTTCCTACTGGGACCCTGGTTGACAGGAAAGTTTTAAGCCTGCATGCAGGGCCACTGGCCCACAGTCCAGCTTTGCTCCGAGGCTGTCTCCAGCCTGGCTCCCCTCTCCTGGGCCCTGGTGGGGTCTCCAGGACCGGCCTCCTGGCTCTCTGAGACTATGCATTTGTCCCTGGCTACTTGGGCCTCCAAGATAATGGCTCCCCTGACTCCCTGGCCCACCACCACCACTGCAGAGCAGAACAAAGAGGAGGAGAGAGGCTGTCGCCCCCCCTACCCCACCACCTGATGCACCCAGCCACCTTCCAGATGGCCCCCCACCTCCCGCAGCACTTATGGCCCCTTGCATCCCCTCCTGCCTCCCTCATCACTGGCTCTCTGCCTCCTTCCATCTCACAGACATTTCTGTGGGCACTCTCTTTGTACCTGGCCCTGGCAGGGTATTGGCCCACGCCCTTGACCTTCAATGTGGTCAGCATGGATGTTGAGAATGAGGAGGAGAGACACCCTTCAGAAGTGCCGCAGAGTCAGGCAGCAGGAAACCCTAGGAACCAATGGCAGGGTCACATGGCCGCAGGCCTGGGGACTCCTCCATGCCGGGCAGGGAAGGGGGAGCTGCAGAGACTCCCACCTGTGAGGCCCAGCCGTGCTCGTCCAGGCCTGCGGGACTGGCCCTGCGCACCTCCCCAGCATCCCAGGGCAGCCACCTTCTGCTCCCATCTGTGTCCTGAGCTTTGCTGTGCCTGGAAGGCCGCACAGGGCTGACTCCTCCTGGCTGTTTGCATCTCCCTAAAAGGTCGCCGCTGGATAGAGGCTTCCTGGCGTCCCCCATCTGTAAGGCAGGCACCCCTCACACACCAGTTGCCCCATCCGCTGTCCTCGCAACCCTCATCCCTCTCCCAGATTCTCTCTTTTACTCCCCTGTGTCCTGGTGTACAGCCTGTCGCCCCTAGACCAGAAGGGACACCCTGGAGTCCTCAGCACCCAGAACCGTGCACGCCGTGGGTGGCAGCCACTCTGGGTTGCTGGAACAAGTGACCCTGCCTTACGTCTCTAGTGCTACATGGGTTCCATGTGATAGATGCACCGTAATTTCTTTACCTGTTTATCTATCAATGGACACTTAGCTTTTTGTTTTTATTTTTATTTTATTTTAATATATTTTAATTTTAATTTATTTATTTTATTTTTATTTTTATTTTTCTGAGATGGAGTCTTGCTCTGTCGCCCAGGCTGGAGTGCAGTGGCGCAATCTCAGCTCACTGCATCCTCCACCTTCCTGGGTTCATGCCATTCTCCTGCCTCAGCCTCCCAAGTAGCTGGGACTACAGGTGCCCGCCACCACACCCGGCTAATTTTTTTGTATTTTTAGTAGAGACGGGGTTTCACCGTGTTAGCCAGGATGGTCTTGATCTCCTGACCTCATGATCCGCCCGCCTCAGCCTCCCAAAGTGCTGGGATTACAAGCGTGAGCCACCTCGCCCGGCCTTTATTTTTTTTTGAGAAGGAGTCTCGCCCTGTCGCCCAGGCTGGAGTGTGGCTCCATCTCAGCTCACTGCAACCTCCGCCTCCCGAGTTCAAGCGATTCTTCTGTCTCAGCCTCCCGCATAGCTAGGACTGCAGGAGCATGCCACCATGCCTGGCTAATTTTTACATATTTTTTAGTAGAGATGGGGTTTCACTATATTGGCCAGGCTGGTCTCGAACTCCTGACCTCGTGATCTGCCTGCCTCAGCCTCCTGAATTGCTGGGATTACAGGCGTGAGCCACCGTGCCTGGCCTAAGCTTTCGTTTTTAAAACGAGGAGCACCGCTATGAGTGTCACTGTGCATGTCGCGTCTTAGGCAGTCCCAGAAGGGGTCACACTGACGCAGGGGATGGAGGAGAGGATGAGAGAGGCCACCTTACCGAGGTGTGGGCAGGGTGCCAGCAAGTCAGGCAGGGGTGGGAGCTGTTTCCACCTTTGGGTCCTCTGAGGACGGCAAGAGGGAGGAGTGGCCGGATCCTGGAGAGAGGAGCTCCGAGGAGAGGGACCCCAGACTTCAGAAGAAAGATGTGGCCAAGGCGCAGCTCCTGGGGAACGTGGGGAACGAGTATTCCCTCCCTCTCCCCCAGCTCCCAGCCACATGCCAGAGGCCCCATTGGCCAAACCCAGCAGTCAGGGGGCCAGGTGGCCTGTGGGCGCAGCCCACCTGGGGTACAGAGCAGGATGGAGAGTGGGTCTGGAGGGGCAGAGGCAGCTATCCAGCAGCTATCCACCCTGCTGACCTTTGGTCTCCACCCTTGCCCTGTGTCTTCAGCACCCAGGGCAAATGACGTCCCATCACCCTCGACTGTGTGTGCACCAACCTGAAGGCTGAGAGCCCGGCACTGCCAGCCTCTTCACTAAGGTGGGAGGGGGTGGGAATGGGCAGGAGGGAAGCAGCCCGCTGACGGATGCCCCCCAGCCATGCTGCCTAGGCAGCGCTCCTCAGCCGCCATCCTATGGCCCCTCCCCTCGGCTGGCTCCGCAGCAACACTTTTTTTCTCTCTCTTTTGAGACAGGGTCTTACTCTGTCGCCCAGGCTGCAGTGCAGTGGTGTAATCACGGCTCACTGCAGCCTCCACCTCCCAGGCTCAGGTGATCCTCCCACCTCAGCCTTCCCGGGTTCAAGCGATTCTCCTGCCTCAGCCTCCCGAGTAGCTGGGACTACAGACACTCATCACCACGCCTGGCTAATTTTTGTATTTTTAGTAGAGATGGGGTTTCACTATGTTGGCCAGGCTGTTCTTGAACTCCTGACCTCATGATCTGCCTGCCTCGGCCTCCCAAAGTGCTGGGATTATAGGCATGAGCCAGTGCACCTGGCTAGCTTTTGTATTTTTTTGAGAGGGGGGTCTCACTAGGTTGTTCAGGCTGGTCTCTAGCTCCTGGGCTCAAGTGATCTGCCTGCCTCGGCCTCCCAAAGTGCTGGCCACCGCGCCTGGCCAGCCCTTTTTGTTTTTTTACAGCCTTAGTGAGATAACCCAAACTTTTGTTCCTTCAGAATCTGATTCCTTTATGACTTGTCTTTAATGAGCTCCCTTCCCTTTTCCTGATAATAAAAAACATTGAGCAAGAAGTACAGTCACAGCTGGGTGTGGTGGCTCATGCCTGTAATCCCAGCACTTTGGGAGACCAAGGCAGGCAGATCACTTGAGCCTGGGAGTTTGGGACCAGCCTGGGCAAAATGATGAAACTCTAACTCTGCAAAAAAATGCAAAAAAAAAAAAAAAAAAGCCAAGTATGGTGGTGTATACCAGTAGTCCCAGCTACGTGAGAAGGGGCAGGGGGTGGGGTGTTGGTGCCAAGGTGGGAGGATCACTTGAGTGCGGAAGGTCAGGGATGCAGTGAGCCAAGATTGTGCCACTGTACTCCAGCCTGGGCGGCAGAGCAAGACCTGTATCAAAAAAAAAAAAAAAAAATTAGTCATGCGTCACTTAGTGGCAGGTATGCATTCTGAGAAATGTGTCATTAGGCAGTGTTGTTGTGTGAACATCAGAGAGTGAACTTACACAAACTTAGATGGACACACCCAGGCTACATGGTACAGGCTCTTGCTCTTAGGCTACAAACCTGTGCAGCACGTTTCTGTACTGAACACTGTAGGCAACTATATCCCAATGGCAAGAATTTATGTCTCTAAACATAGAAGAGGTCCAGTAAAAATATAATATTGGCTGGGCGCGGTGGCTTACACCTGTAATCCCAGCACTTTGGGAGGCTGAGGTGGGTGGATCACTTGAGGCCAAGAGTTCGAGACCAACCTGACCAACATGGTGAAACCCTGTGTCTACTAAAAATACAAAAGTTGGCTGGGCGTGGTGGTGCATGCCTGTAATTCCAGCTAATCGAGAGGCTGAGGCAGGAGAATGGTGTGAACCCAGGAGGCGGAGCTTGCAGTGAGCCGAGATCACGCCTCTGCACTCCAGCCTGGGCAACAGAGCGAGACTCTGTCTCAAAAAAAAAAAGAAAAAAATATATACGTAAAATATTATAATCTTATGGGACTACTGTCATGGATGCGGTAGTCTCTGACCAAAACATCATTACGTGGTGCATGACTGTGGTTAAGTCGTGCCTTCCCTCGGTGTGAGAATCAATTCAATGCAAACTCCCTCTGAGGATGGGGATTGTCATCCCAGCCAGCACAGTGATCCCTTCTCTGCCTGTTGGTTCAGCGGCACAAGGAACCGGAAATTGCCAGTTGGGGGAGGGGCAGTTCCACCGTAATCCATCGAAACCATGACTGTGTTTCCTGATGGAAACATTTTCCTGGACACTGGCCCAAGGTCACACACAGGAAGGAAGGCAAAATTCCTCCAGTATGTTATTTGGTGTAATAATGGGAAGGGCCCCTCCTGCCTCCACTGCTCAGTTCCTGGACCCATGCATTTGAGGTGTCGGGGGATGGCACCGCATACCATTTGCTGGGTTGAGGCATGCACCACACCCTGTAGGATGGCAGCTTAACCTCATAGGCTATTGGCTCTCATCCGGCACCTTAACGGAGTCTTCTGCAGATGATTCCTCCATTCTCCCAAACCAGCTGCTTCTGGGTAATGGGGAGCATGGTAAATTCAGGGAATTTCATGGCCATGAGCTCTCCGCCACACTTCCTTCAACACGAAATGAGTCCCTCAGTCCAAAGTGATGGTGTTTGTGTTGCCATGATGAGGGATAAATAAAGCGTTGTCCGAGTCCACAAATGGTAGTGCTGAGAGAAGTGATGTGGCTGGAAAAACAAGTCCTTACATAAAACACGTGAGGATAAATCACTGCCCTTTCCATGACAGAAGGGGTCCAATGTCATCAAGCTGGCCACCGGGCAACTGCACCTTGTGGGAATGGCACCACATTAGGAGCTTAGGGTGGGTCCCTGCTGTGAGGGTTGGGCACTCAGCCATATGGATACCAAATCACTCAGCCAAATGGATACCAAATCAGCCTCGTGAGGAAAGGTCATGCTTCTGAGTCCCTACATAGCCTTCATCTCTGCTGCCTCAGTCAGCTGCCCACGGGCTGTTTGAGCAGCATTGGGAAGGGGAGGGAGGAGGCCAATGGATGTCCTCAGAAGAGGCTGTCTTGTCCACCTGGGTACTGAGAGCCTCCTCCCCAGTAAGTGCCCATGAATGAATAAGCATTCATTCCCATGGGTACTCTGTGCCCATTCTGAGAAGTCCATCCCCTTGCCTGTCCCCTAGGCCACCTGGAGAATTTTATTCAAGTGTCTAATTGTCCAGCCAACCCATTAGCTATAGCCTGTGAATCAATGTACAAGTTTTGCCTTCTGCAAGGATTTTTCTTCAATGCTGGCTTTCTGGGCCTCTCCTTTGTCTGTAAAGCACTAGTTGTCTACCTCTGACGGGAGCTAGCACTCCAGGCAGAAAAATTTGTGGGCCAGACCCACTTTTTCATTTTCTGTTGACTGATCACAACAAAGTATTTTCCATTAGGGTGTAGTTGCAGGTTAAGAAATGTCGCAGGGCCGGGCGCAATGATTCACACCTGCAATCCCAGCATTTTGGGAGGCTAAGGTGGGCGGATCACTTGATGCCAGGAGTTCGAGACCAACCTGACCAACATGGTGAAACCCTGTCTCTACTAAAAATACAAAAGTTAGCTGGGCGTGGCGGTGCATGCCTGTAATTCCAGCTGCTCGAGAGGCTGAGAAGTGAGAATTGCTTGAAACTGGGAGGCAGAGGTTGTAATGAGCCAAGAGCACGCCACTGCACTCCAGCCTGGGCGATAGAGCAAGACTCTATCTCAAAAGAAAAAAAAGAAAAGAAAAGAAAAAGAAAAAGAAATGTTGCAAAATGTCTGGGCACAGTGGTTCATGCTTGGGAGGCCGAGGTGGGCGCATCACCTGAGGTTGACTCGAGACCACCCTGGCCAACATGGTGAAATCCCATCTCTACTAAAAATACAAAAATTAGCCAGGTGTGGTGGCACACGCCTGTAATCCCAGTACTTGGGAGGCTGAGGCAGGAGAATCCTTGAACCTAGGAGGCGGAGGTCTCAGTGAGCCGAGATTGTGTCTTTGCACTACAGCCTGGATGACAGAGTGAGACAGTGTCTCAAAAAAAAAAAAAAAGAAAAGAAAAAGAAAAGAAATGTTGCAAAACAGTAGGAGCAAATACTATTAGAGTCTAAGGCACCTACTCAGGAAGTTTACTTGTTCCTCCCAGAAATGTTTGGGCCTACTCTCATCTTACAATGGAATGCTGCTAGGTGTGTGTGTGTGTGTGTGTGTGTGTGTGTACGTGTGTGTTTTGCGACAGAGTGAGACTCCATCTCAAAAAAATAAATAAATAAAATAATAAATAAATAAATAAAGATGTGGTTCAATGTCTTCTCACTTAGTGGTTCCCAATAAGAAATTTGGTGTCACTCTTACCTCTGTTTCCCTGTATGTAATGTGTCTTATTTCTCTGGATGTGTTTGGTTTTTTGTTTTGTTTTGTTTTGTTTCTTTTTTTTTGAGATGGAGTTTTGCTCTTGTTGCCCAGGCTGGACTGTAATGGTGCAATCTTGGCTCACCGCAACCTCCACATCCCGGGTTCAAGTGATTCTCCTGTGTCAGCCTCCAGAGTAGCTGGGATTGCAGGTATGTGCCTACCACGCCTGGCTAATTTTGTATTTTTTATAGAGACAGGGTTTCTCCATGATGGTCAAGCTGGTCTCGAACTCCCGACCTCAGGTGATCCGCCTGCCTTGGCCTCCCAAAGTGCTGGGATTACAGGCATGAGCCACCATGCCTGGCCTATTTTGTTTCTTTATCACTGGTTTTGAGCAATTTGATGATGATGTGCTTCGGTGCTTTGTTGTTGTTGTTGTTGTTTTTCATATTTCCTGTTCTCAGGATTAACTGAACTTCTTGAATTTGTGAGATTGTAATTTTCATTGTGTTTGGAAATTTTTCAGTAATTTCTTCAAATATTTTTTCTGTTCCTCCTCTTTCTTGCTCTTCTCCTTCAGGATCCCAATTATCCATGTATCAGGCCACTTGAAATAGTCCCACAGTTCACTGATGCTCTGTTCATGTTTTTGTTTTTGTTTTCTCTCACTGTCTTATTCTGGATAAGTTCTATTGCTATTTCTTCAAATTCACTAACCTTTTGTTAAGTAATGTCTAATCTGCCATGAATCCCATACAGTATATCTTAAATCCCAGAAATAGTTTTCTTATCTTTAGAAATTCTATTACAGTTTTAAAAAATGATTTTCATAATTCTATTAGCTTTTTCAAACACATGAAATACAGTTATAATAACATTTAATATCTTTTTCTGATAATGCTAACATCTGTGTAAGTTCTGGGTTGGTTTTGATTAATTGACGGCATCCTCATCATAGGTTGTGTTTTGAATGTCTGGTAATCTCTGACTGGATACCAGACATTGTGATTTTACCTTTTTGGGTGCTAAATATTTTGTATTCCTATACATTTTCTTGAGCTTTGTTCTGGGATGAAATTACTTGGAAACTGTTTAATACTTTTGTGTCTCATATTTGTAATTCGTTAGGCAGAGCCGGAGCAGTGCTCAGTCTAGAGCTTTTTCTGGGATGCTGGGGGAAAGGCAAGTGCATGACTTCCTAGTGGTAGAATCCTATTACCAAGGTACAACTTTCTTGAGAATTCTACCCAATGCCTGTGAATTATTAGTTTTTCCAGTCTGGCCAGTGGAAAACAACACTACTCTCAGTCTGTGTGAGCATCAGGCACCATTTCCTCCAATCTTTTTTGGCACTATTTCCCCTAATCCAGCCTGCGGTAGCTTCCATCCGCGTGAGCACTGGCCAGTGTGCTGCTGGATGCCTGAGGAGACTCTCTACCCATCTCCAGGGCTTTCTCTGTGCAGCTCACTCATTTATGGTACTCTGTCCTGAGAGGTCTAGCTGCCTTGGTCTCTTCAGTTTCTGCTCTGTCTCCTCGCCTCAGGGAGTCCACTGAGCTCCACCTCAGTTGCCCCTCCCTGGCAGGGCAGTCATAGAGCCACCTCTTTACCCTCCCTGGCAGGGCAGTCATAGAGCCACCTCTTTACCCTCCCTGGCAGGGCAGTCATAGAGCCACCTCTTTACCCTCCCTGGCAGGGCAGTCATAGAGCCACCTCTTTACCCTCCCTGGCAGGGCAGTCATAGAGCCACCTCTTTACCCTCCCTGGCAGGGCAGTCATAGAGCCACCTCTTTACCCTCCCTGGCAGGGCAGTCATAGAGCCACCTCTTTACCCTCCCTGGCAGGGCAGTCATAGAGCCACCTCTTTATCCTCCCTGGCAGGGCAGTCATAGAGCCACCTCTTTACCCTTCCTGGCAGGGCAGTCACAGAGCCACCTCTTTCCTGTGTCTCGGGGATAGGGATCACTGTCCTTTTTCAAAATTATGCATTTTTTGAGACAGAGTCTTGCTCTGTCGCCCAGGCTGGAGTGCAGTAGTGCAAGCATGACTCACTGCAGCCTTGAACCCCTGGACTGAAGCCATCCTCCCATCTCAGCTTCCAGAGTAGCTGGAGCTACAGGTGCATACCACCACACCTGGCTGATTACTGTCCTTTGATGCCTGATTTCTAGTGTCATGAAAATCCTTGTTTTAAGTGTTTTGTCCATTTTCTTTCTCTTTTATTTTCATTGTTTCAGGTAAGAGAGTAAATCTGGTCCTGATCACACCATCTAGGCTAGAAGCAGAAATTAATTTGCTTTTTCTTTTTGAGGCAGAGTCTTGCTTGCTCTGTCACCCAGGCTGGAATGCAGTGGTGTGATCTTGGCTCACTACAACCTCTGCCTCCTGGGCTCAAGTGATGCTTCCACCTCAGCCTCCCAAGTAGCTGGGACCATAGGCACACGCCACCACACCTGGCCAATTTTTGCATTTTTTGTAGAGACGGGGTTTTGCCACGTTGCCTGGGCTGGTCTTGAACTCCTGAGCTCAAGCAATCTGCCCGCCTTGGCCTCCCAAAATGCTGAGATTAACAGGCATGAGCCACTACACCTGGCCAAGAGAAAAGGAAAATTTATTGTTTCATGTAACCAGATCTCTCTCTCATTTTTCTCTTTCTTTCTCTAACAGGTGTTGTGGCTGTTGAGCTGAAGTCTCACCATCATAGCTTGTGTTGTAAAGCAAGGAGCAGCAAGCTACGGGTCTGCAGGCCAAATTTAGCCTGCTGCTTGTTTTGTAAATAAAGTTTTACCGGCACACAGTCATGCTCATTTGTTTCTACATTGTCTATGGCTGCTTTCTTGCTATAATGGTAGATGCAGAGACTGTAGGGTTCATAAAACCTGAAACATTTACTCTCTGGCCTTTTACAGAAAAAGTTTACCCGCCCCTGGTCTAAAGGAAAGGACAAGAAATTCTCTCTCCCAGTTTTAGTATGAAACATTCTTTTTATTTTTTATTTTATTTATCATTATTACTATCTTTGAGATGGAGTCTTGTTCTGTTGTCCAGGCTGGAGTGCACTGGTGCAATCTCTGCTCACTGCACCCTCCGCTTTCCGGGTTCAAGTGATTATCCTGCCTCAGCCTCCCAAGTAGCTGGGATTACAGGCATGCGCCACCATGCCCCGCTAATTTTTATATTTTTAGTAGAGACGGGGTTTCACCATGTTGGCCAGGCTGGTCTTAAACTCCTGACCTCAAGTGATCCACCCAGCTCGGTCTCCCAAAATGCTGGGATTACAGGCGTGAGCCACTGCGCCCGGCCTTCTTTTTCTTTTTCTTTTTCTTTTTGAGATGGAGTCTCGCTCTGTCACCCAGGCTGGAGTGCAGTGGCGCCATCTTGACTCACTGCAACCTCTGCCTCCTGGGTTCAAGTAGTTTTCCTGCCTCATTCTCTAAAGTAGCTGAGATTACAGGTGTGCACAACCACACCCAGCTAATTTTTTATTTTTATTTTTGGTATTTTTAGTAGAGACAAGGTTTCACCATTTTGGTCAGGCTGGTCTCGAACTCCTGACCTCAAATGATCTGCCCGCCTTGGCCTCCCAAAATGCTGGGATTACATGTGTGAGCCACCACACCCAGCCAGTATAAAACATTCTAAATAAGTTATCTGCTGAGGGAGCAAGATTGTTTGAGACCAGGAGTTCAAGACCAACCGGGGCGACATAGCAAGACTCCTTCTCTAAAAAAATTTTTTTAAATTAGCCAGATGTGGTGGCATACACCTGTAGTCCCCACTACTGTGGAGGCTGAGATGGGAGGATTACTTGAGCCTGGCAGTTCAAGGCTGCAGTGAGCTATGATTGTGCCAAGTCACTTCAGCCTGTATGACGGAGCAAGACCATGTCTCTAAAAAATAAATAGATAAATGAATACATAAACAAATAAGTTCTCTGATTGGCCTGGCTTCAGTCACATGACTGAAGGGGGATGAAGTGCTGCTAGGGTCTTGGGTCACATGTCCACCCTGGTGCCAGCCCCTCTAGAATCCTATGATCAGAGTGGAGCTGGAGCACAGACTCACAGGGCATGGGGCTCAGGAGAGAGAGAAAGCGAGGGCAGACGAATACAAGGACTGTCCACCAAAGGCACGATGACCTTTGTTGTACATTTGTAAATGTATAAGAACAGTAAATGGAAATTTCCAGGAGGCAAGAAGAGAGAGCAGATGTGGAATTCTCAAATGCTATGTCAGATCGCCATGGGCAGATTGTCAAGAGAAATGTTTGGGAATCTGTCCCACACTCAGGAATAAAAGATGAGAGTGGAAGAGAAAGTTTGGTCAGGTGATCCTGCCAGGGGACACAGAGGACAGGCACTCCTTCCTTCACTTTAAGCCTGTGAGGGTGGCTTCCAAGGGATTTCTCAGAGAGCTCAATATTTGGCACTCAATTTGGAGGGCACAGTGGCAGGAAGGGCTCATGTGCTGTTTCAGAGGCAGAGCTATGCTGCTGTGCTGGGACCCACCTGTTCACTAATGTTGGGGCGAGGAGTGTGCCAGTGTTTCCTGAGGACAGATGTGAGCTGGGTGGATGAGCAAGCACAAGACCCATGGATCCATTTAGGTCCTGTCCAAAAGTCCCTCAGGAAGGGCAGAGGGCCCCTCCCCTCCACAGCCACCAGGTAAGCATCCACCCAGTGGCACATCTGCTTGAGTTAAGGGGACTTCAGGAGACAAAGCAGCAGGGAACCACCGAGGAGCCCATGAATGTTCCCAGGAGAGACAGGGTCAGCTTTACCCTCTGCCAATCCAGATGGGATTGGAGCCCTTCCCCACTTCTCCCTTTCTCCCTTCCCGGTGGTGGTTCTAGATGGGTGGAAGTGGGCTGAGCGAGCCGAGGGAGGTTTGGGGAAGGAGATGGCACCAGGCACAGCCCCCTTTCCCCTTGCTCATCTCAGGCCCTAAGGGGTCCAAGGGGGAAGATTTAACTTTGATTTTGAGCCAGGTGATCTGCTCAGACTTTTTAAAAAAAACTTTTAAGGTGTCATACACAAATAGTAACATGCAAATATTTAGAATACAGTTTGATGAATTTATACACATTTACAGACCCAACGTTACAAAACGGCTGTGCTGAAGATACAGAATGTTCCCAGCCCCCTAGAGGCCTCTCCTTGTGCCTCCTTCCAGTTGATACCCCAAAGGCAACCAGTACTCTCACCTCTAACGCCAGATTGTTCTCACCTGCCTTTAAGAAATGAAGGTATTATATATACATACACACAGTGACATGCACTCATCTTAAGAAGACAGTTTGAAGAATGTTTACTTATGCGTGCTCCCATGTAACTACTACCCAAATCCAGGCATAGAACATTACCAGCAGCCCAGAAGGTTCCTCCTCTTGTTCCAGTCAACAACTCCGGCATAGGCAGCCACTCCTCTTCTTCTTCTTCTTCTTCTTATTATTATTACTATTATTAAGACGGAGTCGTGCTCTGTTGCCCATGCTGGAGTGCAGTGGAGCGATCTTGGCTCACTGCACTTTCGCCTCCCGGGTTCAAGTAATTCTCCTGCCTTAGCCTCTCGAGTAGCTGGGACTACAGGCGCGCGCCACCACGCCCGGCTAGTTTTTTGTATTTTAGTAGAGACGGGGTTTCACCGTGTTGCCCAGGCTGGTCTCGAAGTCCTGAGCTCAGGCAATCCGCCCACCTCGGCCTCCTAAAGTGCTGGGATTACAGGTGTGAGCCACCGCGCCAGGCCCACTCCTATTTTTAGCTCCAGAGATTAGTTTTGCTTCAGGCTCCCTTAACGTCCTGCTTCAAACCCCTATCTGCCCCTTCATCGGCTCCACCTGGAGGCCACCGCTTCCACGGAAGCATGACCCCTTCCCCTGCACCCGCGCGCCCCAGAAGCTCTCAGATACCCCCACGATTTCGGTGACCTTCCGCAAGCTCCAGGAAAAGCCCCTCCTCTCCTGACGCCAAGGGTTTGTTGGGGTTGGGGGGTATCTCCATCAGCCTCCCTCCCCCAGCCACCCAAATTAACCAACAATCTTAGTAAATGCAGCGACTCGCTAGGCAAACCCAGCCTGGAGACAAATATCCGGCCCCTTTCCTACCAAACTGTCACACCTAGGCATTGGTCTGCAGGGAGGGCTGGACAGTGGAAACTGAAACCCTCTGCAAGCCATCACGAATCCACCGGGCACTGGGGACGCTGGCTCCCGCCTTGGCAGCATCCCCCAGAAGCCTGGGCCCTGACCCCACACCGTCTGGGCCTCAGTCTCTCATCGGTAAAGTCAGGGGTAGGGCCCGAGTCTTCCAGGACCGCTTCGAGCTGGGACAAGCCGTTTTAAATAGCCCACAACCCGCCGAGGCCATCAGAGCTGCGCCTGCCGGGCCGCCCTCGACCCCCACCTCGGCCGGGCAGGTCCGAGGCCCCGCAGGCAACATGGGCCCGCGGACTGCGGGACGGGGCTCGACGGCCTGAGATCGCGACTCTGCCTCTCCGATACTTGGGGTCGTCTTCGGCCCCGGGATCCGCGACGCGCGCGGTCGGACCCCGAATACTGAAGGCACCGGGTCCGCAGGGCGAAGGCGCACACGCCCACCAGGCGCGCTCTGCGCATGCGCGGGCTCCGCAATCTCAGCGGCCCACTCGCCCCGCCCCGCCCCCCCCACCCCCACCCCGCGCCGCTCCCCAGGCCCGGCCCTGCCTTCCCAGCATCCCGGCTCCCTACGGCAAGCGGCGAGGCCCGAGCCCGCCGGGAGCAGGGAGCCGGGCGCGGGGCGGGGCGGCGCGCTGAGGTCAGCGCGGCGGCGGCCGGCCCCGTAGTGGTTGGCTGCGCTGGTGCTGGCCGCGCCCTGGTTGGCTGCGGGCCGCGGGGCTGGGCCGCCGGGTCGGGGCTGGGGTCGGGCTCGGGCGCCGGCCGGGCTTGCGCAGCGCTAGGCTCCTCGCCGCTCCTAGTCTGCGGCGGCGGCGGCGGGGAGGGCGCGGCCGCGGGCGGGGCTGAGGGCGGCGGGGGCGGGCCGCCCGAGCTGGGAGGGCGGCGGCGCCGAGGGGAGGAGAGCGGCCCATGGACCCGCGGGGCCCGGCGCCCCAGACTCTGCGCCGTCGGGACGGAGCCCAAGATGTCGGCCTAGGCCGGGGCGCGACGACGCGGACGGGGCGGCGAGGAGGCGCCGCTGCTGCCGGGGCTCGCAGCCGCCGAGCCCCCGAGGGCGCGCCCTGACGGACTGGCCGAGCCGGCGGTGAGAGGCCGGCGCGTCGGGAGCGGGCCGCGCGGCACCATGTCGGCCAAGGTGCGGCTCAAGAAGCTGGAGCAGCTGCTCCTGGACGGGCCCTGGCGCAACGAGAGCGCCCTGAGCGTGGAAACGCTGCTCGACGTGCTCGTCTGCCTGTACACCGAGTGCAGCCACTCGGCCCTGCGCCGCGACAAGTACGTGGCCGAGTTCCTCGAGTGGGGTAAGTGCGCGCCGGCAGGGCCGGACCTGCGGCTCTGCGACCCCCGCGCCCCAGCCCGCGCATCCCCACGCCCGCCCATCCCCGCCCGGACAGACCCTGCCGCCCTCCTGCCCACCCAGCTCGTGGGCTTCGCCTCCTCTCGCTCTGGCAGCGCCCCCAGGCCCGCAGCCCATCTCTCTCCAGCCGCTCCTTGCACCCTCGTCCCTCCGCTAGCTTTTCATCCCTCCTTGCCCTCCCTAGGCTCGACATCCGCGTTCGATCGTCCCGCCCCCTCATCCTGCCCCTTGGAGCCACATCCTACGTTCCCACTCCCACCCCCTCCCCCCCGCCGGGCCCTCGCCCTGGCGGCTTCCTAGATCCACCCTCCGAGTCTGGATATCATTTCCTGCAGCACTCACTGGGATATCCGCCCCCGCCCCCGCCCCCGCCCCCGCACCTCGCCTTTGGGGTCCGGAGGCAGTGTGGAATTAGTTCCCTTTCCCCACCCCACGCTTCTCTGCGTTGTGGGGGCAGCTGGGTGTGCTTTCTGCATCTGCCTCGCCCACTGCCCCGTGGGACCCCCTTGCATCCCCAGGGAGCCCAGCTCTAACGGCCCCTCCTGGGTGACAGCCTGTCTACATCCCCTTGTTGGTCAGAGCCTGAATACCTACTTTGCTGTAACACCTTCAAGGGAATTTTAAGGTTAAGGCTTTATTTTAAATAAACCGTGCAAGAGGACTTTTTTTTTTTAATTCCAATTCTGCTAGACCTTTGTGATATTTGGAGGGGTAGCTGGAGCTATCACTTAGAAACTTTCTCATCTGAATTTTGCATGCCTTCTCTAGTTCGTTCCGGATCTATAATGTTTTAATCATTGGTCAGCTAACCTATTATGCTTTTTTAGGACAAAAATTTGATTAAACCATTTAACGATAATTAGGATCCTAAAGACAGGTAAAAGTGCAGCGTGAAACTCTTTTACTTCATCTCTCCCTAACGGGTGTGCCGGTCAAGACCCTCAGACTGTCTCACCTAAAACCACTGAGTAGGAGGAGGAAATGCGTATGTTCAGGCCAAACCTATGAAAACCTTATCCTTGGGTCATTTGCGTCACTGGGCTAGGACTGTTCAGTTCGAACCAGTAATTTCTAATCTTTGGGGCTGATAAAGCTGATATTTATACGAAGAAACAAATGAAAGTGTTCCACAGTGAGGCCTCCAGGCCTCCTACTCTACTCTGCCAGATTGGTGACTGGAATTTGGAATTTTGTTTACAAATAAAACTTAAGTTGCAATATTCTTTAGAGGGCTTCTGTTGGATTACTCTGTAGTGAAATGTTACACGGTATCTTGTGAGAGCAGCAGTAGAAAGAGGTCCTGAGATCAAGGACAGCCTGTGATGCTTTATTTCCGTGGGAACCACCATTCTTGGTTACTTATAGTATCAGTAAATTAAGAGTATTTGCTTTCTAGCGTCCTTTGTCAGTGACACGATTTCCAACTGAATAATTAATTGACTTCACCGTTGCTTTGAAAGTGAGGTCTTTGGTGCATGTTAAAATCTGAATATTTTGTTTACCTTTTCTTTCTTTTCTTTGGAGACGAGTCTCACTGTGTTGCCTAGGCTGGAGTGCAGTGGCATGATCTTGGCTCACTACAACCTCCATCTCCTGGGTTCAAGTAATTCTCCTGCCTCAGCCTCCCGAGTAGCTGGGACTACAGGCACGCACCAGCATGCCCGGCTCATTTTTGTATTTTTAGTGGAGAAGGGGTTTCACAGTGTTGGCCAGGCTGGTCTTGTACTCCTGACCTCGGGTGATCCACCTGCCTCGGCCTCCCAAAGTGCTGGGATTACAGGCGTGAGCCACTGCACCCAGCTTGTTTACCGTTCCTTTCTGATCACTCGATCTTGAAACCCACACAGTTCCACTGTCAGGTTCAACTTGGTGCACCACCTGTGAGTGTGACTGGGAAGAGGAAGCAGAGGGAAAGTTGGTTTTGCTGGGAAGATGTGGTCCCACTGGCCTCTGGCCTGGGACCTAGAAGATTAGTCTGAGGGCGGGGGCCCTGGGGGCCATTGTGCAGCCACCTCTCTCCACCAGGCATTACTGGTGGGCTTCCCTGGAGGAAGCTCTTGTCAGCATGTGTGGAGGTCATATTTTATGAGATCTGGCCTTTCCAAATCTAAACGGGAACTGTGCTGTAACATAGACATATTTTCAAAGTTGTATTCTGGCTCTTTGGAAATTGTGATTACAAACTACATTATTCTCAGGAACTCAGTTTGCACAAAAGTATAAACTTTCAATTATAGGGAAGAATGGACTTAGAAGGTGGTGTTTTAATGAAATATCAATATATTTTACAAGTATTTAAACTCATTTATGTTAACATATACGTCATTGTAACTCTAAAGTGGTGTATTTCTAGTTAACATGTGTGCAGTTAGTATTTAATGTTGCTTGGAATTGCCTGGTTGTTTCGATTGGAAAGCACAGAATAATGTTTTTGAATAAAACTATTTATAGAGCAATATTAGGTACTCTAACTTCCAAGTGGAATTACTTCTGCTCAGGAAACACATATAGGCTGTCCATCAGTGGACTGTTCAGTTTTTGGATTCACCACTCCATGACATTTGAAACCTCTGATATGTCGATTCCTGTCACGTGGAAAAGCCAACCTTTCCCCACTTCCCAAATCTTGCCAGGTATCTAATGACAATTATGGAGAATTCTTGAAACTTAAGGAAGAAAAGTAGCTGATTCAGCCCAGATTTGGAGGCTTAATGGGGAATATGTGAGGAAATTTGGAAAGTATAGGTAGTAAACTTTTTAAGTTTTAAAGGAAGATTATGGCCTGGTGCAGTGGCTCATGCCTGTAATCCCAGCACTTTGGGAGGCCAAGGTGGAGGATTGGTTGAACTCAGGAAGACAAGACCAGCCTGAGCAACCTGACAAAACCCAGTATCTATAATAAATGTCAAAATAAAATTTTATAAAAATATAAAAATTAGCTGGGCATGGTGGCGCACACCTGTAGTCCCAGTTACTCTGGAGGCTGAGGTGGGTGGATCACTTGAGCCTGGGAGGTCAAGGCTGCAATGAGCAATGATCATGCCACTACACTCCAGCCTGGGCAACAGAGTGAGACCCTGTCTCAAAAATAAATAAAATATGATTATTTTTGGCTCATATTTTCTTATTGCCACAGTGGTCGCATGGGACAAGAGTCATTTCAACTTTTTTTTTTTTTTTTGAGACGGAGTCTCACTCTGTCGCCCAGGCTGGAGTGCAGTGGCGGGATCTCGGCTCACTGCAAGCTCTGCCTCCCGGGTTCACGTTGTTCTCCTGCCTCAGCCTCCTGAGTAGCTGGGACTACAGGCGCCCGCCATCACGCCTGGCTAATTTTTTTGTATTTTTAGTAGAGACGGGGTTTCACCGTGTTAGCCAGGATGGTCTCGATCTCCAGACCTCGTGATCTGCCCCCCTTGGCCTCCCAAAGTTCTTGGATTACAGGTGTGAGCCACCGTGCCTGGCCGAGTCATTTCAACTTTCATTGTAGGTTTTTGTCTTTAATTTTCCTATAGCTTGATTGGTTTCCTCTATGAAATCTTGAACCTTAATGCCCAGCTTTGCGTGTGTATTCTTTTCTTTTCTTTTCTTTTTTTTTTGAGACGGAGTCTCACTCTGTTGCCCAGGCTGAAGTGCAGTGGTGCGATCTTGGCTCACTGCAACCTCCGCCTCCCGGGTTCAAGCAATTCTCTGCCTCAGTCTCCCGAGTAGCTGGGATTATAGGTGCCTGCCACCACGCCTGGCTAATTTTTGTATTTTTAGTAAAGACGGGGTTTCACCATCTTGGCCAGGCTGGTCTTAAAGTCCTGACCTCGTGATCCACCCTCCTCGGCCTCTCAAAGTGCTGGGATTACAGGCGTGAGCCACCACGCCTGGCCTTGCATGTATATTTCTTTAAGCTATTTTGAAAATATCTTGATACCATTTGAAGCAGAACATATGAAACACTTTACAGTTTCCAAAAGTAAATAGCAACAAATACGGACAACCCAGTGAGATGAATTTGTTGTCTTTCATCTTTGTCATATACAAATACTGTCTTATGTGTTAAATATTTTTCCCACAGCTTATTTGTAACAGCTAATGTTGCGTTTGGATGGAGCTGATGTTTGAAATCCTAGCCTATGGGCATTGGACAGGCCACAGTGGTCCTCTGCCCTGGCTGCTGTGTGGCCGTCAGACCAGGAGGGAGGCCTCAGGCTTGATGCTGGTGTCACAGAGGCGGACCGTGGGTTTCCAGTCCCCAGTCCGGGCATCTTCTCTCGAGATGTGCTTCCTCTTCATGAATAGAATTAATCCTCCTAGTCTTCTGGGTGGTTCCTCATTTGTGGCTTTTCTCACCATGAGTGTGATAGTATCTTCTCACGGTCCTCCTCCATGGATGTGAATGCCCATAGCTGTTAGTGTGGGAATGGCCAGCCCAAGGTGTGAGTGGGATGATGCCACCGAATTTAATAAGTAAGGCTTAACTGACACGGTGCTAAACATCTCATAATAAAAAGTGCTGGGATTACAGGCGTGAGCCACTGTGCCCGGCTCAAATACATTTTTATCTTAATGATTTCTCTGGATAGAATATTTGCATAACATGGGAACACTTTTTAAAAATAACAGACTTAAGAAATAGATCTTTTGAGTAAGATCTGAATTATAGGGAAATGTTAGGATTGCATGATAAAAATTAGTTTAACCTAATTTAGATCATGTAGATTCTATGGTAGCTGTTTGATACTGACTATAATAGCATGAGATAGGACAGCTGAAACCATTAAACATTAACAACCCAGCCCTACCTTTTCTGTCTTAAAACTTCAGGCCGGGTGTGGTGGCTCACACCTGTAATCCCAGCACTTTGGGAGGCCAAGGTGAGTGGATCAGGAGTTTGAGACCAGCCTGGCCAACAAGGTGAAAACCCGTCTGTACTAAAAATACAAAAATTAGCCGGGTGTGGTGGCACGCATAGTCCCACCTACTTGGGAGGCTGAGGCAGGAGGATCTCATGAACCCAGGAGGCAGAGGTTGCGGTGAGCTGAGATTGCGCCACTGCACACCAGCCTGGGCAACAGAGCAAGACCCTGTCTCCAAAAAAAAAACAAAAAACCTCTTCCTTCCATGACAGTTGGGCTTCACAGTGAGCAGCAGTGTCTCTCTTAAATCTAGACTTCAAAGAAATAAAATTGGATTTGAAGAAATAGTTCTCACTTCAGGATACCACTGTGTGAGCTACCTGAAAAAGTTTAAAATGTGCAGTGAATTGCCCTTCAGGCAAAATACTCAAATGCATGTAAATTACAGAACTCACAACACTGCAGGGTTGACAGAGAGCTCCTCTGCTTGCCTCCGCCCTGCCTCTTGTCGCAAGCCAGGTGCCCTTAGATGTCTCCTGGTTGCGCTGACATTAGTGATACTGGATAAACAGGCAGGCACACAGGACTGTTAATTCCAAACTATATTAAATACAGTGAAACTGTCAAATGCTTTTCTCTGAAAAGAGACAAAGCTTTTTTTTTTTTTTTTTTAGCTGGAAGAGACTAAAAACAATGTTACCATGTAATCTCATCCCAAAACCCATAACATAATACCTATTAGTCCTTGACCACGTTTGTTTTTTTCTTAGATTCTTAGTGTTATGGGATGACGGTATGTTATGGTTACCTTAAATTTGTGTGAGAAGCTCACAGAAAGCCTCTCTTGCTAATGAGAATGGATGAGAGGAAACACCCTCTCCTTAAATCTAAAATCAGAAGTGTTTTGGCAATGTGAACTGCGTGTAGTAATCTCCCGCCCCCCCGCCCCAAATACACTAGCCACTAACTGGGAGATAAAGGTCAAGTTTCAGTTTGATTTTAAACAATCTGTGTTGGGGGTTAGGTTTTTGGTTAGTTTTATTGATTGGTAGGTAACAGTGGCAACAAAATTGTTTTTTGATTAAAACTGCAAAAAATCGATGTGTAATAGAGAACTTCTTTGGATTTTTGTTTTTCTTAGGAATTAGAAATTCAAACATAAATTTGAATGGAATGATATAATTTCATTCAAATTCGGTCCTTGGATTGGAGAGTCTTTGGAGAACATTTGGGACCTATTGTAAGGTGATTCCCAGTGTTAATTTAGGTGATGATTTCCCTGACCTCCAAAATTGCAGAGTCATAGGTTGGAAAACTGTTAAGAATTTTTTTTTTTCCCCCCAAGACAGGGTCTTGCTCTGTTACCCAGGCTGGAGTGTAGTGGCTCTGTCATGTCTCACTGCAGCCTTGACTTCCCAGGCTCAGGCAGTCCTCCAGCCTCAGCCTCCTGAATAGCTGGGACAATAGGCATACACCGCTACACCTGGCTAATTTTTTATTTTTTGTGGAAACGAGGTCTTGCTGTGTTGCCCAGGGTGGAATTGAACTCAGGCTCAAGTAATCCTCCTACCTTGGCCTCCCAAATGTTGGGATTATAAGTGTGAGCCACTGCGCTCCGCTATGTTAGGAATTTGGGGAGGTCATGTTAACCTGCCCTCCAGCCCACTCCCCACTCAGGTTGGGTAAACCAGGTTCTGAGCATTTTCCCTAACCGTTTCTGGGCAAACAGCCCTCTAACCAGCATTTCTGTCCTTCACAGGACTGCGGTCAGCCTCAGGCCTCCTTGCAGGTGCCTGCTTTGAAATATCTTTATTTTATTTTAGCCTTTTCTTTCTATTCTCATTGTCAGGGACCTAGGTAAAGCTCTCAGGTCCTCAGGCCTAAATGAATGCCTTTCCCACTTGAAGTTTTAAATACCTCTGCCAGATCAGTCTCAAACTCTCTTCATCACTCTGCCTTTCCAAAACTACAATGCCTTCATATTCTGTTGCCTTTAAAATAAAAAGTCTGATATCCACAATTCAGTATTAGAATTTGAAATTGACCCCAAAAGACGCATCTAATCTTAGCTTTAGAAGTTAAGGTTATGGCCGGGTGTGTTGGCTCATGCCTGTAATCCCAGCACTTTGGGAGGCCGAGACGGGTGGATCACAAGGTCAGTAGTTCAAGACCAGCCTGGCCAACATGGTGAAACCCCGTCTCTACTAAAAATACAAAAATTAGCCGGGCTGGTGGCGCACGCCTGTAATCCCAGCTACTCAGGAGGCTGAGGCAGGAGAATCACTTAAACCCGGGAGGCGGAGGTTGCAGTGAGCCGAGATTGTGCCATTGCTCTCCAGCGTGGGCAACAAGAGCAAAATTTTGTCTCAAATAAATAAAAAAAGTTAAGGTTAACAGCACTTCCCACCATGCCCCATGGGGTGATTTTCTTTTAACATCATTTAACTTTTATCAATGTAATGCATTTACTTAGTTTTGGAAACTAAGCGGTACTACTGGGTTGTAGTGCAAGACAGCAGTCCCTCTACCAGTCGCTTGCTCCGCGCTCCAACTTCCCACAGACTACCACTTTTAACTGCTCTGTTTCTACTTATCATTTTAGTTAGGATCACATTTAGCTGCCAGTAATGGAGAACAAAGTGACAGTGACTTAAATAAAATCAGGTTGATTTCTCTCACGTGAAGTTGACGTGTCAGCAGTCAGTGCTAGTTGGACAGCCTTGCTCCAAGAGGCCTCCGGGGCTGTGGCCTTTTCCCACCCTCAGGCCACCATCTGAGACGGTGGCCATCCCACCCTCCTTCAGCCAAGCAGGCCGGGGGTGGGATGTTACTATAGAAGATCCTTGGATATTGGTGGGTGCTTAGCAATGCCTGCCTTAAATTTCATATTTCTGTGTAGCATGCTGGTACTGCTAATTTCTGATTTTACCATTTTAGACATTGCTGACTTCTGCTGTAGAAGAGGCCTTAGAACTGTTCTACATTGTCCCTCCACTGCCTGAAACACATTCACCCCTTGCTCTTTTTCTGTGTTCCAAATATGTTTATATAATTTTGTTTAAATTGGTAATTCAGTGTCTGCATTCTTATTGTTAGGTAACTGTCTTCACAGCTAAGCCATGTAAGATACAGTTTACTAAGGGAAATAGTTTTGTGTTATTGGAGTGAATTTTCTTTATTTTCTTTTCTTATAATAATCCCATGGAGTAAATTTTTTTTTTTTTGGAGATGGAGGCTCATTCTGTTGCCCAGGCTGGAGTGCAGTGGCATGATCTTGGCTCACTGCAGCCTCCGCCTCCCGGGTTCAAGTGATTCTCCTGCCTCAGTCTCCCGAGTAGCTGGGATTACAGGCACCCACCATCACACCTGGCTAATTTTTTTTTTTTTTTTTGAGACGGAGTCTTGCTCTGTCGCCCAGGCTGGAGTGCAGTGGCCCGATCTCGGCTCACTGCAGGCTCCGCCTCCTGGGTTCACACCATTCTGTCTGAGCCTCTCGAGTAGCTGGGACTACAGGCGCCCGCCACCATGCCTGGCTAATTTTTTTTTTTTTTTTTTTTTTTTTTTTTGTATTTTTAGTAGAAACAGGGTTTCACCGTGTTAGCCAGGATGGTCTCCATCTCCTGACCTCGTGATCCACCTGCCTCATCCTCCCAGAGTGCTGGGATTATAGGCGTGAGCTACCGCGCCCAGCCATGCCTGGCTAATTTTTGTGTTTTTAGTACAGATGGGGTTTCACCATGTTGGCCAGGCTGATCTTGAACTCCTGACCTCAAGCAGTCCGCCCGCATTGGCCTCCTGAAGTGCTAGGATTACAGGAGTGAGCCACCGCTCCCGGCCGAATTTTCTTTAGCTTGGTTTTCAATGTACAGTCATGAATTTAGTGCCAGGCTTTTAACTAGAACTCCTCCATTAAACACCTCACATAATCTTATCACCTTCATCCCTTCCAGGCCTGCCACTTTTCTGTTTCAGCCTGGGCCGGGTGTCCTGCGGGCCTGCTACTGAGCAGTCCTCCTTGGAGTGCTTTTCATTCCTTGCAGGGATTCTTCGTGTCTCTTTCCTCTGTTGAATTCCCCTTTCTGGATTCTGTGTCTTTCATCTTTTGGTGGAGTGAATCTTCTAGTAGCTTCCTGAGAAAGAATTCATCGGAGGTGAATTTTTTGAACCAGGTCTGTCTGAAAATGCTTTTTTTTTTGGACACAGAGTCTTGCTCTGTTGCCCAGGCTGGAGTGCAGTGGTGCAATCTTGGCTCACTGCAACCTCCACCTCCCGGTTCAAGCAGTTCTCCTGCCTCAGCCTCCCGAGTAGCTGGGACTGCAGGTGCACACCACCACACCCAGCTAATTTTTTGTATTTTAGTAGAGACAGGGTTTCACCATGTTGCCCAGACTGGTCTCGAACTCCTGAGCTCAGGGAATCTGCCCGCTTCGGCCTCCCCAAGTGTCAGGATTACAGGCATGAGTCACCATGCCTGGCTGAAAATGCCCTTTCTTCCCTCACATTTGAATGGCACTTTGCCTGCGTACAGAATTCTAGGTTGGAAGTCATTGTTCCTCAGAAGTTTGAAAGCATGGAGGCATTGCTGTCTACACTGAGAGTGTTGGTAATGAGAAGTCGGAGACCACGATGGTTTCCAAGTCTCTGTGTGGGACTTTTCTTTTGTAAAATCTCTGGAAGCTTTCAGGGAACTCTTGTTTATCTCTAATGTTCTTTGGTGGGTCTTTTTGATTGGGACGCTTGGGTCCTTCAGCTCTGGGGAACTTTTGTTGATAATACTGTAGTTTTAATGTTTGTTCTAATTTTTTTTTTTTTTTTTTTTGAGAGTATTACTCTGTTGCCCTGGCTGGAGTGCAGTGGCGTGATCTGAGCTCACAGGAACCTCCGCCTCCCAGGTTCAAGTGATTCTCCTGCCTCAGCCTCCCAAGTAGCTGGGATTACAGGCGTCCACCACCAAGCCCAGCTAATTTTTGTATTTTCAGTAGAGATGGGATTTCACCATGTTGGCCAAGCTGTTCTCGAACTCCTTACCTCGTGATCCACCCGCCTTGGCCTCCCAGAGTGCTTGGGATTATAGGCATGAGCTGCCGCGCCCAGCCAAGAACACTTAAAAATGAAAGATACAGTGTCAGAAACAAAAATTCAATGTAAGGCTGGGCGCGGCGGCTCCTGCCTGTAATCCCAGCACTTTGGGAGGCCGAGGCAGGTGGATCAACTCTCAGGAGTTGGAGACCAGCCTGGCCAACATGGCAAAACCCCGTCTGTACTAAAAATACAAAAACTAGCCGGGCATGGTGGCAGGTGCCTGTAATCCCAGCTACTCTTGTGGCTGAGGCAGGAGAATCGCTTGAACCCAGGAGGCAGAGGTTGCAGTGAGCCGAGATCACGCCACTGCACACCAGCCTGGGTGACAGAGAGAGACTGTCTCCAAAAAAAAGTGTTGTTGTTCTCAGTATTCCTTTTTGTAACATCCTCTTTCTGTTTCATGAAGGCAGTGCGTTTTAGACACATTTCTTTGTTTAATGTTTTATTGATTCCTGCACACGTTTGTTACGTAGATGTTTCTTTCCCTTTGCCTCCTACCTTGTCTGTTTCCTGTGCGTTCTTTTTCACCTGTTTTCTACTTTGGTCATTCTCTTTGTTAGAGGCTTCTCTCCGAAACTCTGGTGATTACTGGCTGTCTTTCCATGGTTATGAATGGGACGATTGGAAACTCCCTGTATGCATAGGGCCGACTTTAAGTGTTGAGTCTCACCATGAGGAAATAGAGCATGGACCCTGCCAATTTGAGGGCCACTGCCAGAAGTTAGTGATAGAATTCTTTATTTTGGGGCTGTAAGTCTCCCTAGAGAGGAGTTTCCAGTCTCCTGCTTGGGGTTTAGGGGTTGGGGGGCATAGCTGTCAGTTTCTGGGAAGGTGGCTGAGGTGGAGGAGGGCTGGTGGGGGAGGATCTGACTGCTTCTCCCACAGACTTGAAGCGGATGCTCTTTTGTGCCCATTACCCTCAGGCCTTCAGAGATCTGAGCGCCTCTTCTCATTCCCCAGCCTCGTTGCCCCTGCTGCGCAGTTAAGTTCTGGTTTTCTGGCTTTGCTGAGTTAGATACCACTCGTCCATTTGCTTTTTCCCACTCTGCAAAATCGTGTTGACATTTCTAGTCTGCTGTCATCCCTTGTCGTACACTTAGCAAATATTTTTTAAGGACTTAAGATGTGCTAGGCACTGCAGCAGTGAAGAAAACAAAATTCCTGTTCTCCTGGAGCTCACGTTGTCCTTGAGGCTCGTGGCAGTGTGATTATGCGCCGCTGTGGTTTCCAGGTGTGCGAGACGCCCCAGCTCTCAACTCTGCACGAAGTCAGAGTGTAGTTCCTCTTTGTTTTGATTTGGATGTGTTGCTGTTTCTATTCTTACACTTACTTACTTGAAAGAGTCCCCCATGAATAGAAGGAGGAAATGGGACGACAGGAGAGCAGGTTTTTCTTTTTTCTCTCGTGGCTGTACAAGCATTGGAGGAGAGGAGAAGGGGGTTATGAGAATGTGAAGAAGCAGGGAGTACCTGAAGGAAGTGTTGAAAGTGGAAATACGGTGGCTGGACAGCGCCTGCTCCTCGGGTGGCTGGACAGCGCCTGCTCCTCGGGGCTGGGAGGGTGCAGGGGTCCCTGTGGAGACCACGTGATGTGGGGCTGTTCACAGCTGGGCTTTTGTGATGCAGGAGTTGCCTATAGAAACTTCATCTTTCTGGAAATGTCATAGAGCTGTGTTTAACCTCCAGAGCTTTTGGTATGTAGGAAATCACCCATTGAAAATAAACCAGAGCAGAATAAGAAATATTCTTGCCCCTCATCATTCTCTAAAAACATAAATAACGTAGCGAGGTGCAAAGGTGACTAGAACTCCCTTGCCACAGCACCCAAAACAGCACTTCAGGGTCCTTGCTGTGTTGTACTTCACCCTTGTTAGTGCAAAATCATTGAATTAAAATAATTCAGTCTATCACTTTGTTTAAAAAACTGGTGAGCCGAATTTATTTTTCAATATTTATTTATTTATTTATTTATTTATTTATTTTAGAGACAGAGTCTCCCTATATTGGCCAGGCTGGTCTTGAACTCCAGAGCTCAAGGGATCCTCTTGCCTCGGCCTCCCAAAGTGCTGGGATTACAGGTGTGAGCCACCACACCTGACCCATCTTATACTTCAATTTGAAATACCATTTCTACTGATGCTTTACTATTGAGAAAGATGTTGATTTTATCAGTGGTTATGCAGCAATCCTTAAAGGTTAATTTTGGAGGCCGGGCACGGTGGCTCACGCCTGCAATCCCAGCACTTTGGGAGGCCGAGGTGGGAAGATTGCTTGAGCCCAGGAGTTCAAGACCAGCTTCAGCAACATAGTGAGACCCCCGTCTCTGCAAAATTAAATTAAAAAAATTAGGGCCAGGCGTGGTGGCTCACGCCCGTAATCCCAGCACTTTGGGAGACTGAGGCTGGCGGATCATGAGGTCAGGAGATCGAGACCATCCTGGCCAAGTTGGTGAAACCCCATCTCTACTAAAAACACAAAAAGTTAGCCGGGCATGGTGGCGGGCGCCTGTAGTCCCAGCTACTCAGGAGGCTGAGGCGGGAGAATTGCCTGAACCCGGGAGGTGGAGGTTGCAGTGAGCTGAGATTGCACCAGTGCACTCGAGCCTGGGTGACAGAGCGAGACTCTGTCTCAAAAAAAAAAAAAAAAAAAAAGGTGCCGGCTGTGTTGGTGTGCACCTGTAGTTCAGCTACTTGGGAGGATTGGTTGAACCTGCAGTGAGCTATGATTGCACCACTGCACTCCAGCATGGGCGACAGAGTGAGACTCTGTCTCCAAAAAGTAATAATAATAATTTTGCAGCTCTGTCTTAAATGGATATTTGTTTTCTAACCCGAAGTATTTGAAACCAAATTGTTGAAAAGTCTTTGTTTATTAATAGAGCAGCTTTCTGATGTACCTTTAAAATGAAACTGAATTCAAATATGTGGGAAATACTGTCTGACTAGCAGCGAATTGAGAAGTTACTGGAAATGCTCTATTTCCAGTTTTACCAGTTAATTAAGGTGTCAGGGATGGCATTGATATTATACTGTGTCATAACAAGAAATATTTCTCAAAACATCAGACATTGACATGGTTTTATGTAACCAAAATGATAAGCCTGGATATATTTCCTTCTACAAATATTTAATTATTTTTTTTAAAAAGCAAGATTTGTGTTTATGAAGTTTTGATAATCCTTGTGACATAATATGTTAGGAGGAGTTTTAAACAGAAACCAGCTGTCAGCAATATAGAGAAATTTAAGTTGAATTATACTGCTAATAGTTTATTTTAGTGAAGAAGAAAGGCTTCTCTGCCATTTACAATTACCAGATAATTTTTTTCCTTTTTTTTTTTGTAACAGCTTTATCGAGATTCAAGTCATGCATGATTTACCTGTTTAAAGCATACAGTTCAGTGTTGGTGTGTTTTAGTATATTCGTCGAGTCATGCAACCATCTTCGCCATCACCGCCAAAGGAACCCTGTAACCTTTAGCTATTATCCCCAACTCTACCCCCACCCCAGCCCTGAGCAACCACAAATCTACTTTCATTATATATCTGCCTGTTCTGGGTATTTTCTGTAAGTGGCGTCATATAATATGGGTCTTTCATGACTGACATCATGTTGTCAAGGTTCATCCCATGTTGTAGCGTATATAGTGCATTATCCCTTTTTATGGCCAAATAGTACTCCGTTGTGTGGACAGCTCTCATTTTGTTTATCCATTCATCAGTTGATGGACATCTGTTTACCTTTTGTTTATTTATTTGGTGTTTTTGTTTGTTTTCAGATGGAGTCTTGCTCTCTCTCTCAAGCTGGAGTGCAGTGGCGTGATCTTGGCTCATTGCAACCTCCATCTCTTGGGTTCAAGCGATTCTCCTGCCTCAGCCTCCCAAATAGCTGGGATTACGCCTGACTAATTCTTGTATTTTTAGTAGAGGTGGCTTTTGGCCGCCTAGTTGGCCAGGCTGGTCTCAAACCCCTGACCTCAGGTGATCCACCTGCCTGGGCCTCCCAAAGTACCTTTTGTTTATTTTTAATACCTATTCTCTGAACATTAATGTACAAGTTTTTGTGGGATATGTTTTCATGTCCCTCGAGTGTATACCTCAGAGTGGAATTGCTGGGTCGTGTGAAGGCTCTGTGTTGAGCATCCTGAGGAACTGCCAGGTTGTTTTCTACAGTGGTCTACATTCCCACCAGCAGCCCACAAGGGTTCCAGTTTCTCCGCATCCTTGCCAGCACTTGTTGTTTTCTGTCCTAGTGGGTGTGAAGTCGTTTCTCATTGTGGTTTTGATTTGCTTTTCCCTAATAGCGGATGTTGTTGAACATCTTTTCATGTGTTAATTAGACATTTGTATATCTTCTTTGGATAAATGTCTATTCAAGTTCTTTACTCATTTAAAAAATCGGGTTGTCTTGGCCGGGCATAGTGGCTCACGCCTGTAATCCTAGCACTTTGGGAGGCCGAGGCGGGCAGATCACGAGGTCAGGAGATGGAGACCATCCTGGCTAACATGGTGAAACCCCATCTCTACTAAAAATACAAAAAATTATCCAGGCATGGTGGCAGGCGCCTGTAGTCCCAGCTACTCGGGAGGCTGAGGCAGGAGAACGGCGTGAACCCGGGAGGCGGAGCCTTGCAGTGAGCTGAGATCACGCCACTGAACTCCAGCCTGGGTGACAGAGTGAGACTCCGTCTCAAAAAAAAAAAAAATTGGGTTGTGTTTTTGTTGAATTTTAAGAGTTCTCTGTATATTCTAGATACAAGCCCCATATTGGACATACGATTTGCACATATTTTCTCCCATTTTGTGGGTTGTCATTTCACTATCTTGATGGTATCCTTTGAAGCACAGGTGTTCTTAATTTTGATGAAGTCTAATTTAACTTATTTTTTTTAAACTGCTGATTTATTACAAGTCCCAAGAGGGCTTTATTTTTTGTCTTCAACATCCTGTTCTTCAGCTTCCTTGTCTCTTTGCCGGTATGCCAAAGAGCCGGGCGTCAGCATGGACCATGTGGAGACTAGCGAAGGCTTTGAAATTCTTCTCCTCGGTGATGACTTGGGCTTTCTCCTTCTTACAGACGTTTGGGATGGGCATGACCGGTCCTGTCAGCTGGGTGGCCAGTTTCAGTTCTTCAGCAGAACTGTCTCCCTTCCTGGTGGCCGAGGGCTTCCTGGGGTAGAGGGTGAGGTTGGAGTGGTGCTCCTTCAGCCGCCGCACCTTGGCCTGCAGGGACTCGGTGGACTCGTACTGCCTCCTTGGATCCACAGAGATGCTAATGGTCTGGGCCACCTTCTTGTGAATGCCAGCCACCCTGAGCTCCTCCAAGCTGCAGCTGCGGCCGGTGCGCACCTTGGTGTGATTTCGCACTGTGCGGCACCACACGATGGGCCGGATGGGTCCCAACGCGGTGTGCAGGGCAATGTGGGGCACTTTAGCTTGCCCGGCCTTGCATCTGCGGATCTTCGGGCCGGCTGGTTGAACCATGTGGCCACGAGCCAGCTGCCAGTCCTTGTGGAAGTGGGGCTTCCATGCCATTCTGGCTGGGCGCCATGGCTGCCTAGAGCCCCTTCTGTGCAGGAAAACAAATTTAAATATTTTTTGTTGTTTTTTTTGCTGTCATATCTAACAATCCATTGGCAGTGCAAGGTCACAAAGTTTCATACCTGTGTTTTCTTTTATACATGTGTTTTCTTCTAAGAGTTTTTTAGTTTTAGCATTTACGTTTAGTTCTTTGATCAATTTTGAATTAATTTTTGCTATGATACGAGGTAGAGGGGTTACATTCATTCTTTTGCACGCAGATAACCAGTTCCAACAATGTTTGTCGAACAGACTATATTCTTTCCCCCGTTGAATGGTCTTAGAATCCTTGTCAGAATCAGTTGACCATAAATGTATGAGTTTCTTTCTGGACTCTCGGTTGTATTCCATTAATATATGTGTCTCTTCTTATGCCAGTACCACACTGTCTTGGTTACTGTTGCTTTGTAGTAAGTTTTCAAATTAGGAAGTATGAGTCCTCCAACTTTGTTGTTTTTCAAGATTGTTTTGACAATTCTTTCTAAGTTCTTTGAGTTTCCATATGCATTTTAGGAACAGCTTGTCAGTTTCTAATAGTAAGCCAGCTGGGATTCTTACAAGGATTTCATTGAATCTGTAGGTCAATTTGGGGAGTATTGCCATCTTAACAGTATTAAAGTCTCTTGTCCCACGATCATAAGATGCCTTTCCACTTATTTAGAACTTTTAAAATTCAAATAAAGAATGGCTATGGTGGCTCACGCCTGTAATCCCAACACTTTGGGAGGCCGAGGTGGGCGGATCACCTGAGGTTAGGAGTTCAAGACCAGCCTGGCCAACATGGTGAAACCCTGTCTCTACAAAAATACAAAAATTAGCTGGGTGTGTTGGCAGCCGCCTGTAATCCCACCTACTCGGGAGGCTGAGGTGAAAGAATCGCCTGAACCCGGGAGGCAGAGGTTGCAGTGAGTCGAGATCACGCCACTGCACCCCAGCCTGGGCTTCAGAGTGAGACTCCATCTCAAATAAATAAATAAATTTAAATTTAATTGAAAAAAAGTTTCAGTTTTCAGAGTGAGAGTTGTTTAGTTTTCTTTTTAATTGGGGTAAAAATACATAAAGTTTGCTGCTTTAACTTTTTTTTTGAGACGGAGTCTTGCTCTGTCGCCCAGGCTAGAGTGCAGTGGCACAATCTTGGCTCACTGCAACCTCTGCCTCCCGGGTCCAAGCGATTCTCCTGCCTCAGCCTCCCGAGTAGCTGGGATTGCAGGCACCCGCCACGACGCCTGGCTAATGTTTGTATTTTTAGTACAGACAGGGTTTCACCATGTTGGCCAGGCTGGTCTCGAACGCTTGACCTCAGGCGATCCACCCACCTTGGCCTCCCAAAGTGTTGGGATTACAGGCGTGAGCCACTGCGCCTGGCCACTTTATCTATTTTTACGTGTTCAATTCAGTGGCATTAATTAAATTCACAGTGCAGGGGTAAGAGTTGCACTTACTTTCTTAAATTTATTCCTGAGGTAAATTGATTTTTATATATTGATCTTTTATCCTGCAAAATTGCTGAACTTTTTAATTAGTTTTAGTAGTTTTTTTAGTGAATTCATTAGAATTTTTACATAAAAAATCATATAAATTTTATATATAAAATTATCTCTGTGAGTACAGATAGTTCTGCTTCTTCCTTTTCAACTTGGATACCTTTAATTTCTTTTTGTTGTCTACTTGCCCTGCCTAGAACCTTCAGTACAGTGTAGGGTAGAAACAGCACTAGGGACATTCTTGTCTTTCTTCTGATCTTAGGGAGAAAGCGTGTAGCCTTCACCATTAAGTGTGGCATTAGCTGCGGGTTTTCATAAATGCCCCTTTTCAGGTTGAGGAAGTTTCCTTCTATTTCTAGTTTGTTAAGTTTTTGATGTGAAAGGGTGTTGGATTTTGTCGTGATTTTTCTGCATCCATTGAGATAGTTGTGTGGCTCGTTTTCTTCTGTTGATATGGTGTATTGCATTAATTGGTTTTTGTTTGTTGAACCAACCTCACATTCCTGGGATGAATCCCACTTGATCATGGTATATAATTCTTTCTCTGTGTTTGTGAATTTCGTTTGCTAGTATTGTATTTTGTTAAAGATTTTGGCATCTATTCATAAAGGTAATTGATTCTAGTTTTCTTTCCTTGTATGTCTTTTTTTTTTTTTTTTTTTTGGTTTGGTATCAAGATAATACTGGCCTTATAGAATGATTTAGGAAGTGTTCTCCTTTTTCTGGAAGAGTGTGAAGAATTGGTAATAACTCTTATTTAAATGTTTGGTAGATGCACCTGTGAAGCTGTCCAGGCCTGGATAGCTTTCTTGGTATTTTTTTGATTACTAGTTCAATCTTTGTGCCTGTTGTAGATCTATTAACATTTTCTCTTTCTTCAAGAGTCAATTTTGGTAGTTTGTGTCTTTTTATAAATTCGTCCATTTCACCTAGATTATCTAATTTGTTGGCATACAGTTGTTCATAGTTTTTCTTAATAATCTTCTTTACTTCTGTTAATGTCAGTAGTGTCCCTTCTTTTATTTCCATCCTAGCAATTTGAGTTGCTGCTGTTTTTTTTCTTGGTCAATCTCAAAAAACGGTTAAAATTGTACATTTTATGTTACGTATATTTTACCATAATAAAAGGTAATTGTAGCCTGTAATCCCAGTACTTTGGGAGGCTGAGGTGGGCGAATCACTTGAGTCCAGGAGTTCGAGACCAGCTTGGGCAACATAATGAGACCCGCCCCCCCCCCCCGTCTCTACAAAAAATAGAAAAATTAGCTGGGCATGGTGGTGCTCACCTGTAGTCTCAGCTACTCGGGAGGCTGAGGTGGGAGGATTGCTTGAACCCAGGAGGTGGAGTTTGCAGTAAGCCGAGCTCATGCTGCTGCACTCCAGCCTGGGAACAGAGTGATACTGTGTCTCAAAAAATAAAAAGTAATTGTAAGTAAGAGTAACTGAGATCCATCCACATGATTGGGTATAGCTGCAGCTTAGTTCCTTGTGGTTATTGTGTAGTGTCCACTGTATTCACAACCCTCTCTTTGTCCACTCCTGATGGACATCTGGGTTGCCCGCTTTGGGGCTATTAAGGAGTGCTGAAGTTGTTTTGGTTTTTTTTTTTTTTTTGAGACAGAGTCTCGCTCGCTCTGTTGTCCAGGCTGGAGTGCAGTGGTGTGATCTCGGCTCACTGCAAGCTCCGCCTCCTCCCAGGTTCACGCTATTCTCCTGCCTCAGCCTCCCGAGTAGCTGGGACTACAGGCATGTGCCACCATGCCCAGCTAATTTTTGTATTTTTAGTAGAGACGGGGTTTCGCCATGTTGACCAGGATGGTCTTGATCTCTCGACCTCGTGATCCACCCACCTCGGCCTCCCAAAGTGCTGGGATTACAGGCATGAGCCACCGCACCCAGCCAGTTTTTAAAATTCTTTTTTTTTTTTGAGACGGAGTCTTGCTCTGTTGCCCAGGCTGGAGGGCAGTGGCATGATCTCGGCTCACTGCAAGCTCCGTCTCCCGGGTTCACACCATTCTCCTGCCTCAGCCTCCCAAGTAGCTGGGACTATAGGCGCCCGCCACCACGCCCAGCTAATTTTTTGCATTTTTAGTAGAGACGCGTTTCACTGTGTTAGCCAGGATGGTCTCGATCTCCTGACCTTGTGATCCACCTGCCTCGGCCTCCCAAAGTGCTGGGATTACAGGTGTGAGCCACCACGCCCGGCCTAAAATTCTTTAAAAACTCCTCTCCACATATCTCTTGAGCCACCTCCCTTAGCTTTGGGCTTTACAAAGCCCTTAGCTTTGGGCCCGTCCTTGGAGGGCAGTTGTAGGTAAGCTGAGCTGCGGTTTTCTGTGATTTGGGATTGCCCCTCATACCATGTATTGAAAGTATCAGAATACCAATCACAAAAGGTACATTTGGCAAGTACTATTTTTATTTTAATTTTTTTTAATTATGAAAATAAGCCTGAGCGACATAGCAAGGCCCCGATTCTACAAATTATACAAAAATTAGCTGGGCATGGTGGTGCACACCTGTAATCCCGGCTGCTCGGGAGGCTGAGATGGGAGGATTGCTTGAGCCTGGGGAGGTCGAAGCTGCAGTCAGCTATGATTGTGCCACTGTACTCCAGCCTGGGTGACACAGTGAGACGCTGTCAAAAAGAAAAAGAAAAGCGTGCTCATGATAAAATAAATTTAAGCAGTACAAGAAGTAGGTATGCCACGAAAAGTGAAAGTCTCCTTCCCCCGAGTTTATTATAATTGTCTTTCTTGCTTTTTTATTTTAAAGCATGTTCTAGTCTTTTTCCATTAAAATTGAATGTTAATTTGAAAGATTGTTTTAAACATTAAAAGCTGATTTTGATAAGTCTAAAAGTCTGAGATGGCCAGACGTGGTGGCTCACGCCTATAAGAGGTGGGCAGATATACCTGAGTCCAGCCTGGGCAGCATAGCGAAACCCTGTCTCTACAAAAAAAAACACAAAAATTAGCTGGACGTGGTGGTGTGGGCCTGTGTCCTAGCTACTCAGGAGGCTGAGGCAGGAGAATTGCTTGAGCCTGGGAGGTCGAGGCTGCAGTGAACCATGATTGTGCCACTGTACTGCAGCCTGGGCGACAGAGCCAGACATTATCTCAGTAAATAAATAAAATAAAAAGTCACGACTTTTAATGAGAAATTAATGTTGAAATATGGTTATTGCATGTATCAGAACTGTGATTTTAGTTTGGCTATTTTTTATTGTCTGTATTGATATACATGCTATAGAATCATATGTGCATTCCCAGAATAAAACATGCTTAGCTGTGGCATTTTATTCTCTAACTGCACAGTTGAGCCTATCGTATTCATTTTTTTTATTATTTTTTTAAATCTGTATTTCCAAATGAGGAGTAGTCTGTAGATAGTCTGTGGTTTTAACTTTTGTATGTTATCTTTGGAATATTTTGGCGTCAGAATTACTGTAGTTTTAGGAAAAATTAAGAAGCTTTCAGTCTTGTGTTTAAGAATATTTTAGGCTGGGCGCGGTGGCTCACGCCTATAATCCCAGCACTTTGGGAGGCCGAGGCAGGTGGATCACGAGGTCAGGAGATCGAGACCATCCTGGCTAACATGGTGAAACCCCGTCTCTACTAAAAATACAAAAAAAAATTAGCCGGGCGTGGTGGCGGGTGCCTGTAGTCCCAGCTACTCGGGAGGCTGAGACAGGAGAATGGTGTGAACCCAGGAGGGGGAGCTTGCAGTGAGCTGAGATCGCGCCACTGCAGTCCAGCCTGGGCGACAGAGCGAGACTCCCACTCAAAAAAAAAAAAAAAAAGAATATTTTATTTTATTTTTATTTTTTGAGACAGAAGTACAGTGGCATGATCATGGCTCACTGCAGCCTTGACCTCCTGGGCTCAGGTGATCCTTCCACCTCAGCATCCCCAGTAGCTGGTACTACAGGTGCGTGCCACCACACTTGGCTAATTTTTGTATTTTTGTACAGATGAGGTTTCGTCATGTTGCCCAGGTTGGTTTCGAACTCCTGAGCTAAAGCGATCCTCCTGCCTTGGCCTTCCAAAGTGCTGGTGTATTACAGGTGTGAGCCACTGTGCCCGGCCTTATTTTTTTTTATTTTTTATTTTTTTTGAGACAGAGTCTTGCTCTGTCACCCAGGCTGGAATGCAGTGGCGTGATCTCCGCTCACTGCAAGCTCCGCCTCCCGGGTTCATGCCATTCTCCTGCCTCAGCCTCCTGAGCAGCTGGGACTACAGGCGCCCGCCACCACATCCAGCTAGTTTTTTGTATTTTTAGAAGAGATGGGGTTTCACCATGTTAGCCAGGATGGTCTCAATCTCCTGACCTCGTGATCCACCCACCTTGGCCTCCCAAAGTGCTGGGATTACCGGCATGAGCCACCGCACCTGGCTGCCTGGCCTTGTTTTTAGTATTTTGTAGAGTTGAAGTCTTACTATGTTGCCCAGGCTGGTCTCCAATTCCTGGGCTCAAGTGATCCTCCTGCCTGGCAGGCCTCCCAAAGTGCTGGAATTATAGGTGTAAACCACCACACCTGACCCCTGAAAAATATTTTAGAGAGTGAAATTTTAAAGTATGCATTTATAAAACCACTTGAGCTGGGCGCGGTGGCTCACACCTGTAATCCCAGCATTTTGGGAGGCCGAGGCAGGCGGATCACCTGAGATTAGGAGTTTGAGACCAGCCTGACCGACAAGGAGAAACCCCGTCTCTACTAAAAATACAAAATTAGCCGGGCATGGTGGCACATGCCTGTAATCCCTGCTACTTGGGAGGCTAAGCCAGGAGAATTGCTGGAACCTGGGTGGCGGAAGTTGTGGTGAGCTGAGGTTGTGCCACTTGCACTCCAGCCTGGGCAACAAAAGCGAAACTCCGTCTCAAAAAAAAAAAAAGTATAGAATTAATTGCTAGTTGCCCCTATTGAATGGTGGTATTTTTGAATACTGCTAGATCCTCAGTTGATCAGATTTTATAGTTTTTCTCCAATAGCATTTTAATAATAATTGGTTTGTAATATAAATAAAACTTTGTTTAATATTAAGGAAAGAAACTTTAAAAATCCAGGCTATTCTGAATTAGTATCCATTTCATAGTCCCCTCTACATCCCTTTTCTTTTCTTTTTTTTTTTTTTTTGGAGACGGAGTCTCACTCTGTCGCCCAGGCTGGAGCGCAGTGGCACGATCTTAGCTCACTGCAACCTCCGCCTCCCGGGTTCAGGGGATTCTTTTGCCTCAGCCTCCCAAGTAGCTGGGATTATAGATGTGTATCATCACACCTGGCTAATTTTGTATTTTCAGTAGAGATGGGGTTTCCCCATGTTGGCCAGGTTGGTCTCGAACTCCCAACCTCAGGTGATGTGAGCCACCTGCCTCAGCCTCCCAAAGTGTTGGGATTGCAGGCATGAGCCACCACACCCAGCCTCTACCTCCCTTTTCTTAACAGTTTATTTTTTTCCCGGCTATGGTAATTCCTGTTGTTGATTGTATTGCAAGTTTAATGATGCTTAAAATACTGCATTTATAATTTGAGAGAAATATTCTCAGTAAAATGAACTTTAAATGTTTTCATTTTTACTGTTTTTTAAATGTGTATTTTTAAAATGAGATAAGGTCTCACTAGTTGAGCCCAGGTTTGTCTCAAACTCCTGGCCTCAAGTGATCCTCTCACCTTGGCCTCCCAAAACGCTGGGAATAGGCATGAGCCATCACGCCTGGCCTTAAATGTTTTTAAAAATAAAGTTTGGTATGGAGAATTTTAAATGTTTCTTGTTTGTCCTAAAGCGTTCTCCAGTACCACATTGGAAAGGAAGACTTAGATAAACATTTTAACAGTAAGAGAGTCGCCATCTTAGACTTTTTGAAAGTCCAGTCAGTCCAAAGGGCCTGTATCAATCAGATGCAGGAGATGGAGACAGATATGTTACGCTGAATACTGAAGCTGTTTGCCATGGCAGCTTTGTAGAATCCGTACAGAAGTTTTATCAGCTCATAAAACTGCTTTATGACCCAGAAGGAATGCCAGCAATAAAACAAACGTACTCATGGCAAATACACCAGGCGTGGGGCTGATTTTCCTGCCGCAATGCACTTCCAGTGAGGAAACTGCTGTGTGGTTTGGGGCAGGAGCTTGTAGTGATTTCGATTCAATCTTCCTGTTTTGGGTATTTGTAAAAGGAAACTAATTTTTCAGAAACTTCTAGCTGGTATCCCATGTCACTCAGCCATCCTCTATTTAAATATTATTGAAAATAGTGATGAGCTCATGTATGAAAATGTCATTCTTCCTTTTTTGGAGTCTCTTGAGTTTTTTATATGGTGGTATTTGTGTAATGAGTATTAATAAAAGTGATAGTAATTGGTAATATTTCCTATTCAAATTTCAAAGTTTAAAATTTCAAATAGGAAATTTCAGATACCTTTAGAAGTAGAGCAGCTGGGTGCGGTGGCTTACACCTGTAATCCCAGCACTTTGGGAGGCCGAGGTGGGTGGATCATGAGGTCAGGAGATAGAGACCATCCTGGCTAACACAGTGAAACCCCGTCTCTACTAAAAATACAAAAAAATTAGCTGGGCATGGTGGTGGGCGCCTGTAGTCCCAGCTACTTGGGAGGCTGAGGCAGGAGAATGGCGTGAACCCAGAAGGCGGGGCTTGCAGTGAGCAGAGATGGCGCCACTGCACTCCAGCCTGGGTGACAGAGCGATACTCCGTCTCAAAACAAACAAAAAAACAAAAATAAAACAAAAAGAGGTAGAGCATATAGAATAATGAACCACCAGTTTCAACAGTTATCAACTCACAGTCAGTTGTATTTCACTTTTATTCCCTTTCCCCAAAAAGGATTATTTTAGGAAAATCCCAGAAATCTGTCATCTCATTTGTAAATATTTCAGTGTGTGTCTCAAGAAGATGAGGGTTTTCTTTAAAAACATAGCCATAATAATATGACATTAAAAAATAACAGTAATTTCTCAATATCATAAAATAGTCATTGTTTAAATTTCCTTTTTTTTTTTTTTTAAAAAAAGTGGATTTGTGGCCGGGCACGGTGGATTATGCCTGTAATCCTAGCACTTTGGGAGGCTGAGGCAGGTGGATCATCAGGAGTTCGAGACCAGCCTGGGTAACATGATGAAACTACTAAAATATAAAAATTAGCCAGGCGTGGTGCTGCATGCCTGTAATCCCAGCTACTCAGGAGGCTGGGGCAGGAGAATTGCTTGAACCCGGGAGGCAGAGGTCGCAATGAGCCTAGATCACACCACTGCACTCCAGACTGAGTAACAGAGCGAGACTCCGTCTCAAAAAAAAAAAAAAAAAAAAGTGGATTTGTTTTATAGGCATTTGGATTGTACACCTCCTTAATCTCTTTTAATCTGTAAGCTCTTTCTCTCTCCTTTTTTTTTTTTTTTTTTTTTGCAGTTTATTTGTGGAAGAATTGGCATTTGTCCTGTCCTGTTCAAAAGTTTTAACTGGTTTCTAGTGTTTTCCTAGCTGGACAAATTTGGCATTTGACAGATCATTCCTATACTATTGGCCCAGTATATTTTGTGGGAAATAAACTATTTGGGGGTTCAATCGATGTAAAAAAAAATAGGCATTTCTGATTTCATTTCAGATGTTGCAGTGGTAAAGTATATTCCAGTCAGGAGCTGGTGAGGCCTGAGGCCCAAGTGTGCACCCACGCGGGGTTGCAGAGAGGCCGAGAAGTGCGTTATTACCTCCCTTCTCCTTGGTCCTCGTGGGTGGGCATGAGAGGTTGGATCTGTCACTCTGAGACAGCAGAGGGGGACAAGGAGAAGTGAATGAAATACGTGTTGCTTCTCCAGGCCTTCATATCAGAAACACCTGCCGCTGCCCTGAGGCCACAAGGCTGGCCGCCGGCTGGTGCTCTTGGCTCCCTCTGCTGCTTGCTGGGTGAGGATGCCCTGGGCTTGTGGCATTTTTCTTAAAAAAAAAAAAATAATAATAATAATAATAGAAGGCAGGTCTTATAGTAGTTGTTCACTGGAGACACTTTGGAGTTGACAATTAGTGAGGACTCAACTTTTTAAAATGTGATCTTAAGCTTTTTGATTTTTTAATTGAAGTTCAGAAAAATTAGTTGATACTTGTCCACCCATGTGAGTGATGCTGTAGTCTCTGGTACATCAGCTTTTTAGTTGGTTTCCGGAATCCAGCCCTTAGAAGCCAGACGGGTTGGGCATTCTACCTGCACATCAGGCTGCACAGAGGCTGGGCCTTGGTGCTGTTGGGAGCCCCAGGCCCTTCCTGCTGAGAGCACTGGGGAAAGGCCTGCGTGTGGGCGCCTGTAGAGAAATACCAGGCTCATCCCAAATTGGAAATCGCCAGACGTTCTGGAAAAGTACAATTTTCATAATCAAATAAACCCTGGTAGTATAAATCTTGTATTTTTACTGCAGCGTTTGTTTAAGGAGAAGCATTTTTGACAGCTCTTGTAGCTTGTGAAAGGAAATGCAGACTGCACAAAGCTAGATGTCCTTTTGCAAAATGTTAAACATTTGCTGACTTTGCCGTAAAGTTTTATTGATTATTTGGAAAGCTCTTTCATTTGTTGATTTTAGTGTCTCATCTCTAGGCATCTGGTGAAAAGGGTAGTTTTCCTGGCTTACCAATTACTTTCATGAAATCAGAAGAACATTTTCAAGTCTTCTGTGAAAACATCCTTCCTTCCTGTTTATTACTGCGTTTACGTGGGGATGGTGAGCCAAAGATGACGATACAGGAGCACACTGGCCATCTTTCTCTGCTTGGTGTCTGGGTCATGTACTTTTTTTATTTCATTTCCTTCATGCCGGCGTTTTTATAATACTGAAAAATATCAGCATAAAATATTTTTTTTAATTAAAAAAAAAGTAACTCAGAAATGCTTAGGTTCAGTTGGATATGTGACATATTGGAGGTGGGTAGTCTGGCAGCCAATCTGAACACTTTTGTGTGTGTGTAGAGACAGGGTGCCACCGTGTCACCCAGGCTGGAGTGCAATGGCTCAGTCTTGCCTCACTGCAATTCCCACCTCCTGGGCTCAAGCCATCCTCCCGTCTCAGCCTCTCGAGTAGCTGGGACTGTAGGTGCATGCCACCACACTGACCTAATTTTTGTGAATTTTTTTGTAGAGACGGGCTTTCGCCATGTTGCCTAGGCTGGTCTGGAACATCTAGGCGTAAGTGATCTACCTGTCTCAGCTCCCACAGTGCTGGGATTATAGGTGTGAGCCAGCCCTGAACACTTTTTTTTGAGATGGAGCCTCCCTCTGTCACCCAGGCTGGAGTGCAGTGATGGGATCTGGGCTCACTGCAACCTCCACCTCCCAGGTCGAAGTGATCCTCCCGCCTCAGCCGCCCAAGTAGCTGGGACTACAGGCGTGCACCACCACACTCAGCTAATTTTTATATTTTTAGCAGAGATGGGGTTTCACCATGTTGGCCAGGCTGGTCTTGATCTCCTGACCTCGGGTGATCCACACACCTTGGTCTCCCAAAGTGCTGAGATTACAGGCATAAGCCACTGTGCCTGGCCACCTGAACACATTTAATTGTTGAGGCTGAAATAAATAACATTTAAAATGAGTGAAGCCATTGTTATCCAAACTATGCTCCTCAAACTTTCTTTGCCTCTTTTTTAAAAGAACCAGATTCTTCTAAACATTCTTAAATGTTTTAAAAAGAGGTACCATTTCCACCTTCAACCTCATTGGCCATGAGAGGGCTTTGATACCGTGCTGGGCACGCCCCATGGAGATGGGCGACTACTGGTCACTCCTGTCGGGCAAGGTGAGGCCGGGCTGGCCGCTCCACGCTTCTCCTCTGTTCAGGAAGGAAAGTGAGCGCCTCACTCTGAGGGCGGTTTGCTTGGTGGCCCTTCCTCTGGTTCAGGAGCAGCCACCCTGTGAGAGCCAGTTAGGCACTGGGAGGGTTGGAGTTGCTGGCTGGAGAGCCCCTCAGGTGCTGGGAGGGCTGGAGTTGCTGGATGGATTGCTATTGCTGTTTTGAATATTGCTTCCCGCTCACATGCGTGTCTGGCCACTGAGGGCTCCAATCTAGCATTTCTTTTTTTTTTTTTTTTTTTTTTTTTGGAGATGGAGTCTCCCTCTGTCACTAGGCTGGAGTGCAGTGGCGCGATCTCGGCTCACTGCAACCTCCGCCTCCTGGGTTCAAGCAATTCTCCTGCGTCAGCCTCCGAAGTAGCTGGGACTACAGGTGCACACCACCACACACAGCTAATTTTTTTTTGTATTTTTAGTAGAGACGGGGTTTCACCATGTTGGCCAGGATGCTCTCGATCTCTTGACCTCGTGATCCGCCCATGTCAGCCTCCCAAAGTGCTGGGATTACAGGCATGAGCCACCACGCCTGGCCAATCTAGCATTTCTTTTTTTTTTTTTTCCTTTGAGACAGAGTCTTGCTCTGTTGCCCAGGCTGAAGTGCAGTGGCACAATCTCGGCTCACTGCAAGCTCCGTCTCCCAGGTTCATGCCATTCTCCTGCCTCAGCCTCCTCAGTAGCTGGGATTACAGGTGCCTGCCACCACGCCCAGCTAATTTTTTTGTATTTTTTAGTAGAGACAGGGTTTCACCGTGTTAGCCAGGATGGTTTCGATCTCCTGACCTCGTGATCCACCCACCTCGGCCTCCCAAAATGCTGGGATTACAAGCGTAATTTAGCATTTCTTTAGCCTCACTTCTCTGGTGCTGGATTAGGTCCTAGAAGTTTCATATAATTAGCAACAGTATTTTTTCTTCCAGAGACATACTTATTCCTCATGCAGAAATGCAGAGTCAATGTCTAAATAAGGTAAAAGATTGAAGGAATTTTGGATAAGAGAAAATTTCCCATAAAAATGTTTACTTTTATCCTTTTTTTCTTTTTTAACACCATAGTATTCCTGACATATTGACTATTCAATTTAGAAAGATTGGCAGTTGGACTCAGATAATTCAGTACTTGGCTCTGGACAGTTGTTAAGAACCCTGCTGAAAATGGTTTATATGCAGAAGGTTTCAGCAACTCAGATCAACTCTGCTGATCTCAGGATCTATGCTAGGATGAAAAAAAGTCCCTGGCATGAATTTGTTTTTCTTGTCACTAGTATTTTCCAGTTGAATGAGTTTAAAAATAATAAAAGATAAAATACAAATAAATAACAGCCCTATTAAGGGAGAATTGCATGTACTTGTATTTAGATAGGAGAGTATGTTCTGGATGTCCAAGTTCATGGGCACAGAATATAGAAGGAGGCAGGTGACGTAGGAAGAACCTTCTGGAAGCTGTGGGTTTCTTTTCACTCACATGCACCTGTTGAGCGCCAGCTGTGCACCAGGCACTGAGCTGCACTGCAGACGGGCGTGTTCCTGGGAGGGGCTTCCATGCTGTTTCTGTGGGAAAGGGGAAGCCCAGCACATCTTCTGTGATGCGTATGTGATCACAAAACGATTAGGCTGGCTCTGCGTGCTGGGGCTGTCTCAGAGCCTGGCACTGCTCATTGTTGACATCCACTGTCACATTCACCCACAGTTCTGGGATTATCCTTAATTTACCCACAAGGAAACTGGAGTTCATGCTCAGTATTTTGCAACACAGTAAGCGGTGAAGTCTGAAGGACTCAGGTGCTTACTCGTAGCCACAATGTCTTGCTTCATTTCAGGAATATTTTTAAATACCTTTAATACTTTTTGAATAAATTAATGAATCGTGCACCCAAGTAGTCTCTGTTGTGACCCCCTCATGTGTGGTACACACTGTTGTGACCCATATCACAGATTCGTTGTGCTTGGTTTTTTATTATTGTTTTATTTACTTATTTTTGAGAAGGAGTCTTGCTCTGTCACCCAGGCTGGAGTGCAGTGGCACAATCTCAGCATATCACAACCTCTGCCTCCCAGGTTCAAGCAATTCTCCTGCCTCAGCCTCCCAAGCAGCTGGGACTACAGGTGCGCACCACCACGCCTGGCTAATTTTTGTATTTTTAGTAGAGATGGGGTTTCACTATGTTGGCCAGGCTGGCCTGGAACTCCTGACCTCAAGTGATCCACCTGCTTTGGCCTCCCAAAGTGCTGGGATTACAGGCGTGATCCACCACGCCTGGCTTTTTGATTTAAGTGTATGATTTATTGGTTCTTACTCTATTCACACATTTGTGCAGCTCTCACCGCTGTCTAATTCTAGAGCATTTTCATTGCCCCTGAGCCTTGTACCCATTAGCAGTACTTAGCATTCCCTCTCCCCAGCCCCTGGCAACCACTAATATACTTTTTGTCTCTATGGATTTGCCTATTCTGGACATTTTATATAAATGGAATCATACTATACGTGGTCTTTTGTAGCTGGCTTCTTTCATTTAGCATAATCTTTTCAAGGTTCATCCATGTTGTATTGTTATTTAATTACTTTCTCTGGCTGAATAGTAGTATTCCATTGTCTAGGTAGACCACATTCTGTTTATTTAGCTATCAGTTGATGGACATTTCGGTTTTCACTTTTTGACTATTACGAATGATGCTGCTGTGAATATTCATGTACAAATTTTTTTTATATTAAATTTTTTAAAACCTGGTTCTTAGTAAACATGCAGTGTGCAAGTTTTGGTGCAGACATGCTTTGATTTCTCCTGTTTATATACCTAGGGGTGGAATGACGGGTCATGTAGTAACTGTGTTTAGCACTTTGAGGAACTGCCAGGCTACATCATTTTACAATCTCACTAGCAGTGTGTAAGAGTTCATCTCTCCACCTCATGGCCAACGCTTGTTATGATTTGTCTTTTTTATTGTAGCTACCCTAGTGGGTGTGAAGTGAGGTCTGGTTACAGTTTTGATTTGCATTTCCCTGATTGCGAATGACTTTGAGCATCTTTTTCTGTGCATATTGGGCATTTGTATTAATATATCTTCTTTGGAGAAATGATGATTCAGATCCTTTGCCCATTTTTAAATTGGGATATTTGTCTTTATGAGTGAGTTGGGAGAGCTTTTTGTGTATTCTGGATGTAAGTCCCTTATCAGATATGTGATTTCAGATATTTCCTACGCTTCTGTTGTTTGTCTTCTCACTTTTTTTTTTTTTTTAATGAGACGGAGTCTCACTCTGTCGCCCAGGCTGGAGTGCAGTGGCGCGATCTCAGCTCACTGCAAGCTCCGCCTCCCGGGTTCACGCCATTCTCCTGCCTCAGCCTCCTGAGTAGCTGGGACTACAGGCACCCGCCACCATGCCTGGCTAATTTTTTAAAAAATATTTTTAGTAGAGACGGGGTTTCACTGTGTTAGCCAGGATGGTCTCGATCTCTTGACCTTGTGATCTGCCCACCTCAGCCTCCCAAAGTGCTGGGATTACAGGTGTGAGCCACCCATGCCCAGCCATCTTTCTTAATGGCTTCTTTTGAACATTTTTTTGTTCAGGTTTGGTGTTTGTAGTTAAAAAACAGAATGATTTTTATTTTGGTGAAGTTTAACTTACCTGTTTTTCATGTTTTACCTGTAAGAATCCATTGCCTAATCCAAGGCCACAAAGATTTACATGTGGTTTTTTGTTTTGTTTTGTTTTGTTTTTGAGACGGAACCTCACTCTGTCACCAGGCTGGAATGCAATGGCGTGATCTCGGCTCACTGCAACCTCTGCCTCCCAGGTTCACGCGATTCTCCTGCCTCAGTCTCCTGAGTAGCTGGGACTACAGGCATGTGCCACCATGCCCAGCTAATTTTTGTTAGTAGAGACGGGGTTTCACCATGTTGGCCAGGATGGTCTTGATCTTTTGACCTCATGATCCACTCACCTCGGCCTCCCAAAGTGCTGGGATTATAGGTGTGAGCCACCACGCCCAGCCGTGTTTTAAGTGTTTCGTAGTTTGAGTTCTTACATGTAGGCCTTCAATTCATTTTGAGTTAATTTTTTTGTATATGGTGTGAGGTAGGGGCGCACAGTTATTCTTCAGCATGTGGTTGTCCAGCCACCCCAGTACCATTTGAAGATGCTGTTTTCCCCCATTGCATGATCTTGGGGTTGTGTCTGTTTCTGAGTCTCATGTAATGGAATCCTGCAGTATTTTGTGTCTGGTTTTTTTTTAGCTTCACATACATCCGTGTGATTCATCAGTGTTGTGTATGACAGGAGTTCATCCTTTTTTTTTTTTTTTGAGACAGAGTCTCGCTCTGTCACCCAGGCTGGAGTGCAGTGGCTTGCTACAACCTCTGCCTCCTGGGTTCAAGCGATTCTCCTGCCTCAGCCTCCCTAGTAGCTGGGACTATAGGCATGTGCCACCACGCCTGGCTAATTTTTGTATTTTTAGTAGAGACAGGGTTACACCATGTTGGCCAGGCTAGTCTTGAACGTCTGACCTCAGGTGATCCACCCGCCTCGGCTTCCCAAAGTGCTGGGATTACAGGCATGAGCCACCACACCTGGCTCCTCCTTTTTTTTTTCTTTTTTTTTTTTTAATGTGTACTAGTTCATTACATGAATACTACAGGTTATCCACTCTTCTGTGAGTGGACATTTGGGTAGTTTACAGTTTTTGATAATTATGAGTAAAGCTGCTTTGAACATTCTTGTGTGTGTCTTTTTGGTAGACATACCTGCTCACTTCTCTTGGGTGTTTACCTGGGAGGGAATTTCTGTGCCGTAGGGTACACATATGTTAGCCTAAGCGATCCAAGTGCAATTGGTGGGGGAGAGGGGTGGCACATCGGACAGTGTGCTTGCTTACAGGAGAGTGAAAGAATTGCTTACTTGAATTACCAGTTCTCAAGTAATTTGAAAGACACAGTTCACCTTAAACTAAAATGATACTTGCTGCATGGACTGTCAATTCTTCAGAAGATGGTACTAATCATGACATTAGGAGCAGCTGGTATTTTACTGTGCAGAAAGAAAACCAGACTTTTCTGAATTCACAGCAGTGACACAAAGAAATTTCAAAATATACTGTCTACTAGATTAAGTTAAGAGCAACAAGAAAAATGAGTGGAGTTAATTTTTGCCTCTGAATTTTAAAACTGACACGTAAAAAGTCTTATGTGGGGAGTAAAGACAAATAACAAGGGATTAAAAATACCAAACATTTAGACTGGACCCAGTGGCTCACGCCTGTAATCCCAGCACCTTGGAAGGCCGAGGTGGGCAGATCACTTGAGCCCAGGAGTTTTGAGACCATATGCCTGTAGAGATATTATTATATAACATCCCTGACCCATATGTAGATGTTCAGAAAGTGGAAGCTGCCATTAGCAATGGGTGGGTTGAATATTTCATCAAATATTTAGGGTATAAGAGAATAAAAAGCAAATTGAAAGTATTAAAAGATCCTGCCTTCTCAAGTCTGTCAAATAGGAAGGACTATGTTATAAGCTTGAATTAATCCTAAGAGTTTGGTGGATGTTACGAATAGTTGCTAAAAATTCCCCAAATTACTAATTACTGAAGTTAAGTTGCTCTCCTTTGAACCTTATTTACTGATGCTTTGCAAACTTTTTACTTTCTTACATTCAAAACTCTTCCTCCCTGCTTCTTAATGCGGGGTAGGAAGCATTTAATCACTGTAGATACCGTTTAATCACTGTACTTTGTTATGAGTGCTGTGCCCACTGTCTTCTAGAAGTGTATTAGCAAGTCTCAGTCTCAAGGGTTAGAGAGCCAGGAAGAGTAAGTTAGGACGGACTCTGTTACAGAACTCTAGAGGCCAGAGCATTGGGGCTCCTTTCTGTCCTTCCGCCTCAGTTAAACAGAGACAAGTCCGAGGCCTTCCAGGAGGAAGATGCGTAGACGGTTCTCTTCCTGGCTGTCACGTCGTCCTTCCTGTCCTGGCGGTCCCAGCCCAGTTTGGAGTGTGTGGGAGAGCGTCTCTGTATATATTTAGGACTACTCTGGCGTTGTACTAGGAAGGAGTGAGGATTCATTCTCGATTTCTCATCCTGCTCCAGTGCAGCAGCTGAGCTCATTTCCTGTGATCCTGTTCCTGGGGCCGGGGTGGGCACCGCCCCCATCAGTGCTGCTGGTGTGAAGGGTCCTGCCCAGCTGACATGGGGGCTCCCTCTGGGACTAGATTTCCCTGCACTGTGTGCTGCCTTTTGTCTTTGAAAATTGATCTGTGCGTGATCTTAAATACCTCTGTTTGGCGAGCTGCAAAATCTGCATATTAGAATATATATATTCTGCATATTAGAAGATATATATTTAATATAATACCAGTAGTTGACTTAATAAAAGTGTATATGTTTATGAATATATTTTCTTTGTCAAAACTAAAGTTTTTACTCGAAAATCAGTTAAAAAAAGGAAAAAATTAAGAAAAACCAGTGAGTAAAATTATTAATTTCTACCAAAGAAAAAACAATTAGGATCAGGTATAGTGGTTCATGCCTGTAATTCCAACACTTTGGAAGGCCAAGGTGGGAAGATTACTGTAGCCCAGGAGTTTGAAACCAGTCTGGGCAACATAGCAAGACCCCGTGTCTACAAAAAATAAAAAATTAGCCACTGCCAGGCATGGTGGCTCATCCCTGTAATCCCAGCACTTTGGGAGGCCAAGGCAGGTGGATCACCTGAGGTGAGGAGTTTGAGACCAGCCTGACCAAGAAGGTGAAACCCGTCTCTACTAAAAATAGAAAAAGTAGCCAGGCATGGTGGCAGGCACCTGTAATCCCAGCTACTCGGGAGGCTGAGACAGGAGAAATGCTTGAACCCGAGAGGCAGAGGTTGCAGTGAGCCGAGATCGCGCCAGTGCACTCCAGCCTGGGTGATGGAGTGAGACTCCATCTCAAAAAAAAAAAAAAAAATTAGCCACATGATAATGCGCACCTGTAGTCTGCTACTCGGGAGACTGAGGGGAGAATCACTTGAGCCCAGGAGATAAGGCTGCAGGGAGTGAGCCGTGATCACGCCACTGCTGCTCTCCAGCCTGGGGGACCCTGCCTCAAAAAAAAAAAGAAAAGGAAAAGAAAAGAAAAAAAATAGCTATATCTGTGGGTTGCTGCTTTTTTCATGGTGTGTAAATGAACAGTTCTTAAGAGAACTGGTGTGGACTGGTGCAGTGGGAGCCTGAGGGGGGTGGGTGAGCCCATTCCAGAGAAACACCCCCTACTGACTGGGTGGAGGCACAGATGCAGCAAGCACCAATAATGTTCGTTTCAAGGAATTGGCTGTGTTCTCACAATTGCTTATTGAAGCTTGGGGCGTTTATTTTGTCACCCTAGAATTTAATTTATGGTTTATTGTTAACACTTAAGCCAGTGAGAATGAACTTGTCTCCAGCCTCTGTGATCTCTGGGTGATACCCTGCCCCCTAACAGCTGGATCAGTTGACGAGTGTGATGTGAGCACCCGTGGGGAATGGGCCAGCTTTCCGTCTATGCCAAGATGAGTGGTGTTTTTGTTTGTTTTGTTTTTTAAACAAAACACTTTGGTGAAAATGATTTCAAACATCTCCCGGGCGTGGTGGCATGTGCCTGTAGTCCCAGCTGCTTGGGAGACTGGGAGGATCCGTTGAGCCCAGGAGGTGGAGGCTGCAGTGAGCCGTGATGGCATCACTGTGCTCCAGGCTGCCGACAGAGTGAAACCCTGTCTCAAAAACAACAGCAACAAGAACTCTTCAGGGTTCTCTCTTCTGTCTCCACCCCACCTCTCTCATTCTCAAAAGGCCAATCAGACTTCTGTCCCCTGCCTCCCTCAAAACTGCTGCTTTTGTCAAGGCCACCTGTGGTCTCCACGTGGCAAAAGCCAGTAGGTAATTCCTGGTTGTCATCCACCTTCCAGGATGGAAGTCCTGGCTTTCTCTGCACCCTGCTGGCTTCTCTTCCCCGCAGCCACCTCATGTCGAAGCCCCCCAGGGTTCTGTCCTTGGCCCCTCCCCTCTCTCTGCTGACTTCCTGGTGATCTCATCCGATACCAGCTGTACACTGGGCACCTTGGGCTTCTCTCTGGAACTGCATCACCTGTCCAGCTGCTTCCCTGCCACTCAGCCCACCAGCCTCTGTCAGCCTTCCCATGCAGGCAACTCCAGCGTCCTAGTGCTTGGCCAGTGCTCTGTGCGAGTGTCAACCTGCACGCCCCATCCAGCAGGAAATCCGCTCGTCTCACTTTCAGGAACAGCCAGGATCTCACCGCTGCTTCTGACCAGACTGCTATCGCCTGCACCACATGATCCCCGCCTGTACCACACGACCCCCGCTCTGGCCCACCCCGCTCCTCAGGTTTTCTCAGACTCAATCTGTGGTCTCACTTGTCTTCCTGTCTTTTGCATCTGAATGTTCTTTTTTTTTTTTTTTTGAGACTAGGTCTTGCTTTGTTGCCCAGGCTGGAGTGCAGTGGCACGATCTCGGGTCACTGCAACCTCTGCCTCCTGGATTCAAGCGATTCTGCCTCAGCCTCCCAAGTAGCTGGGACTGCAGGCACGCGCCACCATGCCCAGCTAATTTTTGTATTTTTAGCAGAGATGGGGTTTCACCATGTTGGCCAGGATGGCCTTGATGTCTTTTTTTTTTTGAGACAGTCTCACTCTGTCACCCAGGCTGGAGTGCAGTGGCGCGATCTCAGCTCACTGCAAGCTCCGCCTCCCAGGTTCACGCCATTCTCCTGCCTCAGCCTCCCAAGTAGCTGGGACTACAGGTGCCCGCCACCACGCCTGGCTAATTTTTTTAAAAAATATTTTTAGTAGAGACGGGGTTTCACTGTGTTAGCCAGGATGGTCTCGATCTCCTGACCTCGTGATCCACTCGCCTCGGCCTCCCAAAGTGCTGGGATTACAGGTGTGAGCCACTGCACGCGGCCACATCCACGTGTTCTTAAAGGGCTCCCTTTTTAATCCTCTAAAGTCTCAAGTTGCATTAAGTTAAAATTTAATGGTTGTTCTTTTTACAGCGTTATACTTCCTGGTTATCAGCCTGTGCTCCTATATCAGCTAGAGCTCCTATTTAGAGAACTGTATTTGGGGTTAAGAGGGCTTGTGGGAAGAGTCACTTTTCTCAGACTCGTGATTCCTGATGAGAGGGGTCTGTGGCTGGCTCCTTGCAAAGGCAGTATTCTGACATCTTACAAAAGAGCTTAGTTATTGTGAAACAAAGAAAACACATTTTGTGTAATTTGAACACATTTTTCTAAAACTTTGTGATAGGTACTAATCTTCCGTAGCTGCGTCAGCCGTCTGAACCGTAAGAATAAATTCCAAGCCTTTGGAGCTGTGAACTCTCTCCAGGGTGGTCCTGTGAAGGCGCCTGCATTCCCTGCCACGTGCGGGCCAAGGCGCTGACTCCTGGCACACGCCCTGTGCTCTCTCTCTCACGGGGGTTCAGCATGTGCCCCGTCCACTGTGGCTGCACTCCTTGGTCCCTGGGGTGCTGCTCTGGCCCCTTCTCTCTCTGCAGGAGGTCCGGATGCATAGCGCGTCAGTGTGCCTGGGCCCTCGCACACATCCATACCTTCTCTAGCCTGGCCTCTGGCCCTCGGCCTCCGCGTAGGTCTTGCTGGGCCGTCGGTAGGTGCCTCCCCTGCAGCTGCCCCCGCGCTCCAGCAGCTGTGGAGGTGCTGCTCCAGGCAGGTGTGGGTCCTGCCATCTCTTGAAGGGACGGAGTGGTAGCTGGCGGTTACAAGGAGAGGACCTCAGGAGAGAACCACGCTGTGGGTGGAGTTGACGACTCGGGGGCGAGACGTCTGTCCCTTGTGTCCTCTGCATGTTGCTTGGCCATTGGGGCCCTGTTCACCTTCATTGGTAAAAGGTATTATTCGTAATGGATAACCTGTCAGACTCTTTCCAATTCCAAATGTATTGATTGTGGCCACAAAGCAGCTGAGGCCCAAACAGTCAGGGTGGCACGGATGAACAGAACCATCCAGGGGGAGGCGGAGAGCTTCTGCCGGACAGGGGAAAGCAGGACTTCCTGCCCGCCTGCCTCAGGCTTCAGCTCTTGACACCGTCCTCTTTCCTCAGACCCTCCCACCCTGGGCACTCCTTCCAGCTGGTCTCATCTTGTTTGATTTCACAATGGTTTTCTGTCAGTTTTAGACAAAGATCCTCCCTCCGCCTGCAGTTCTTCTTGGCAAAGCTTTTCCTATTTAAAGGGAGCACTGGGCTCCATTTTGCCTTACAGTTTAGATCTCATATTTGTCGGTGGTTACACTTGATTGATTAATCCATTGTTTTCTAGAGCATCAAGAGAAGTTCTTTAGGGGACAGTTCGGGGTAGGAGGAATGAAGAGATTGATGAGGAGAAAATTTCTCCAGTAAAAGTTAAGCTGTCTAAAGGCTAAAGCTTTATTCAGCCTTTTGGATGGAAAATCTCCCAAGATGTTGAATGTCCTTATCTTAGGAGGGGTGCGAACCCCCTGTGTAGAGAAGGCCGCCCTTTGGTGATGACTCCTCGTGAATGTCAGTTGCCACATGCCATAGACACAGGCAGCTGTGCTGAAGGAGTCCTGTCAGCGTGGCAGGTCCAGGGGAGCAGCGATCAACCCTGCCTTAGAGCCTGGTGAGGAAGACGGGCAGGAAGAGGTGGCTTTGTGCTGGGTGAGGGCTACGGGCTCTTCAGGAGAAGTCTGAGATGATGCCCAGGTGCCATGGCTGACGCTGTGGGTGATGGTGTGGGCAATGCAAGGCGTGGTGGACAGTAGCCTCCCAGTTGCTGCAACTTGGAGCCTTGTGAGTGCTGGCTGGTTAGCCTGGCCCAGCTTCTGAGCTGCAGGGCGGCCGTGTCTCTAGGGCCTTAGCATATTTCAGGATGGCCAGGTGTGGTAGCCCACCCCTGTAATTCCATCACTTTGGGAGGCCAAGGCGGGAGGATCACTTGAGCCCAGGAGTTCTAGACCAGCCTGGACAATACAGCAAGACCCCGTCTCTAAAAAAGAATTAGCTGGCATGGGAGCATGCCTGTGGTCCCAGCTACTGGGGAGGCCAAGGTGGGAAGATCCCCTGAGCCTGGGAAGTGGAGGCTGCAGTGAGCTGTGATCACTCCACTGCACTCCAGCCTGGTCGACAGAGCAAAACCCTGTCTCAAAAACAAACAAACCAAAAAACCGAATGGCCTGCATCCTCCCTGGAAGCTGTGTCTGTCTCTAGTTGCCTCACAACAGGCTGGTTCTCCCACTTCTCACGCCTCACCTCTCCCCATCCCCATGGAAGCTGGTGGTTTCGAAGTGATCACTTTTTGAAAATATAAAACAGCAGTAGGGTCCTGTAAGAAAAATCAATTTTTTGAGATGGTCTCTTCACGATTTCAGACTGTAGCACTAACTACGTGATGTAATTGGATTCCGTTGCCCCAGGCCCTACTCCCCTCCTCACCCCAACCTGCTGCTCTCCTGGCCTCTCCTGCTTTGGTGTGTAGCACCCCATTCATCAAGCTGCTGTGGCTAGAAACCTAGTGCACATCCTGGAATCTTCTTTGCTCATCCCATGCCACAATCCACTCTAGTTCCAACACTATCGATGCGACTTCCTCCTCTGTTCCAGGACCACTGTCCCATTCATTTCTAAGCCACCATTGTTATCTTAATGGGGCGGTGGTGGCTGTATCCAGTGGGCCCTCCCTCCTTGCCCCTCTAAGTTTTCCAAATAGCAACAAATGAACTTCTAAAAGTATTTTTAAAACATTTTTGAAATAGTTTGAAACTTCAGAAAAGTTGCAAATAACAGAAGAACTCTCCTCCCCCAGCTGTTTGCCATTGAATACTTTACCACAGGGATCCCCAACCCCCAGGCCACGGACAGCTCCATGGTCTGTTAGGAACCAGACTCCACGGCAGGAGATGAGTGAGCATTCCCACCTGAGCTCTACCTCCGGTCAGATCAGCGTGGCATTAGATTCTCATAGGAGCACGAACCCTATTGTGAACTGTGTATTTGAGGGATCTATGTTGCATGCTGCTTATGAGAGTCCAGTGCCTGATGATCCAGGGTGGGACAGTTTCATCCCAAAACCATCACCTCACCTCCTCCACCCCCCTACGGGTCTGTGGAAAAATTGTCTTCCATGAAAGTGGCCCCTGGTGCCAAAAAGGTTGGGACCACTGCTTTAGCATGTATTTCCTGCAGACAGGGATATTCTACATAACCACGGTGTAACCAACACAATCAGGAATGTAGCATTGATACATTGCTGTATCTAACCTTCAGATTCCACTGAAGCATTGCGGATTTTCTGGTACTCTGCTCTGTAGCAGAAGGAAGGGTTTGCTGCAGAGCCACACACACCATGACCTTGTTCCTTTCTGTGTGATCAGTTCTGTGTCTTTCCTTGACTTTCATGACCTCGACACTGCTGAAGGTTTCAGGCTGACAGTTTGGAGACTGTTCTTCAGTTTAGGTTTGCCTGGTGTTTCCCGGTGGTTGGATTTGGGTTGTGGATCTTTGCAGGAAAATCACAGAAGTGAGGCTATGGTTTCCCCCTCGTGTCCTGTGGGATGTGCGGTTGCGTCTCATCACGTAACTGATGCTGGCCGCTCTGATTGCTTGATTTCAGGTGATGTCTGCCTGACTTCACTGTAAAGTCACCATTTTCCCTGCGTAATTGATAGGTATTTTGTTTGGATGTACTTTGAAACTATATAAATATCCCATTTTTCATCAGATTTTTAAATTTTATATGTTAATATCAGTGTGGACTCCTGATTTCCTGGTGTTTTTTGTTTTTGTTTTGAGACAAGTTCTCACTGTTGTCCAGCCTGGAGTGCAGTGGTGCAAACACAGCTCACTGCAGCCTCCACCTCCCGGGCTCCAGCGATCTCTCGCCTCCACCTTGAGAGGAGCTAGAACCACAGGTGTGTGCCGCTACACCCTGGTTCATGATTTTATTTTTTGTAGAGATAGAGTCTTGTCATGTTGCCCAGGCTGGTCTTGAACTCCTGGGCTCAAGCAGTCCTCTTGCCTCAGCCTCCCAAAGTGCTGGGATTCCAGGCATGAGCCACCGCACCCAGCCCTGTTTTATTGAATAGATTATGATCTGTGACTGCTTGTGTTCATTTTGAGCACACTCTCACTTCTGGGCACCGGCTGCTGCAGGCTCACCTTGCGGTTTCCTGACCCAGCTCTGGAGCTGCCTGAGGAGCCCTGTCCTATGTTGGAGAATGGTCTTTAGAGACCATGGTCCACACTGGGTGTGCTTGTAGCTGAACTGCTGCTGCTTCCGGATACTCTTCGGTAGACAGAGCTAGGACTCTGTATGTTCACACCCATATATGGCTGTGTTTATCCCTGTATCTGTCTGTCTATATTGAAGCTGCAAGTTCATACCAATAACCCAATTCTATCCCAGTGTTGTACGGTTTATTCTCGTTTTCTTCCTTATCTATAACTCCTCACTTGGACAGTGAGGAACCCAGCCCCATCATCCTGAATGTTGCTTATCTGATCAGTCCTCCTGTAGGTAACAAGAGGACCACCCTCCCTCACCTGGTTCCCTCCCCTCACCTGGTTCCCTCCCCTCACCTGGTTCCCTCCCCTCACCTGGTTCCCTCCCCTCACCTGGTTCCCTCCCCTCACCTGCTTCACCGGCACTGATGTCCTCCTCACTCCACCCCACACCCCAGCCAATCCTGGGGAGCTCTGACCCCCCCACTCCCTGTTGAGCTCTGCCTGAAGCAGGTGCTGGAGGGAGACTACAAGGCTGGGAGGCGGGAGGACGACTTGCAGCTTCCTGCCCGCTCCCTCCTAGAGTGACACCCTAGCAGTACCATCCTGGCAGCGAAGTTCCTTCTGGCAGTCGGCCACTGGTGCCAGTTTGGAGTTTTCCCCACGCCAGCAGAACAGCCCTGCCACAGTCACCTCAGAGAGCCCAGCGTCAGCTGGCTGCACTCCTTCCAGTCACTGGGGACCCAGCCTGTGGGGCTGCCTTTGAGCTCAGAGACCCAGTGCCGGCCAGCAGCACCCCATCCTCAGGGGTCTGAGTTTCAGTTTTACAGGGCCCTTTGTCCAGGTTTCTAAGTTTTAAAAATTCCAGCCTCGGCCGGGCGCAGTGGCTCACGCCTGTAATCCCAGCACTTTGGGAGGTCGAGGTGGGCGGATCACGAGGTCAGGAGATCGAGACCATCCTGGGTAACATAGTGAAACCCTGTCTCTACTAAAAAAAAAAAAAATACAAAAATTAGCTGGGTGTGGTGGCACGTGCCTGTAATCCCGGCTACTCGGGAGGCTGAAGCAGGAGAATCGCTTGAACCCAGGAGGCGGAGGTTGCAGTGAGCTGAGATTGTTACTGCACTCCAGCCTGGCAACAAAGCTAGACTCTGTCTCAAATAAAAATTCCAGCCTCTTCTTTAATTTCCTGATCCTAATGGCAGAAGGTGCTTCCTGCATTTGCCACCTCCATGTGGTATTTCCATCTTAGTAACCTAGTTGGCAGTTATTCATGTTAAATGTTCTGTCCCCTGCTCTCAGTACCTGTGTGGTTAGCAGGGTGCTCTGCTACTGTGATGCGGCTTTCCTTTCTAGTTGTAGCTAATGCGGTCTTAATTATGTTTATTGTTTCTGTTTTTGAAATGGAGTTTTGCTCTTGTTGCCCAGGCTGGAGTGCAGTGGCGAGATCTTGGCTCACTGCAGCCTCTGCCTCCAGGGTTCAAGCGATTCTCCTGCCTCAGCCTCCTGAGTAGCTGGGATTACAGCCGCGTGTCACCATGCCCAGCCTAATTATTTTTATACACCAGTACAAAATTGTTAGTGTTCTCGGAGCAGTTTGAAAATATTTGGTATTTCTGAGAAATAATGTTTTTCTTAGGCTTTTCCTTCTGGGCCCTTTTCTCCTTTGCCCTCTGATTTGGGAACTTGCTCCTGCCTGCACACAGGTCCCCTGCTGCTTTGCTTTTGTGGTTTTGCCTCTCCAAGCCTTCACCCCAGGCTTGCCTCGAAGTTCCTCCCACTTCCAGCCTGGCCACCATCATCTGTGTCTGCCCGCTTTAGGGAAATGTGTACACAACTATTAAACTACGTAATTAACAAAATGTGTTTTATCAAAAGAGTAGGGGGAAACTTGACAAGGAAGCCCGGGTGACTTGAGAGTAATTAATGTGGAAAGAAAAGAGAGGACGTTCCGGGCACAGCCTTGGTGCGAACTGCTTCCTGCGTCTCATCTGTCTTTGTCTTCACTGTTTTTTGTTTTGTTTTGTTTTTCAGATAGAGTGTCACTCTGTCGCCCAGGCTGGAGTGCAGCTCAAGGGTTTTCTTCAGCCTGGCCTTTCTTTCTTTTTTAATAACTCAGGACTCATTTGTTCTGTTTCCTGATCTCTGCTGATGTGTATTTGCTGTGATGGGGGCCATTGTTCATAACTCACTGTCTCCCAGGCCCCTGGAACCTTCTGTGGCTCTTGCAGTTGTGGTGATCGAACCTCAGTGGTGTTGAGCAACTATTAAAGGAGAAAAAACCCACAGGATTAGTCAGATTAATAATATGGAACTCAGTCAGAAGCCCAGGAAGTGTCAGATCGCATGTGTTTTGGAGCTAATTGTAGCCACTCCTGCAGTGGTAAGAAATAGGACAGAGAGGGCCCTGTGCACTTCACTCAGTTCCCCCAGAGGCACCTTTCATAAAACTGTAGTGATAGATAATTTGAAAAAGAACCAGATAGAACAAAAAAAAACCTAGCATAAAACATGCAGATTTGGGCTTGAAGGTGAAAATAGAGACAGGTGCAAGAGAGACAATTGACTGCACGGATGCCAGACTGGCAGGATACATGGCGGGCACGAGCTGGTCTGGAGTCAGACAGTGTGGGCTCCAGTCCTGGCCTTGCCTTGTGCTCTGTGTTCCTGGGAAGAGTTGACCTGACCTCTCTCTAGGAGCTTTTTTTTTTTTTTTTTTTTTGAGACGGAGTCTCGCTGTGTCGCCCAGGCTAGAGTGCAGTGGCACGATCTCGGCTTACTGCAAGCTCCACCTCCCAGGTTCACGCCATTCTCCTGCCTCAGCCTCGCGAGTAACTGGGACCGCAGGCGCCCGCCACCACGCCCAGCTAAATTTTTTGTATTTTTAGTAGAGACAGGGTTTCACCGTGTTAGCCAGGATGGTCTTGATCTCCTGACCTCGTGATCCGCCCGCCTCGGCCTCCCAAAGTGCCGGGATTACAGGTGTGAGCCACTGCGCCTGGCCTCTAGGAGCTTCTTGTGGGGGATGTAACCAGTTGCCACAAAGTGGGGGGCTTAAACAACAGATATTTATCTCACAGCTCTGGAGGCCAGAAGTCCAGAGGCAGGGCGTCAGCCAGGCCATGTCCCTCGCAGGCTCCGGGGAACGCTCAGCTTCTGGGGGTGCTGGCAATGCTTGGCGCTCCTTGTGTGCGGCCGCATCACTCTCGCCTCTGCCTCCATCCCCACTTGGCTCTTTTTACCTCTGTCTGAGTCTGACTTCTCTCCTTTTAGAAGGACACCAGTCTTGTTGGACTTAGGGCCTACCCTATTCCAGCAGGTGCCATTATTTTCACTTGGTTACGTCTGTAAGGACCGTTTCCAAATGAGGTTACAGTCACAGGTTCTGAGCAGACATGAGTTTTGCTGGGGACACTATCCAGCCCAGTACAGTGCCCACAGAAACCTGGCTGAGTTTTCTCATCTGTGAAGTGTGGATAATAACAGAATTAGTCTCAGAGAGTCCGCGTGAGGAGGCCGGGAAGAGCAGTGTAAGGTGCCTGACTGGTGGACATTACTGTTACAGACGCCACAGGACCTATTCGGGACCGCCATGGGTGTCCAGGGAGACTCCAGCACTTGTGTTGCCTTGGAGAATGTCTTGTGTTCCCTGAGCTGCCCCGTGGCTCCTGCGTGCAGGCAGGTGGAGCTCAGCTCTCACTCACCTCACGCACTTGTGTCCTGTACGTGGGCTTTGGGCACCCATCAGTTGCTCTCTCGATAGGTGTTCACCTATTGGCTTTGACTAGGAGACTTTTGTGTGATGATGTTTGCTATGATAGATACTGAAGTATACTGTTGTGTGTTGCATAACGATGGGGATACCTCCTGAGAAATGCATGGTTAGGTGGTTTTTGTCATTGTGCGAACATGACAACAGCACGTCACAGACTCAGATGGCAAAACCTACTCCACACCTAGGCCATGTGGCACAACCTACTGCTCCTGGGTTACACACCTGTGCAGCGTGCGACAGTTCCGAACACTGTAGGCAGCTGTAGCACAGTGGTTTTTGTGTGTCTATTTTTATTTATTTATTTTTCTGAGATGGAGTCTTGCTTTGTTGCCCAGACTGGAGTGCAGTGGCACGATCTTGGCTCATTGTAACCTCCGGCGCCTAGGTTCAAACGATTCTCTTGTGTCAGCCTCCTGAGTAGCTGAGATTACAGTCACCCGCCACAACATCCGGCTAATTTTTGTATTTTTAGTAGAGACGAGATTTCACCATGTTGGTCTGACTGGTTTCGAACTCTTGACCTCAGGTGATCCTCCTGCCTCAGCCTCGTAAGGTGCTGGGATTACAGCCATGAGCCACCGCGCCTGGCCATATTTATGTATCTAAACATAGGAAAGATTTGGTAAAAATACAGTAGTATAAATCTTGTGGGATCACTGTTCTGTATGTGGTCCGTCGTCGGCTGCAACAGTGTTACCCAGTGCGTGGCTGCAACAGTGTTACCCAGTGCGTGGCTGCAGTTGCTCAGGATCCACATCTGTGTCCATTGGTATAAGTGCTCACTTTCCAAAACATGTCAGATATTAAATATTTTCAAACAAACTTTTTTAAAAGTATAACTTAGTGCAACACCCCACTCAATTAAATTTTTATATAGTATGAACTGATTAGACTAAATTGTTGGTTTTACTGTTTTACTTGTAGCTAAACCATTTACACAGCTGGTGAAAGAAATGCAGCTTCATCGAGAAGACTTTGAAATAATTAAAGTAATTGGAAGAGGTGCTTTTGGTGAGGTAAGATAAACTTCATTTTGTTAACTTTGCCTAAATTGCCAAAACATCAGCAGCTTCCATTTCACCTTTTTGTGCACCTATACATTGGTTTGGGGATGAGGTAATTAGTATTATTTGGAGAGTTTGTTTTTTCCTCTCTCTCTTTCTAAGATGAGGTCTCACCATGTTGCCCAGGCTGGCTTTGAACTCCTGGGCTCAAGTGATCTCCCCGCCTCGGCCTCCCAAGGAGCTGGGGAGAAAATCTGAAAGATAGAATGAAGAGAAAGGAGACTCGAAAGCTTCTGACTGACCTGGGAGATTGTTGGGACCAAAAATAGTTTCTTCAGATGTAGTTTTTTTTGTTTTTGTTTTTGAGATGGACGTCTTGCACTGTCACCCAGGCTGGAGTGCAGTGGCGCGATCTTGGCTAACGGCAACCTTTGCCTTCTGGGTTCAAGCTATCCTCATGCCTCAGCCTTCCGAGTAGCTGGGACTACAGGTGCTGACACTGTGCCTAGCTAATTTTTGTATTTTTTGTAGAGATGAGGTTTTGCCATGTTGGCCAGGCTGGTCTCAAACTCCTGGCCTCAAGTGATCCACCTGCCCAGATGCCCCGCCCAGCCTCCCAAAGTGCTGGGATTACAGGTGTGAGTCACCACGCCCAGCCTTCTGACGTAGTTTCTAAAACTCCATTTGTTAATTGAATTTTGACTTCTTGGCATTTTCTAAAAAACACAGAGAGGGTCGAATAGCAGCTGTTTTCATGCTCTGTACTTGCTTGCTGTTGACACACGCGGTGTGGCTCTGGGTCCGGTTGGCTTTGCCTAGGGGAGGAGGGCCAGTCATGCAGGTGCAGCTGGAGAGGCTCACCAGGTCCCTTGTATGGGGCTGGGAGCCCTGCCCCAGGAGGCCCGTGGCACGGTGTGGCCTCGCCTTCCAGGCCATCTCCACAGACCTGCCTCGGCCTTGCAGAACAGTTCTGCCAAGACCAAGGGAGAGGTCAGGCTCCCTCAGCGGCCGCGGTACCGCCTCGGGTGGTTTGACAGTGAGTCACCGGAAGAGCTTTGCTGCTGCTTTTTTTGTTTTTTGAGATGGAGTCTCGCTGTGTCACCCAGGCTGGAGTGCAGTGGTGCGATCTCCGCTCACTGCAAGCTCTGCCTCCTGGCTTCATGCCATTCTCCTGCCTCAGCCTCCCGAGTAGCTGGGACCACAGGTGCCCGCCACCAGGCCAGCTAATTTTTTGTATTTTTAGTAGAGATGGGGTTTCACCGTGTTAGCCAGGATGGTCTTGATCTCCTGACCTCGTGATCCGCCCATCTCAGCCTCCCAAAGTGCTGGGATTACAGGCGTGAGCCACCGCGCCTGGCCAAGTTTTGCTTCTTAAACTGTGCAGTGCCTTAGCACCTATGCTGAGGTTTGATCTAAGCTCTCCTTGGCTGGGGAACTGTGCCTTTTGGTTCACTGAGGAAAAATCAAACAAGGAAACGCCCTGTGTCACATCCCAGCAGCAGGTGTGCTCTGCCCACAGCAAACCTACTGGACACCACTACAAAGCGAGATGGCCTTTGCTGTGCAGGGCGTGCATTTTCCAGTGTGCAGACGTGAAAGAAGGCAAATCAGTACTTTAGGGAAATAGCCCCCCTCTCGCAGCACCATCCCCATGAGTGAGTCTCACCAGAGGGATAGGGGAGGAGAGCAGCCCCTGCAAGGCTCGTCCCATCGTGCCCGGAGCTCCCAGTTTATCTCAGTACAGACCCTGGATCCAGGCCTCACCAGCCAAAGTCAATTTACCACAGGCCAGGATGGGACAGAGAGTTTGTTTATTTTGTTTGAGATAGGGTCTTGCTCTGTCGCCCAGGCTGGAGTGTGCTGGCATGATCACAGCTCACTGCAGCCTCCACCACCCAGGCTCAGGTGACCCTTCTTCCTCAGCCTCCTGAGTAGTTGTGACTACAGGCATGTGCCACCACGCCCGGCTAATTTTTTTTATTATTTGTAGAAATGGGGTGTCACTATGTTGCCCAGACTGATCTTGAACTCCTGGGCTCAAGCAACCCTCCCGCCCCAGCCTCCCAAGTAGCTGGGACCACAGGCATGCACCACTGTACCTGGCTAGTTGTTTTCTTTTTTTCTTTTTAGTAGAGACAGGGATCTTGCTATGTTGCCCAGGCTAGTCTCAAACTCCTGGGCACAAGTGATTGTCCTGCCTCCACCTTCAAGAGTGCTGGGATTATAGGCATGAGCCACTGTACCTAGTTGAGAAAGCCTTTTAAAAGTAAAAACAGATTGCATTAAGTGATTGCCTGTCTGTCTGCTACCAAGCATTGAGCTGTGCCAGGCATGGGGGCTTTGGAGGTGAGCAGGGCCCAGGCCACACAGAGCCCTTCAGCCATGGCAGGACTTTCCAGAATGCATTTAGGAGGGAGGGAGAGGCACACCAGGGCAGAGAGACGACCAAGGGAAATGAAGGAATGAGAGAGAAAATTGTTTTAACAGAATGGTTTACGGTTATTTTTAGTACTCTTTTTTGCCAAAAACTTAATGCAAAACTCAGTTTTGTGTGAGTTTCAAAGAAGATAACATTGATCGCTTTTTGAGCTCCTCTGATTGAAGGGAGCCTGTCCTTTCCATGCGGCCTTTGCTTCTTGGATTCCCTCCTTGGTCTTGTTCCCTTGGAGCCTCAGAGTCCATATCTGTACAAGATGGATTTTAGAAATCCCCCGCAGCTGGGGTCGCTGTGAGGGTGAAGTGGGGGTGCGGATGCGCGGCTCAACACCGTCTCTGGCACGCAGAATGTGCCTGGTGAATGGCAGCTCTCACAGTGACTCTACGATGTGACTGTGTGGTATTTGATGTTAGAAACAGGCAGGTAGATGATACTGCCATTTAAGACCTCTTCAGGCCATGGCTGCTGCAGGCACGGGGACATGCTGGCTGCTTGCCATTGGCAGCCAGAAGGTATGGAAGCCGCTGTCACTGCCAGTGAGTAGCTTACAGGAAGTGCTGAGTTGGAGACTTGGGCCCGTGTGTGAGTGACTTACGTAGGGTGGAATGCACCAGACAATGGTGCAGACATCTTGACGGGTGTTGGTAGTGATGGCAGAGCTTATTCAAGATTTGGTAGAAACTGGAAAGTCCAAGAGGACTTCCTGAAGGAGGTGGCACTTGAATTGTTCTTTAAAGAATGTGGCTGGTGGCCGCGCGCTGAGTGCTGACTGTGCCCCACAGTGTGCTGGGCACATTAACTGTCAGTGCTCATGGGTCCTCATAGGTGTCTCAGGAGTCCGGTCCTGCCATTAACCTCCTGTAGTGGTGGAACCCGAGCCATAAAGGGGTGAATTTGCAGGAGTGAAACTCCGGAGCCCACGTGGCCGGTCCCTTTCTCTGTGAAGAAAAGGTTCTTGATGCAGGAACTGGCACATGCTAGGTGGGAAACTTGGCTTTCGGTCACTGCTGGTTTCACAGGCTCCTGGGCTGTTAGGATTTCACTACAGTTTAGCTCCAGCGTGCTAGCCTTTTGTTCAAGAACCGCATCTTTGTTCAACTCACATTTGCACTGCAGGTTGCTGTTGTCAAAATGAAGAATACTGAACGAATTTATGCAATGAAAATCCTCAACAAGTGGGAGATGCTGAAAAGAGCAGAGGTAAGTATGGAGCTTGAAAAGCCATACAAATGGGGCTTGGGGTGAGCAGAAAGTGACTGTGAAGCCAGCTGGGGAAAAGCTGCAGCCACCCCACAGCCCTGGGCCTCCCTGCCCCCCGGACAGAGCGAGCACTCTCTTTTGAGGAGGTCTCAGTCTCCTCCCTGGCGCCTGCTGCTCCCCGCCTCAGCGACCACTTGCTTGCTGGACACTGTTCCTGAGAGTGCACCCTCGAGAATGTTGGCGGGTCCTGTTTACTGTAAAGGCAAATAAAAAGCATCGGGAGAGTTTCAGCATTGATTGCAGTTCTGCTCCATACACAAAAGGAATTAACACGTTTGGACCCTGCTCACATACAGAATAGGTCTTTAGATTCCCACCTAGAGGATCCTCACGATTAGAAATGAAGTGGACCACTGCCCAGCAGGCTTTGATCAGCTCCTTTTTCTTAGTTCCGTGTCAGTCTTCTTGGTGGCCATTCCATGCCTCTGACCCCACCTCTACAGCCGCGTGCTCTGCCATTGGTCTCCCTCCTGCCTGCCTAAGGCAGGCCAGGCCTGCTGGGGAGCCCACGCTTTTCCTCTCTGGCCATCTTGAGTTTCTGTCCTCACCCGCCCTGTTGTCTTCCCCTCCCCTGCACTCAGAGCCCAGGCCCTTCCTGGCCAGTTGACCTGCTTCCTGCTTCAGATCTGCTCCGTCCATCATGCTCCATCCTCTCCCGTGACTCCCGCCTCTGCCAGAAGGCACTTGGCAGTCCCCTCCTTGCAGGCTGCCATTCATCACAATGGTTTGCTGTGGCCCCGTGTGTCTCTGACCCGCCCTGAGCGAGGCCTGTGCCTGGCAGCGCTGCGGTGGCTCTAGGCTGCTCAGCCCTGCGGTCAGCGCTTGCTTCTGGAGTTGAACCTCTCGACGTGGCCACCTCCTCATTTTGGGAAGTCCTTCTTGGGTTTCTAGACCCTCTCCTCTTACTCCTCTCACCCTTCTAGTAATTTGAGGTGACGCTTTCCTCTTTGGTCCTGGAATTTGTGCCTGTGCTGCCCATGATGGTTGCCACCTTGGGCCGACAACAGTACAACCATCGATTCGGGCCAGATCTCTCTGGGGCCCTGGGTTTTATTAACTTGGTGGGTGTTATCGGTTCCTCGTGACTCAGTCATTCTGGCTTTTCCCTCCCCCGCTCTGCACCCATTTCCCCTTTCCCTGCTATGGCACCCAGCACAAGGTCTCACAACCATTTGTTGCTCACTGAACGCGTGTTGGTTGACAGAGTTAGCACCATTTTGTAGTTACCCTGGTCTCAAAATGTCGGTGGCCTGTGATTGCTTCGGCCCCCTGGGTCTCCCAGCTTCTGGGGTGTACACGGTCTCCCTTCCTTCTTTGGGAGAAGCCTTTGCTCTCTTTTCCTCCATCTTCACTCAGTCATCTCACTGTGTGCTTCCGCTGGGCCTGCCCTCAGCCCCAGCAGCCCTTTCCCCGCCCCAAACAGTGGCAAACACAGGAATGTTATTGGAGCAAATTTTTAGGGGAAAAAGTAGCTACTGTTACATGAAAGTGTAGAGAGGTATCAGGTGTTTGGTATTTACCTAAATGTCATGGTGGATGAGTACATTTAAAAAGAGTAAATATTGCTGATTTAATTTGAATCTGGTGACACAGATCCAGTTTAATTGGCATGCTCAGAAAAGCTCAAGAATGTTTGCCAGTCGCGGTGATTATACTAGAGTATATGTGTGTAAGAGATATAAAAATAAATATGGTGCTAGTTGCAAATAATTTATCTTTTTATTTTTATATCATAGACTTATTTTAAGCATTAAATTTTATAATACTGATTTATAAAAAATTTTCTTAAAAGCATGAATTAAGAGGTTGGTCAGTAGAAGAGTTGCTAAGCAGTGTAGTTTATAATTTTTCTACCAGGCAAGGTCTTTATTTCATCTTACTTGGTTAAAAAATACTAAAAGTTTCTCTCTCTGCTCCTTAAACAAAACTGCTGGATAATACATAAGTTTCCTGTCAGCAGGTCACCTTGCAGGCAGTCCCCAGTTTAAGAATGGGTTTTTCCTAAATGCTCTGGGCAGCTAGCTGCCAGGCAGAGCTTCAGGGAGCGTCTCCTGGAGGCGTTGGCACAGGTGCCGCAGATCCTCGGGGCAGCCCCGGCCTCCTGAGCCCACGGTCTCACCTCACCTGGGACTCAGCACTCCATCACCATTTCTTTTTGGGGGCGCGTTCTGGAAGACAGGAGGTCAGGCACACTGAGGCTCAGGTTTTCTTTAGTTGTCCCTTCACCAGGCCCTTGTGGCTGAGGTGGCTGTTGGCAGAGGGGTTGTGATGATTCCAGAATTGCTGGTCTCTGCATGTCTGGACATTAGCAAGCTGAATGTTGACCGCTTGTCATGTTGTCATTAGTAGAACTGGGACACAGCTGCAACAGCCATCTTTTTTTTTTTTTTTTTTTTGAGACGTCTCTCCCTGTCGCCCAGGCTGGAGTGCAATGGCACGATCTTGGCTCACTGCGACCTCGGTCTCCTGCGTTCAAACGATTCTCTGCCTCAGCCTCCCGAGTAGCTGGGATTACAGGCACCCGCCACCACGCCTAGCTAATTTTTGTACTTTTAGTAGAGACGGGGTTTCACCATGTTGGCCAAGCTGGTCTTGAACTCCTGACCTCGCGATCCGTCTGCCTCAGCCTCCCAAAGTGCTGGGATTACACGCGTGAGCCACCGTGTGCAGCCAACCATTTCATTTTGAAAGAAAAACTTTTTTTTTCTTGTTTTAGAGACAGGGTCTCACTCTGTTACTCTGTTGTACAGGCTGGAGTACAGTGGCATGATCTCAGCTGGGCTCATCGATCCTCCCACCTCAGCCTCTTGAGTAGCTGGGACTGCAGACGGGTGACACCACACCCGGCTAATTTTTAAGATTCTTTTGTAGAGACGGAGTCTCACTATGTTGCCCAGGCTGGTCTCAAACTCCTAGGCTCAAGTGATCCTCCCGCCTTGGCCTCCCAAGGTGCTGGGATTACAGCGTGAGCCACCATGGCCAGCCTGAAAGGAAAACTTTTTAAAGTTTAGAAAAGAAAACCTTGTAGAAGAAATAAGTTTCAGAGGTCACTGTGAGACTCAGCTGAGAGCCGGTCAGAACTGTGCCCTCGTGCCTCACATAGCAAGCTCTCCGTAATGTACTTATATTTTTGTTAAGCTTGACAAGTTCAAATGTAAGACAGTTTGAATCTTGTTCTGTGCTCAATAAAGAGGAAATCATGTTAAAATTATGCCAAAGGCCTGTTGACTTTTTTTTTTTTTTTGAGACAGAGTCTCGCTTTGTCGCCCAGGCTGGAGTGCAGTGGCATGATCTCGGCTCACTGCAAGCTCCGCCTCCTGGGTTCATGCCATTCTCCTGCCTCAGCCTCCCGAGTAGCTGGGACTACAGGCGCCCACCACCACACCCAGCTAATTTTTTTGTATTTTTAATAGAGACGGGGTTTCACGGTGTTAGCCAGGATGGTCTTGATCTCCTGACCTCGTGATCCACCCACCTCGGCCTCCCAAACTGCTGGGACCACAGGTGTGGGCCACCGTGACCAGCCATTTTTTTTTTCTTTTTGAGATGGAGTCTGGCTCTGTCGTCCAGGCTGGAGTACGGTGATGCAATTTTGGCTCACCGCAACCTCCGCTTCCTGGGCTCAAGCAGTTCTCCCCCCTCAGCCTCCCATGTAGCTGGGATTACAGGCACCTGCCACCACACCTGGCTAGTTTTTCTAGTTTTTAGTAGAGACAGGGTTTCATCATGTTGGCCAGGCTGGTCTTGAACTCCTGACCTCAGGTGTGAGCCACCGTGCTCGGCCAGGCCTGGTGACTTTTAAACGGAGATGCCACCTGGGCATTAAAACTCTTTTGGAAGACGTAGCAGGGTAGAGGGCAGCCTCTTGCCCTGTGCTGCTGGCTGTAGGCCTCCCTAGTGGAATCTGTGACAATTGTGTCATCACTATACTGTGATTTCAGCAAACGTGTGCGCCTTCTGCCAGCTGCACAGCAGCTCAGTAGTGGGTATAGGACGGAGAGGGCAGACACGTGGGGCTGCCCATGCCATCGATACTTGGCAGAGGTTGATCTGGTAGAGGAGTCAGGAGGTGCCAGGTGGGAGGAGCCCAGTCAGGAATCCACATAAGGGTGGGGTGAATCTAAGTGTCAGCCACAGAAATGGTGCCCGTGGGACAGCAGGGTGCAAGTGCCTCCTCAGCAGCCCTTGGCACTTGCACGGGGCTTGGGAGAGGAAGGGATGAGGGATGGCTCAGCCTCAGCAGCCTCGGGGTGGTGCACGAGGAGGAGCCCGGAAGGCAGGGACACCGTGGCTGGAGCCACTGTCCCAGGAGGGACCCCGAGACCGGCAGTACGCTCTCTGGCCTGCTTCCCAGTGAACACAGACTGACACCCCTCGTTGCTTTGCAGACCGCGTGCTTCCGAGAGGAGCGCGATGTGCTGGTGAACGGCGACTGCCAGTGGATCACCGCGCTGCACTACGCCTTTCAGGACGAGAACCACCTGGTAGGTCGCACAGCCAGAGACTCGGTCAGGGCATTCGCTCCGGCTTTATTCCTTTATGCTGTCACTAAAAATTCAGTCAGACAATGTGGAACTGACATTTAAAAAATGTGTATTGGACTCGATAAAACGGCGGGGCTTGTTTTCATGCAGTAATTGTCAGGTAGAACTTCTTTAAAATACACATGTGGAAGTAAGGACTTTGTTTTTTTCTAATCACTAGAGAAGCTGATTCGTTTGTTTGCTGGGTTTATTACATTTAAATCAGCTGGGAGTTTGAAACACTTTCAATCTTGGATTATTGAGAATAAGGAACCGCAGTGGGGATTAAGCCACGTGGATGTTTTTGCCTCCATCTCAGCTAGGGCTGAGTCCGGGAGTGCCTCTCGTGGGCCTGCAGTCCTCCTGTCTTCCCGCGGTGGGGGGGGTGCCCCAGGCCCTTTCGACAGGTTTTAGGTGACTCTTAGTCTCCACGCTGCCTGTGTATTTTTCCGATTTAAACAGGGCTTGCTTTCAGGACAGATGGACCAGCCTCGTGACGCACATGCATGTGCATTGTCAAGCGTGTTCGCCTCCACGGCACTCTAAGGCAGCTGACTTGGCGGTGAAGGGGAAACCAGCCCTTGGTCTTGGCCGCTGAGTGACCCGCAGACCGCCTTGTTCAGGACTTTTTATTCCTAGAGTGACTCTAGGTTTGCCTGAACCTGAAAGTGTCCACTGCTGGAGCTCTGGGTGGACGTGACGCGGGCAGACCTCAGAGAAGGAGGTCTCAGCCCAACTCATTCCCAATGGCACTGTTTCTGCAGTGGTGGCGAGAGGGGCGTGGTCGCTGTGGTCACCAAGCCTCAGAGCAGGGACCCGAGGCTTCCTTTTCCTTGGCAGCCAACGTGCGTGTCCACCTGAAGCTCCTGGGTTGTGCGCTCCATTGGTTCACAGCAGATGGAGTAGTGTGGGATCCTTCCATTCACCCTAAAGGAGCCCTTGAAGCATCAGAGAAAGCCCTGAGATTTGAACACCCAGGATTAGGGAAAAATGTGTACTTATGTAGACTTTATATATATGTGTTTGCCCAGCAGAGGGGGCAGCTGGTGTTTGTTGAGCACTTAGGATGTTTCAGGCCCACAGGGGTCCCCGTCCGTCTTCCCAACGACCCAGTGATTCCACTGTTTCATAAGGGGGTGTCTGGGGCAGAGGGAGGCGAAGTCACTTGCCCAAAGTGACCACATGGATGACAGCACCTGTGACCAAGACCCAGCCCCAGCCTGGCGAGCAGGTTCCGGATCCCCTGCTCTGGGGCCACCTCCACATAAACCCCCCCGCTTCCTGCTCAGTGTCCCTGCTCCCAGGACCCCGGTGGACTGTCTCCAGTTCATTTCCACTTTCGATAAGAACTGAGTGAAGTTTCCAGGGAGTACAGGCAACTGGGATCTGTACAAAGGAAGATGATGATGCTTGTTTTGTTTCTAATATTTTTTTAAATTAGCATAGCGTGCTGCCATCTGAAATGTTAGGTGTTGCCAGGTTTATTCTAAGTTAACACACGTCAGTTAGGAGCCCCTGTGAAGATTCCATGTTCTTGAGATTTTGGAGTTGCCCAGGTAGACGTACCATGAAAATTAAGGATGAGAAAACGAAGGCGAGGCCTTGGAAGCTTTCTGGCCCGTGACTGCGGGGCCGGCTTCTGCGGTGCACACCTGCCACCTTGAGCGGGGGCGTTGAGGGTTAGGCCAGTTCCTCTTCCTATGGTTGTGAGGCTGGCCCGAGTGCAGGCTGGTGTCAGGTGCCTCTCATAGCGATATGGAAACGTGGGTTCCTCTGACCACCCACAGAGCGGGTTCTGCTACAGTTTCTATTGGAGCTATCTCACAGAGTTTTATCAAAATTAAACCTGTTTGACTGCTAACTAAAACTTACTGGCTTAACTCAGCACCCCGCGTTCTGTGACAGGACAGACTAGGTCTGATTCTCATTCTGGAGTGGGCCTCCGCCGTCTGCCTCACGAGCTCCCGCGTTAGCTTTCCTCAGAGACCATGCTCCAGGAGACCGTTGATCAGACCCAGTGCTGCTGTAGGAAGCTCCTCCTCTTAGAGTTCTCGGCAGACGTGGACGCGGCTGGGGCTCAGCTAGTAAGGGCTTGACTCGACCCCACGGCCTTCCTTAGGGGCCCGAGGGCCTGGCCGTTCGTTCACCGCATCTCCCCTGGCCCCGTGTGTGTCCGTCAGCTGCCGGGGCCGCTCCCTCTGGAATGCCTGCAGTGTGCATCCACCGCCCCCTCTGCATCGCCCTCCACACGCAGTGGCACCTCGGTGCCTGGGCTTCTGAACGTAGCTGGGGAACATCACCCACTCACTGCTCTGAGTGTGGGGCTGCAGCCCCCACTGTGGCCGGCCCTCCCCTTTTGGCAGGCTCCAGGGTGCCGCTGCCACTTTCCTCCTAGCCGCTTTGCACGCACCCCTTCATCTGGAGCACGACCGCGGCTCCCCTCAGGCCTCTGCTTGGCAACCTCTGGCCTGGGCACCTCACCAGGCGGCCTGCGGTCAGCTGGCGCTCACCACTGCCTGCTCTCCATGCTGGCCACGGTCTCTCCCGCCCCCAGTGTGAGCTCTGCTGAGCCAGGGACCTCGCTGTCTCGTGCATGCCAGCACCCCTGTTGCCAGAGGGGCTGGCGGGGCCACAGTGAGGGTGCACGAGCGAATGAACAAATTGAAAAACTCGGCGGGGAAGGACGGGCAGTGCCTGAGCCAGGGCGGGGAGGCTGGGGCTGCCCTTGGCGGTGGCAGGGAGGCTTGAGGAAGACTCCACAGGGTGGGACAGCTGTGGAGAGGCTTGGAAGGGATGAGAGTTTGCTGGTAAAGATTCTGTTGAGAGCAGGGACCTAAAATGAAGGCTTCTGTCGTTTCCTCTGATTAGCTGGGCCGCTCCCTTCCTCAGACAAGCCCACCGGTGTGGTGCTTCCCTTCCTTTGGAGACACTGCAGTCTGGTTGAATGTGATGGGCGTGGAGTCTGACTGTTGGGCCCAGGTCTTTGCTCTGTCCTTGCTTGCTGGGAGACCCCGGGCCCATCCCCAAGCCTCCCGTGTCGATGGGGTCTTGGTGCCAGAGGCAAGGGCAGGTGGGAGCGTGAACAGGACAGCACTGGCCTGTGTCTCACAGCCTGGGCCCGAGCGTGGGCCTTCATGGTGACAGCAGCTGATATGATTAGGTTCTCCATAAATATTACAGGGTCCCTGCCCCGGCTGATAAACAGGGCGTTTACTCCCTGTGCGGGTTAGTTAAAAGCTAGCTGTCCAGACCACAGCATCCATCTCTTCACAGGAAATTTGCACCAAGGAAGGCGGCTCCTGTGAGGTTCAGGCCACGTGCTTCCCCAGCATTCACTGAGGCACAGCGGCCCCAGAGATGGAGGTGTTGGCTGCCACCCTGACTCTGGCTGTGATGGTCTTGCCTGTCCTGGGCCTCTCTGACCTGTGAGATCTCCCCACTGGGGCCTCCACAGACTGTGGGCTTTGTGGTCTGAGCTTTCTGAGTGCTGCAAGAGACAGGCTGTCCTCAGGCAGAGCTCTACGCAGGCTCACCTCGGGGTCGCCCACTCCCAGCACACGGCTGGCCCGGTGGCGAGGGAACTCGCGGGGAAGTGACGGGCTCAGCCCTGTTAGCAGATGTTTTTTCTCCCATTACTCCAATTTCTACTTAAGTAGGAGCTTTTCTGAGGTTTCTGTTGGAGTGAACCTATAAGTAATTATCTTTCGGCTCTTTTATGATATAATCTTTCCAATAAGAACTGCTGATACCATGTGTGATGTTAACTACTTTGCCTCCCTTCTCTGGTCTGGTGTCGTCCTCACATAACATGAGGGCCTGGAGAATTATTTTTAAACCCATAGGATTGATGGGCTATTAACTGTGCTTCTGCTTTGGGTCACTAGCTTTTAGAGTGCCCTCTCCAACCTCAAGCCCTTTCATCATTCCTCCCATTGATTAAATACATCACTTACTGAAGTCCACTCTCTGCCATATGCACCCCTGAAGATGGCGGCGTCGTGGACGCATCGGGGCGCATGTTCCAGAAGGAGGGTCTTGGGTGACAGAAGAGCAGCTGAGATGCCACGAGCCAGACCTGGAGCCTGAGAACCTCGCCATGGAAGACTGGCCTGTAACTGTCAGGTTTAGTGGTGACTAAATGTGGTATTCTCTCCCCTTCTCTTTCCAATTTGTAGTACTTAGTCATGGATTACTATGTGGGTGGTGATTTACTGACCCTGCTCAGCAAATTTGAAGACAAGCTTCCGGAAGATATGGCGAGGTTCTACATTGGTGAAATGGTGCTGGCCATTGACTCCATCCATCAGCTTCATTACGTGCACAGGTAACCGGCTTCTGATATATTTTATGGAAACCACGTTTAATTGTTAAAAGACTCCTTTCAGAGCTCCCAAGTCCAGGCCGTCCCAAGAAGCCATGTAGGTAGCGAGTCCCCACTTTGAGCTGCCGCAGCACAGACTGATTTGCCCACATCACCGTCTTCCAGCCCCAGCAGCCGGTGGATCCCAGCTCTCATTGTTGCAGTTGTCATGGTCTGCTGTCAGCCGAAGCCACTGTGTCTTTTGATATTTATTTGACATTGACTCAACTTCTCCCCGTCTGAGACCCCCTCCCTAAAATGCCTGTGCTCCCTGGGGCTCACGTGGGCCCCGGGGTCCTCTGTCTCTACCGCCCAAGACCCCCTCCCTAAAATGCTTGTGCTCCCTGGGGCTCACGTGGGCCCCGGGGTCCTCTGTCTCTACCGCCCAAGACCCCCTCCCTAAAATGCCTGTGCTCCCTGGGGCTCACGTGGGCCCCGGGGTCCTCTGTCTCTACCGCCCAAGACCCCCTCCCTAAAATGCTTGTGCTCCCTGGGGCTCACGTGGGCCCCGGGGTCCTCTGTCTCTACCGCCCAAGACCCCCTCCCTAAAATGCCTGTGCTCCCTGGGGCTCACGTGGGCCCCGGGGTCCTCTGTCTCTACCGCCCAAGACCCCCTCCCTAAAATGCCTGTGCTCCCTGGGGCTCACGTGGGGCTCAGGGTCCTCTGTCCTTACCACCCTGAAATGTCTCGTGTGGGGCCTGGGGCCCTCTGTCCCCACATTCTTTCTCAACTCTGGTCTTCTCTGTGCCGTGCTGACCCCTGAAGGGCCCCAGGACACTCACAAAGGAAATAGGGCTTGAGGAAGAGGCTTCCATCACTGCGACTTGCAGGAGTTGAGCTGAGAGAGCGTGTGGGGCAGAGGCCTAAAGCAGCTCCGTCTCCTGCTCTCAGGGGCCCCCTCTGCCTTCTCGGCTGGGAGGGCAGCTCCCCAGTGACTCAGCCACTGAGTCCACATCTTCACATCCCTCTTGTCCTGAGACTCAAAGATTCAGTCCTGTGGTTTGTTTTGGTTTTCGTTGTTTTTAAAAACTAGTTTTACTTGTATTTTTATTACAAGATAATTTTATGGTAATAGGTTTAAAAAGTCAAACAGTTCTATAGAGCCTCCAACCAAAACCAAGCCCAGCCCTGGCCCCGCTGATTACACTTGGTCAGGTAACTATTGTAAATTTGTAAAATTATTTTTCCAGCATCTGCCTTCATGTGTCTTAAGTCACAGGTTTATATTGCTAATTTCTTTCTTTTCTTTTTTGGCTTTAGATCACATCTATGAAATTGAAATTTTAACTCTTTTACATAATTACCTCTTTCTCTCTGTCACCCATCTCTCTCACATATACTTCCAAACTGTCTTCCTTTCTCCCACATCATCCTTTTCATTTTTATTTTGATATATTTTTTAGGATGGAGTCTCGCTCTGCCACCCAGGCTGGAGTGCAGTGGCGTGATTTCACTCACTATAGCCTCTGCCTCCTGGGTTCAAGAGATTCTCCTGCCTCAGGCTCCTGAGTAGCCATTACGCCCAGCTAATTTTTTTGTATTTTTAGTAGAGATGGGATTTCGCCATGTTGGCCAGGCTGGTCTTGAACTCTTGACCTCAAGTGATCCGCCCATCTCGGCCTCCCAAAGTGCTGGGATTACAGGCGTGAGCCACCGCGCCCGGCTCCACGTCATCCTGATTAGAATGGTTAAAATCCATCCTTTCAGCTATGGTTCAGTCAGCATTTGGTGTTGATAATACTGTGACTGCGTAACTATGACAGCAGCCTTGTAGTTGAGAACTACACTTACATAAACTTCTGCTTTCTCTGGAGTTGATAATTGCCTTGCTTTTTATTAGCTTTTCTTTGTAGCTGTCACTAATTTGTCCCCAGATATTGTGGCCACGTTATGAAGCTCCGTACCGGACATGCATCGGGTAGTCTCGATCTGGTTTTCCTTGGCGCTGTCCCTTCCATCGTTCCCCTCCTCTCTTCCACGTTGGTTCCTCATTTGTCCTGTGCTGCACTCATTCTGAGATGGCTTTTCAAGTGCAGAGATCCCCTCTCCCTTTCTGGGACTGGCTCCCAGCTTTTCCGAGCCGTTCATTTTTCTTTTTCTTGGCTTTTTAGTTTGGCTTGGTAGCGCGTGTCCTCCAGTGGTGGCTGGAAGGGGGGTATATGAGAGAGTTTTTTGAAATCAGTGCCTTTATTCCATGTGTGTCTGTGACTGGTGCTTTATCCAGTGTGGAGATTTTAGTTGGAAACCACTTTCCCCTTGGGACTTCGCAGGCATCACATGTGTCTGTGTCTTCCACCTTGAGGCTGCTCTCGAGAGGTGTGAGGCCATTGTGGTCTCCATGGCTTTGTGTTCTGAGCTGTAGGCCTGTGCTCGGGCCCCCTCCGTGGTGATCAGGAGGCTTTCCCAAGCAGACACAGCCCCTCCTGTGTGGGGAGCAAGGGCGCTGCTGAGTTATAGCTCTTCCGTCTTGCTGGAGTGCTGCTTCGTTGCTAGAGGAGGAAGTTGAGGCTAGAGAGGTGGGCGCCTTTCCTTAGCCTCATTGCTGATGGCTCGCACCTCCCAGCACACAGGGAGCTGTCCCGATAGAACAGACACTCATTTAGTGTGATGAGGTTGTGGACATTGCTTTCTCTTTCTTTCTTTTTAAAAAATACATTTCTTAACATAGTTATGCTTGCTTTTATAAATTAGTATAGGTTGTTTTTTTTTTTTTTTGAGATGGAGTCTCACTCTTGTTGCCTAGGCTGGAGTACAATGGAGCGGTCTCAGCTCACTATAATCTCCACCTCCCAGGTTCAAGCAATTCTCTTGCCTCAGCCTCCCGAGTAGCTAGGATTACAGGCATGCACCATCACACCCAACTAATTTTGTGTTTTTAGTAGAGATGGGGTTTCTCCATGTTGGTCAGGCTGGTCTAGAACTCCTGACCTCAGGTGATCCACCCACCTCGGCCTCCCAAAGTTCTGGAATTACAGGCATGAGCCACCTCCCCCGGCCCATAAGTTAGTATAGGTTTTAACATTTAGATTTTATACTGTCTTCTTGGTAGAACTTAATTCACAATAGAGAAATAAATGTCTTTGTATTTATCACAGATCTCCAGGGAAATTAGTTTGACCACCTTTTAAATTGTTTTTCTCCCCCTAAATAGAAAGCGTTCTCCTCATTCTCTCTCTCTTTTCTTTTTTGAGACGGAGTCTTGCTCTGTCACCCAGGCTGGAGTGCAGTGGCATCATCTCAGCTCACTGCAAGCTCCGCCTCCCGGGTTCACGCCATTCTCCTGCCTCAGCCTCCCGAGTAGCTGGGACTACAGGTGCCCACCACCACGCCCAGCTAATTTTTTTGTATTTTTAGTAGAGATGGGGTTTCACCGTGTTAGCCAGAATGGTCTTGATCTCCTGACCTCGTGATCCGCCCGCCTCGGCCTCCCAAAGTGCTGGGATTACAGGCGTGAGCCATCCTCATTCTCTTAATTGGCTGTGTAGAAGCTTTGCTCAGTCGTTTGACGTCCGGGCATAGTAGACATCAAAATATGTAATTTTAAAACTTTATTTTTCCCCCCAAATTAACTCATTATTCAGACTGAGTGCCCAGATGCAATCTAAAAATAGAACAGAGATTTTTCTAGGAGGCCTGTCTTACCCCAGTCTCAGGTGGGGGCATTGTGAACATTTGGTAGGGTCAGAAAGAAATGTCATTGGCGCCAGAGTGGTGCCGCTGGCCGATGTTACGGTGTGGCCAACTTTACGGCGTGGCTGACGTTACAGCATGGTTTGGAGCCCGTGCCACTGTGCTGCCGCTTGGGCCCCTTCCTGGGGTTAGTCGGGTGCTGTGGGGATCCCACCCCGCAGGCGGGGGTCTGCAGGTTTCACAGCTGCTGCCTGGTTTCCGCAGCTGGACCCCAAAAGCCTTCCGGGTGAGGAAATCAGTGGCAGACCAGGACCCTGTGGGTGCCCCTCACAGGTGGGTACAGCTCCTTCCTGAGAGGTCAGCCCCTGATGATATCCGGAAAGGCAGAGATCATGAATGACACAAAGGGTTTCAGAGAGAGAACATCGGCCACAGTGGCTCACGCCTGTAATCCCAGCACTTTGGGAGGCCTAGGCAGGTGGATCACCTGAGGTCAGGAGTTTGAGACCTGCCTGGCCAACATGGTAAAACCTGTCTCTACTAAAAATACAAAAAATTAGCCAGGCTTAGTGATGAGCACCTGTACTCCCAGCTGCTCGGGAGGCTGGGGCAGGAGGACTGCTTGAACCCGTGAAGTGGAGGTTGCAGTGAGCCGAGATCGCGCCATTGCACTCCAGCCTGGAGAACAAGAGCGATACTCTGTCTCAAAAAAAAAAAAGAGAGAGAGAGAGAACATCACATCCCTAAAGAGAGAGCAGAGAGTATAGTGTATGAACAAAATAAGAACAGAGTACAAATTTTAAGAAAAAGAATATGTAGAAAACAAAAAGTCTTGGAAAATAAAAGCTAAAGTAGAAAGTTGAGTAGAAGAGGCAGAAGATGAAGTAGAGGAAATCTGACAAAAAGGAAAAAAAGAAAAGAAAACCTCGGAGAGAAGATCTGGCGGTCAGAGTGGCTCTGGAGCCACACCCCAGGTGGTGGACTGTGCTCTGGAGGCTGAGGCACACCTGCTGTGGGAATCAGACCTCTGCTGGTTTTGCAGCAGGAAGTTCCACAAGGGGAACGGATGGAAGTGGGAGTTGACATCACTCAGAAATGGTACGGTGAGGGACAGAAGCAGCCTCCCTTTTCAGTGTCAGAGGAAGAGCTGGAAGGGAGACATAAAGCCTGCAATTCACCATGGCTCTTTCACCCACACCTGCTGGATGCCACTGATTTTAGCCAGAATCTCAGCAGCTGGGAGAAAATGCACTTGGGGGAGCCTAGAGCTGCTTCTCAGCGCTGTGCCTGACTCTCCCCTGAAGACGCCGCTGCTCCCCGCTGTGCCATTAGAGGAGAATGGACATAGGCAGTCCCAGCACAGTGGCCCATGGGGACCGTCAGCTCTCTCAGTTGGCCTGGGCATCTGCCCATCTAAAGGCCTCGGCGGTTGGGAGCCATAGGTCAGCCCTTGCCCTGAACCTCCAGTGCTCTTCTGTCAGGAGAGCTTTCCTCACACAAACAGCAAGTTCACTTAAAAAAAAAAAATCAACCACCACCACATGTTTTAAATACAGAATTATACGGCGCAGATGACCCCCAGTGCGTGCAAATGGCCCCTGGAAGGTATACAAGGAAGATGGCCTTCCGGAGACCCCTCCTCGGCCTGTCTTCTCAGAGTGTACTGTGTTGGTGGTCCTGGGGTGGCCCCTGGAAAAACATCCCTGTTTTATAGGGAATTCCTGGCAACCAGGTCCTGTTTAGCCTGGACTCTGGTCGTTGCATTCCTGCTAACTCGGTCCATAGAACACCTGTTGTGGCGTGTCTCGGCGCCTCCTTACTCTCTTCTGTGTCTTCCTAGCCTGTCTCAGGCCACTTGGGACATTTTTCGTGTGTATGTGAAATTATGGTTATTTGCCTTAAACATTTTCCTATATAATCATTTCTCCATTTCTCTGAATTGCCCTGCCTTCCATTCCCAAACCAAAAAAGTTAAGCCTAAATGATGAGATTTTTGGGGAGAAGAACCAGTTTGTTCCAGTCTAAATAAAGTAGTGTAATTATCCTTGTCTTTAATCCATTTCTTCCCGGCAGCCAGGTATAGAGCTTGTTACACAACCTCCTTGAGCTTCTCTTCATACATTTGTCCTGTATGCATTGCTTCAAGTCTTCCTTGTCATAAAACTGGTCATCTTTTATTTACATGGGTGACTCACAGAAGGGAGTGGAGGCAGGAAGCCATGGTGAAAAGTTTGTGAGGTCGAGTGAGCGCTTCTGAGTGCCCTGGTCATGGGGAGGGTAGGGGAAGGGCTGGGTCTGCTTCTGCTTCCAGGAGTGTTGGTCTTCATTTCCCCTCCCTCCCTCCCTCTTTCCCTCCATCCTTCCATCCTCTCATCCTTCCAACTCTCCCTCTCTCTTTCTGCCTTTCACTCTTTTTTCATGAGAAAAGAATGCAGAAAAACTGGTGGACGTGGGAGAGTCTGTTAGATGTCCCCAAAAGTGCTGTTAATAGACGTGCTCTTGGCCAGAAGCCTCGCATCCCATGTGGAGCGGCTCATTGAGAACCCACCTGCGGCATGCCCTGTGCACACAGCCTTCAGAGTTGCAGATACCTGCCTTTCTTCCCAACACTGGTGGAGTCTGTTGGGAAGTGAACGTAGTATATATAACGTATGAAGAAGAATTTGTTCCTCTGAAGCAAATTTAATTGAGATGTATTTAAATATGTATAGTAGACACTTCCAAGAAAAGAGGATTTTTATTAGTGAAAATAATATATTCAGCAGATGGGCCAGGTGCAGTGGCTCACGCCTGTAATCCCAACACTTTGGGAGGCCGAGGTGTGTGGATTGCTTGAGCTCACAAGTTCAAGACCAGCCTGGCCAACATGGCAAAACCCTGTCTCTACTAAAAATACAAAAAACTAGCTGGGCGTGGTAGTGCACGCCTGTAATCCCGGCTACTTGGGAGGCTGAGGTATGAGAATCGCTTGAACCCAGGGAGTCAAGAGGTTGCAGTGAGCTGAGATTGTGTCACTGCACTCCAGCCTGGGTGACAGAGTGAGACTCTGTCTCAAAAATAAATAAATAAATAAATAAAATATATATTTTTAATATATATTTTTGAATATATATATTTTTAATATATATTTTTTGAATATATATATTTTTGAATATATGTATATTCAGCAGATGTTTTCCTTTTGATTTTTTTCTTTCAGACTTAAAGATTTTGTGTCAAAGCTGCTAAAGTAATGTGAGACAAAAATTGTTTTTGAATTCTGATGTGCTGAAACAGTTGGTGAGGCGGTGAGTGGATTCTTAGGTTATTGCAGCGTGTGACGTGAGCACAGGTGCTGGCATTCGTGATGTCACTGTGCTGTCAGCGCAGGCTGGGAGGCGGCAGCAGTCACTGCTCCTCAGCTGCCTCTTCCGTAACGAGAGGAGCACCGTCTCTACCCCACCACACTGGCTGGCCTGAGGGTCAATTGTGACAATTTATGCATGGCAGGTACTGTGTCTGCCATTTATAACTGGTGGCTGTTTTATTTCTGGGTCCCAGCAAAAACATCCTTTAAATCACTGTTATCTGTAGTTGGGATAGGAGGGCTTTTTGTAACTTTAAAGTCCATTTCAGTTGACTTCTTTATGTAAATCTTACTGAGATATGTCACAGGTATTCAGTAAAGCTCCCAAACCGAGGGGTGCAACTCAGTGGATTGTTCAAAACTGCACGCTCACAGCAGCACCCAGATAAGCCCCCTTGGGGCTCCCCCATCACTCCCTCCCCAGGGGTCACCACCCCTCATCCCCCCCACAGTGCTATGCAGAACTTTCCACAGTGACAGAATGTTCTAGATGTGCACTGCTCAATACGGTAGCCCCAGCCACATGTGGCTCATGAGCACTCAAAACGTGGCTGGTGCAACAAAAGAACCAAATTCTTCATTTTATGTAATTTACATTAATTTGAGTTTGAATAGCCCTCTGTGGCTAGGGGCTACCATGTTAGACAGTGAGGCTCTGAAAGCATAAATCAGCTTTGCCTGTTTTAAAATACTATATATATGGAATCATATTACATGTGCATTCTTTTAAAAGTTTTCTTTTTAAATAATGTTTCAAATAATTTCAAACTTAAAAAATTTCAGTCTTATACAAGGGTTGCAAGAACGGTACAAAAAGCACCCATATACTTTTAATCAGATTCACGTATTGTTAATATTTTGGCTCCTATTATATACATCCCCCTCCCTCTCCACATGTGTACACACACGTACAGATTTTTCCTCACCCATCTAAGAATAAGCTGCATGTACCAAGAGCATTTACCCCAAAATTCTTACTTACACTACTCATGCTTAATCATACCCTCTTTACTCAGATTTTAGCAGTTGACCCAGGAGCATCTCTTACAGTATTTTCTTCCCTCCAGTACAGAATCCAGTCCAGGATCACATGTTGCATTTATTGTCATGTCTTCTTTAATCTCTTTTAATCTAGAATAGTTCCTCATCCTTCCTTTGTTGTGACATTGGCATGTTGGAAGAACATTGATGTGTTTGGCGAATACAGTGTCCCTTGCTTTTTCAGTAGAAGACTTCTTTGGTTTGGTCTGATGTTTCCTTCTGATAGATTGAGATGATGTGTTCCTTCCTCTTGGAATGTGTGTGTATAGCTATATTGTGTCCTTCTCAGGGTGTCATTTCCACAGGTGTACAATATCCATCAGCCCCTTGGTGGTGATAAACCCATCACGCAGTTAAGATTTTGTTAGATTTTTCTGCTATATAGTTTTTTCCCTGTGGGGAGATACTTTTAAGACCATGCAAATATCCTCTTCCTCTTTAAAATTTCCTCCAGAGATTTAGTACCCATTAATGAATTTTGCCTAGACCAGTCTTTGCATGGTTGCAGATTGACTCACAAACTCCAGACCCACCATGCTGACCAGTCGTCATCCGGCTTTCTCCTCTAAGGAAGCAACCCCTTTCTCCCTGTGTATTGGTCTGTTTGTGATCAGTGTGGCTACATGGATCCTTCTTTCTCCCAGTGGTTTTTAATTCACTATCTTAGTTATTTTTGTGCTGAAATTGGCCCATATTTGGCATTCTAGCCGACTCCTGTGTTTGCGCTGTGCCTCTTCACTTTTTGAGGATGCCCTTAGTTTCTGGCTCATCCTATACCTTCTCTGTCCCCACTCCGTTGTTTCTCAGAAGAGCTCAAGGCCCTTTAGTGGGGAGCGGCTTTGAAGACCAAGTTCTGGGTGCTGGGCATGCGCATTACTATGGGGTTGCCTGCTTCTAGGCCCCTCAGTGCACAGAGGTAGTAACAGAGGTATAGACACACTCATGGACACACACGTCTACCTGTGCATACTCAGGAATCATGAGTTAACTTCCTGACTTCCTCCCTTTCCAGACTTTTGTCTTCCTCCTACTGAAACTGTGACTCCCAGCACCGTTAGTACGTGCACTCACTCAGTCCTGAGATGTGTCTAAAAAAGCTTTAGAATTGCTCTGCCCAGGACACCACAGAAGCAAACCTGCCCGCAGGCATTCCGGGTTTGTTTGCGGTTCTCCCCCATCTCATTGGGACTGCACCCCTCACCTGCAGTAATTCAAGTTCTGTGTTCATAAGTCACTTGGATTTGTTTTGTTTTGTTTTGTTTTGTTTTAACCCCATCTCCCCCTTCAGTGTTGTTATTTATTTGAAATACAGTTGGATTCATTGGTTTGAATCAGTTTTCCATTTTAGACTTCCCTTCCGCCTTTGTTGATTGAGTTTTATTCTTTGAGTACGTAGGACGTTAGCGTGCTTCCAAAACTGCATGAAGTTGTACTCAGAAGCGTCGCCCCTTCTTTATCCTGCCCACCTCCGCTGGCAACCCAGGATCCGTAGCCAGTCTGCTGTCTTCTGCTATCGTCCATGCAGGCGTTTTCTTGTTTATCCTTTGTTAAGCAAAAGGTGATACCTTTAAAAACTTTAGTGATGTATCCTGTAAATCATTCCATATCAATTCATGGAGCTCTTCATTCTTTTTTTTTTCTTTTTTTTTTTGAAACAGAGTTTCGCTTTTGTTGCCCAGGCTGGCGCGCAGTGGTGCGATCTCGGCTCACTGCAACCTCTGCCTCCTGGGTTCAAGTGATTCTCCTGCCTCAGCCTCCTGAGTAGCCGCCCGCCACCACTCCCAGCTAATTTTGTATTTTTAATAAAGACAGGGTACTCCATGTTGGTGAGGCTGGTCTCAAACTCCCAACCTCAGGCGATCCTTCCACCTCAGCCTCCCAAAGTGTTGGGATTACAGGCGTGAGCCATCGCACCCGGCCTGCTCTTCATTCTTTTTTATGTTTGCATAATACTGCGAACTACCATAGGTAACTACCATAGTTTATTCAAGTAGTCTCCTAAGAGTGGACATTTAGATAGTTTCCAATATTTTGCAATTATAAATGTAGAAATAAATACCCTTGTGCAAGGTGGTTTTTGTTTTGGTTGTGTGCCTTCAGGGTAAATCTCTACAAGTGGGGTTGCTGGATCAAGAGAGAAATAAATTACATACGTAGGTTTATTTGATGTTGTAAGTTTCCCTCCATAGACATTACCAATTTGTATTCCCACCAGCAGTGGATGAAAGTGCCTGTTTCCTTGCAGCTTTGCCAACCGTGCATTTTCAGACTTTTGTATTTTTGCCCTCTGATGGGTGACAGGTGGTACACAATTGTAGTTTTCTTTTTCACCTTTCTCGTGATGTTGACCATCATGTTTGTATTTTTGTGTGTGTGTATGTGAGTTTTTTCATTGGTTTTACCCTTTTATTATGGATTTCTGGCTTTTTTCCCCCAATTCTTAAAGAAGTATTTGCCTTTTATCTGTAATATATATTACAAATATTTTTCCCCAATTTGCCATTTGTTTTTTGATGTGGTTCATTGTGGTTTTTTGCCACACAGATTTTTAAACATTTTTGTACATAATCGAATGAGAAATCCTTACTCCCAGAAAAAGAAAACCCACGTGTTGGTTTGTTTGTTTTTTTTTTTTTTTTGGAAGGGGGGGTTGTTTTGTTTTGTTTTTTAGTATTTTTACTTTTTCATTCATATAGGTTCATCTGTTCCATGTGGATCTTGGGTCCATTTCAGGTTTATTCTTATATACGGCACAAGGAAGAGTTCTAATTTTATCTTTAAATGGCTCTCCAGTTGTCACAACACCAATTTATTTAAGTCTATCTTTACCCCAGTGATTCGTATTATCTTTGTCCTGTACTTGATTTCTTTATGTAGTTGGTTTGTTTCTAGACATTCTACTCTATTCCATTTTCTCTCTGCCTCTGCACACACTAGCACCACACTGCTTTAATTAGGGAGGCTGTGTAGTGTGTTTTGAAATCATCTGGGCCTGATCCTCATCACAGCTCACTCTTCAGGGTTTTTCTGGCTTTTCTTTTCATATGAGCATCAATATCAACTTGGCTGGCTTCAAAAAAGAGGACATTGATATTTTCTTTTTTTTAATCTTATGGGCCCTCTCATTCTAGATTCAGGTATTTTTTTTTTTTTTTTTAATTTCTGGAAAGTTCTGTTGGATTGTAGTCAAATGTTAGTCATGTTTTGTTTTGATTTCTTTCAGGGACTCCAGTTATGCATCTGTTGGGCCTTCTTTGCCTGTCTCCCACTTTAGCCTCTGGCTGCTTCCTATCTGACTGCGTTTCCTTGTTTCTTTACCTCATTTTATTCTTCTAGATCTTTTCTTCCCTTTCTTCAATTTTTCATTAGATTTTTGTTTCAATTTGTTCTTGTTTGGTCCTCTTATAATTTCATTTCTGATAAGATTTTATCTGTTTCTTCTATTTCTTCCCTGAGTTAAATCAGCTCTTCTTTTCTGCATGCTTTTGTCTAGTGCGTGCGTGTGTGTTTGTGTGTGTACGTGTGTTTTTGTGTTTTGAGACAGGGTCTTGCTCTGTCGCCCAGGCTGGAGTGCAGTGGCGCAATCACAGCTCACTACAGCCTCTGCCTCCCAAGGTTCAAGCAATTCTCTTGCCTCAGCCTCCCAAAGTGCTGAGATTATAGTTTGTGAGCCACTGCACCTGGCCGTGTGTGTGTGTGTGTGTGTGTGTGTGTGTGTGTGTTTGTGTGTTTGTGGGATTTTGTTTTGTTTTCTTTTTCGTATTCCTGAATGTTTATTTGAGGATATTTTATTTTAGTTTGGAGTGTTACATGCTAGAGTTTCTTTTGCCTTGTGTTTTTGTTTCTGGTTTTGTGTTTTGTTTCTGGTTTTGAGGTAAGAATTATCATCTGCCCATGTTTGTGTGAGATTGATTCATGTGGCTGGGGGAGTTGGTACCCGTCTGTTTTCATTGGGGTGTGGTGTCTATCACACGAGTATAGCCCAGCTTACTCACCCATTCTCTTGGAGGCAGAGATTTAGATTGTTTCTGCCTTTTGGCTGTTAGAAGTGGTGCCGCTGGGAACATGCTTGTACTTGTCTTTTGCTGAATGTCTGTCTTTGTTTTTAAAGTTTGTTTGCATTCATACTGTTGAGTCATGTAAGCTTATTGTGCCAGAAAAAAGCATTCATGCTCTGAGGTGCCCTGCACCCGCACATGTGTTTGAGAGCGCACAGAAAGTAGTTTAGAAACAGGCGTTAGTGGGACAGACCTGTGTTTATGTTCCTGCTCCAGCACGTGCTGCTCTGTAACTGTGGGCAGTTGGCTCAGCTTCCATGTCTTCATCTATAAAGTGCAGTTTTGGGGGTATGGGGCGGTTTGCAGCAGTCTTCCCCCAGATCGCCACCTGCCTCCTGGACCTCGTCTGGCCACTGCCGTCTCTTTGTGTGGCAGCCCCCAGCCAGCTTCCTCCACACGTGTCCCTCTGTCCCTTTGTCCCATTCCTGTTTTCCGTGGTACTCAGCACAGAGCTTGCACCGTGTGAGCCTGCCTGAGACAGCAGTGCCTATTTGTGTTTGCAAGACCTCAGCTCGTGTGCAGGCTTCATGAAGGCAGGGGCAGCGTTGTCACGTGCATAGGTGGGTGGGCTGGAGAGCAGTGCCTGGCACCAAGGAGATGCTCAGGAGGGGCTCGTTAGCTGGGTGGGCAGACGAGTAGGAATCGTCACAGGGCCTCGCCAGGGTAACTGGGGACTAAACGAGGGGCAGTGATACGACTTCGGCTGCCACCATGCCAGCTGAATGTCACACAGAGGCATTTGTACTGGATGGTGACAGCTGTTCACAAGAGGATATTAGCATTTATTCATCTGATCACCACTAGTTAAGGGCTTTGATCTACCTAATGTGTTGCATGGAGATGGTTAATTTGTGTGTTTATTTTACAAACAGAGACATTAAACCTGACAATGTCCTTTTGGACGTGAATGGTCATATCCGCCTGGCTGACTTTGGATCATGTTTGAAGATGAATGATGATGGCACTGTAGGTATTTTTGTTGGAGATTTTCCATTTGGTTTTGGGTTTGGCATATAGTCAGAAGGGAAGTTTTCAATTTGAGGTACAATTAAGAAACCAAGTATATTAATTCAGAAAATGAATCCATTTTGGAGATAGTTGAAATTTTCTGTTTGGGGAGTTTTGTTTCCCAAATAAAAATTAAGTTGGAAAGCATCTTTATTGCTTTTTATGTTTACAAAAGTAATATGTGTGCCTTCCAGAATGGGAGTTGTCAGGTTTCCTCAATCCCAAGGTGGCTAAAAGCATGCCAGCCCTGTAGCAGATCGAGGGCGCTCCCTGCTTCTTCCTTAAAGGGCCCTGTCCAGGCTGGTCGGGTGGGCAGGCATTAACCATGTAACTGTACTTTCTCACTTGTGTTGGGGCAGGTAACTTCCTGCTAGGGGTTTCCTCTCTATGGGTGTTGTAGACCTAGAAATAGAGTCCTAGGTGCTCAGTGTTACGGGGCCAGCTGACACTCCCGCCAGCAGGGAAAGAACAGGAGGTTGCCCCCGGATCGGCTATCACCAGGAGACCCAGGCTCAGGCCACAGGCCCTGTGGTCTCCACCCCGCAGTCAGACCAGCGTCATGGCCGAGTAGCCTGATGGGGGCAGTCCCAGCTCTGCTCACACCCTGTTGGCAGCTGCTTGCAGCAAACTGCTTTCACTGCGTCTGTGGCCACTGTTGCAGTTTTGTTCTTACATGTTTGGAGTCTTTTCTTTTTTGAAACCTACACTTATCATAAGGTCTAACATCAAATAGTTTTCCGAGAGAGCAATCCCTTTCTTGCCTACTGGCGGATTTTCAAGCAGTAGTGGAAGCACCCATGTGACTGGCTTCAGTTGACAGCGTTTTATAAGAAATAAAGCAGTTTGCTCATTTTCATTCCACAAAGCCAGTCTCTTGTTTTTAATAGTCTTGACCACATATTGATTAATTGGTAGGCGGGTGCTGTCCTCCACTCCAGTCTTCCAGTGACTAGAACAGGTCTGAACCAGAACATGGGTTACCCTCCACACCTCCACACCACCCTGTCACAGTATAACCAGAGCATGGGTTACCCTCCTGACCTCCACACCACCCTGTCACGGTATAACAAGAGCATGGGTTACCCTCCTCACCTCCACACCACCCTGTCACGGTATAACCAGAACATGGGTTACCCTCCTCACCTCCATACCACCCCGTCATGGTATAACCAGAACATGGGTTACCCTCCTCACCTCCACACCACCCCGTCATGGTTTAACCAGAGCATGGGTTACCCTCCACACCTCCACACCACCCTGTCACAGTATAACCAGAGCATGGGTTACCCTCCTGACCTCCACACCACCCTGTCACGGTATAACCAGAACATGGGTTACCCTCCTCACCTCCACACCACCCCGTCATGGTATAACCAGAGCATGGGTTACCCTCCTCACCTCCACACCACCCCGTCATGGTTTAACCAGAGCATGGGTTACCCTCCTCACCTCCACTCCACCCCGTCACAGTAGTTGTTCATCGTGGAGTCACCGCCCAACACCCCAGTGGTCCCGCTGTCTGTAGGAGCTCCTGTGGGCTGGCCACGCACTCGTGCAGGGAAGTGATAGAGGTGGAGTTCTCTGCTGATCCATTCAGCCTGAGCAGTTCTCACACCACTGGCTCTGGGGTGCTGCTTGGACCCTGTGTCTCTCTTCCCAGAGGGGACCCTCGGGAGAGCCTGGCCTTCCCCAGACAGGCCTGTGGTTGTTGTCTCCAGTTCCTGCCTGAGCCTCAGTCTTAGAGACTCAGCCCGTCAGGATGGCCCTATACTCTCCATCGTTCTCTCTGCTTGGATGATTTCTCAGCTTCACCAGGCTCCTCCCGCTTGCTCTGAGGTGGCCCGTGCCCTCGCAGCTTTCTGCAGAGGTGTCACTGTACTCTGGCACCTGCCTGCTGATGTAGATAGCAGGGGAGCTGTTTTCTCCCTTGCGGGGGTAGGAGCGGTCTTAGCCTCCTGGTGCGCTGTCCAGGGAATGCCTGAGCACCCGGCTAATGCCTGGACCAACTTCTGCATGTTCCCATGAGGAAGACCACAGGGTCGGCTGCAGGTGAGCAGCCTTAGTACCCCCAGAAGCTTATTAGAAATGCAGCCTCTTGTGCCCCACTGGAGTCTTTATTCTAAAAACAGACCCTACACAAGACTCCCTGCGTGCTGCACATGAAAATCAGAAAGGCTGGCCTGTGCACATGTGGCCCCTGCATCACACTGGGAGCAGTGACAGAGAGTGGGAAATGCCAACCCTGGGGGATTGGAGAGGCACTGTTTGGGGCTGTGGCTGGTATTTGGGTATTGACAGACCATGTGTACAAGAGTTTCATGCATTCTGGGAGCCGCATAATGTTTAGTGCTTCAAAAGGATATTTATTTGCATTGAATTTTGCATTATTGAGGTTTTTAAATTCCGTTTTGTTTCGTTAGAGACAGGGTTGGGGACCATGTTGCCCGTGTTGGCCTTGAGCTCCTGGGCTCAAGCGGTTCTCCGGCCTCAGCCTCCCAAGTAGCTGAGGCTACAGGCTCGAGGCACTATACTCAGCTTGAATTACTGGGTTTAAAAAACACGATCATTCATCAGTTTTATTCTATGATTATTTCATTTTCTGCCTCCGCTATATTTTAGAGAAAGTAGTTGGAAATATGTGATTGGAGATGCCCTAGGGTTTCCTTCAGCACCTCCTTCTCCCCTAAGGTGCAGTCCTCCGTGGCCGTGGGCACACCTGACTACATCTCGCCGGAGATCCTGCAGGCGATGGAGGACGGCATGGGCAAATACGGGCCTGAGTGTGACTGGTGGTCTCTGGGTGTCTGCATGTATGAGATGCTCTATGGAGAAACGCCGTTTTATGCGGAGTCACTCGTGGAGACCTATGGGAAGATCATGAACCATGAAGTAAGACGTTGCATTTTTTTTTTTTTTTTGGTACCTGGCTCAGGCCTAAAGTACAGAGAGCACAACTAGTGCAGGAAGATCCGTTAGGAAGCAACGCGAGTAGTTGAGGAAGAGGTGACGGGGTTTGGACCAAACTGGGGACAGGCAGATTGGAGTAGACATTGGAGAGGGCATCCAGAGGCGGGGTCGGCACCAGGAGATGTGGGCGCCAGAGGAAGGGGAAGGAGGTTCTGAGGGTGACCCCCACCCCCACTCTCAGGGGAAGGACGCTGGCCTGCTCCAAGCTGGCTTCCTGGAGGGAAGGCAGGTTTCTGTAGACAGACGCGTCGTCTGCACAGGCGCATGGAGTGAGGCGCCCGGGGGTAGCCAGTGGGGAGGTCCAGGTGGGCCCTTTGACCTGTGGCTCTAGATTCACTGGTTAGGTGCCAACTTTGATTCTCAAGTCTGTTCCCCAGAAATCAGTCCCTGTAAATGATCATGTGTCTCCAGATGGTGGAGCCCTTCATCCTCCCCATCCTGTTTCCTCTTTTCCTCCTTCCCTTTCCGAACTGTTCACTTTCTCACTTCCATGTCACCTCTCTCCACCTCCTTTGTTTTCCTTTTTATCATTTTCTCTTCTGTCTGATATTTTTTATTTCTTTTTAAAAATTTTCCTTAGTCATGTGTCTTTCTTTTTTGAGATGGAGTCTCACTCTGTCGCCCAGGCTGGAGTACAGTGGCGCAGTCTCGGCTCACTGCAACCTCTGCCTCCCGAGTTCAAGCGATTCTCCTGCCTGTCTTTTTATCTTTTTTTTTGAGACGGAGTTTCGCTCTTGTCGCCCAGGCTGGAGTGCAATGGTGCAATCTCAGCTATGCCTCCCAGGTTCAAGCGATTCTCCTGCCTCAGTTTCCTGAGTAGCTGGGATTATAGGTGCCTGCCACAACACCTGGCTAATTTTTTTGTATTAGTAGTAGAGACAGGGTTTCACCATGTTAGCAAAGCTGGTCTCAAACTCCTGACTTCAGGCAATCCACCCACCTTGGCCTCCCAAAGTGCTGGGATTACAGGCGTGAGCCATCGCACCCAGTCAGTCATGTGTCTTCCTAATGCCGATTTCACCCTCTCTACCAGCGTGCTCATAGCATTTCCCTCCCCGCTGTCTCCTGTGCACATGACAGATCCCAGAATGATCCTGATTGAGTGCTGGCCTGTCCTCCAGCCAGGGCCTCCCACAGTTCGCTCTCACAGGGAGCAGATTAACACTGAAGCGGGAACTGGTTTTCCATTTAACTCCAAAGCAAAGCAAAAGTTACAGTTTTAAAAAACGTTTTTCCCAAAGTAGAAGCATATTTTTATTTGTAAATTAATATATACCCCCTATAAAAACTTCAGACAATGCAAAAATGCATATTGTAGATAATGAAAATTGTCTCATCCACTTCTTAGTGACAAATTCTGTTAAAGTAACAACTGGGACTTCGTTATTACTAAGAGCCTGCCAGCAGTCACTGAGTGCCGACCACCTGTGGGCTCTTGGGTCAGGCACTCCGTGAAGCAGGTGACATTGTTCTTCCTTTCTGTAGATGACAGAGGTGGTGGCTCAGCTCTCAGCCCACTCTACCATGAGGGTGTGTGGCCTCGGCAGACCTCAGCTCGTGTGTGTGCGTGCGCATGTGTGTGTTTAGATACGTGGCATCATGTTACATATCAACAGTTTTTTGTCATTGTATCTGTGGTGTCTTTCTATAGCAGCACACAGACATGTTCCTTTTTCTTTGTGCCCCATCTTTTTTGTTTTGAGCTGGAATCTCGCTCTTGTCACCCAGGCTGGAGTGCAGTGGCACGATCTTGGCTCACTGCAACTTGCACCTCCCGAGTTTAAGCGATTCTCGTGCCTCAGCCTCCCAGGTAGCTGGGATTACAGGCCGCCACCACGCCCGGTAATTTTTGTATTTTTAGTAGAGACAGGGTTTCACCTTGTTGGTCAGGCTGGTCTGGAACTCCTGACCTCAGGTGATCTGCCCACCTCGGCCTCCCAAAGTGCTGGGATTACAGGCGTGAGTCACTGTGCCCAGCCGGTATCTTTTTTAACGAGTCTCTTTTTTGATGGGCATGTAGGTAATTTGCAGTTTTCTTGGTCAAAATACAGTGCAGTCCTGAGCATGTTGTGTTTCCTCTTAGTAACTGCTTTTTTAGTGTGAGTTTCCAGAAGCGGAGCTGCCGTGACGCGTGCACTGTGCATTCTGACGGGGCTGCGCCTGTCCCTCTTCCCGCGCACGGCATGTTTCCCACATTCCTTGCCACTTCCATAGGTAAAATGTGTCATTTACATGCAGTGTGGTCACAAGTCTACAATGAGTAAAACCAGAAGGACCACTGGTTTTCTTGTTTGCCTTTTGGGAATGGAAATTTATTAGCTTTGGATTGCATTTAGTTCCCATGAAGTGACCTGCTTTGAAGCTACCATTTCTACTTTGTTTCCTATCATATCTGTACACCTTAAACTCTCTGAATGCGTCCACCTGTCCACCGGTGTTTTTGCCACCCCTTGCAGGAGCGATTCCAGTTCCCATCCCATGTCACGGATGTATCTGAAGAAGCGAAGGACCTCATCCAGAGACTGATCTGCAGTAGAGAACGCCGGCTGGGGCAGAATGGAATAGAGGATTTCAAAAAGCATGCGTTTTTTGAAGGTCTAAATTGGGAAAATATACGAAACCTAGAAGCACCTTATATTCCTGATGTGAGCAGTCCCTCTGACACATCCAACTTCGACGTGGATGACGACGTGCTGAGAAACACGGTGAGTGTGAAAGCACCGTTCTCAGGGTTGCTGGCTGTGGGTCTGACATGCAGTGCTGTGTTGAGGGCGTTGCTTATCAAGTCAGTACACCATAAAGCTGTGAAATTTGGCACTTAAGACAGTGTGCTTTTTATTCCAGCCTTCAGCTGGGTCCTTAATATTCCTTTAAAAAATGATGGATGACTCAATTTGAGTAAAATTCAGTTAAACAGCTCATTTGTTTTGCAACTCAACAGAAATACTTTTGCTTTTATTTTCACAGTACTTGATACTTTTTTTTTTTGAGACAGTCTTGCTCTGTCGCCAGGCTGGAGTGCAGTGGTGCAATCTCAGCTCACTGCAACCTCTGACTCCCTGTTTCAAGCCATTCTCCTGCCTCAGCCTCCCGAGTAGCTGAGATTACAGGCATGCGCCACCATGCCCAGCTAATTTTTGTATTTATAGTAGAGACGGGGTTTCACCATGTTGGCCAGGATAGTCTCGATCTCCTGACCACATGATCCGCCCACCTCTGCCTCCCAAAGTGCTGGGATTATAGGCGTGAGCCATCGCGCCCAGCCTACTTGATACTTTTCAAAGCAGTGTCACATACATCATTGTATTAGAGCTTCACTGTGACCCTGTCACCACATTTTAGGTTTTTTAGGTTGAAAGACACCAAGACATGGGCTTAGCCTACAGTCCCATAGGCAGTGTGGCGGCCTCTCAGTTACTGGTCTTTTCCCTACATGTGAGAGCACGTTAAATCTTTCTAACATTACAGCGCTTTGTGTCTGCATTGGTGTTTCTTTATACAGCAAGAGTTCAGAATAAAGATGATAATAGCAGATTTTGAGTCTCCGCACTGATGTTTAAGATCAGGATTTTCCGAGTTGGGTTCCAGCTGTGGGACTTGTTTGGTGTTCCAGTCGGCTCTGACAGGGCCTCTTTGACACACTAGCCAGTACCTTTGGTCCTGGAGAATTTTGCTCATATCTCGTAAAATTCTTTTGTTCTCATCAAACCCATACATGTGTGACTTCGTTTGGGGATAGACAAGCTGAGGTTTAACCAAATAAAAGGAAAATCTTCTTCGTTGCTTATTAATTTAGAGAGTTTCTTACACCGAAGCATCATCATTCACTCTGTATGTTTCATCCCCAGGACCTCTGGAAATGAATGACCATGAACCTGGGGAAACTCCTAGTAGTTTAGTGGGAGGAGCAGAGGTTCTTAGAAACTATGAAGTACCCCTTGTAGGGTCATGGAAAAGGTAAATCTGGGCCGGGTGCGGCGAGTCACCCCTGTAGTCCCAGAACTTTGGGAGGCTGAGGTGGGCGGATCACCTGAGGTCAGGATTTCGAGACCAGCCTAGCCAACATGGTGAAACCCCGTCTCTACTAAAAATACAAAAATTAGCCGGGCATGATAGCGGGTGCCTGTAATCCAGCTACTTGGGAGGCTGAGGCAGGAGAATCACTTGAACCCAAGAGGTGGAAGTTGCAGTGCCTGAGAATACGCCACTGCACTCCGGCCTGGGTGACAGAGCGAGAGTCCATCTCAAAAAAAAAAAAAAACAAGAAAAGTTAAATCTATTTGCACCGAATACTTGCTTTGATGGCTTCACATTCAAAATAAAGGCTGAACTTCAGACCACATGGAGAAAATGCTGAGAAAAGTATTGTCATTGTTGAAAGGATTGTTGTCCTAGACTCTGACTCCAGACTCCAACTCCTTCCACACTGAAATTTCCCAGATAAAGAACTTTGCTTATATTTTTTATTTTTTGAGACTGATCTCCTTCTGTCACCCAGGCTGGAATACAGTGATACAACCTCAGCTCACTGCAACCTCAGCCTCCCATATTCAATCAAGTCTCGTGCCTCGGCCTCTTGAGTAGCTGGGATTACAGGCACGTGCTGCCACATCCAGCTAATTTTTGTATTTTTAGTAGAGACGGGGTTTCACCATGTTGGCCTAGGCTGATCTTGAACTCCTGGTCTCAAGCAAGCCACCCACCTCAGCCTCCCAAATTGCTGGGACTACAGGCGTGAGCCACTGTGCCTGGCCCCTGGTTATAGTTTTTAATAAAGAAAGATCCTCAGAATGAAAAATAGAGTTATAATAAACTTATCTAAAATAATCTACCTTTGGGTTCCTTTTTGCCTTGGGGCCTCTTGTCTTAGGTCAAGAACCTGAGAGTCCCCAGGCTCTGTCCGGGGTCCTCAGAGGGACCATACCTGTTCACACTGTTGGACTCTGCACACAGTTGTGTTAAGCAGTGAATTCTGTGGCTTTAAGAAGTCTTTGAAAATCACTAACCTGGTGACGGCCTGTGCCACTGTCATCATCGAAATCAGAGTGTGTCTCCTGTGAGCTTTATTGTACATACAGCGTACAGGGCCAGGCTTGAGAAAGACAGATCTGCTATACTCATCTCCCCTGCAGAGGACACCATGGAATCCGCATTCTCCAAGGCCACATGTTCTGCCCAGTGCCTCCTGTCACCATGACTGTAACCATCTTTCCTCTTTTTACCTGTTTGTTTGAATGTAGATTTCATTTGTGTTGTATATGTTCTTATGCAGGAAATATTACCTCCTGGTTCTCACACAGGCTTTTCTGGATTACATTTGCCATTCATTGGTTTTACATTCACAACGGAAAGGTATGTCTGGATTTATCATTCCCCAGGGAGACACTTCCCCTGTGGTAGATGAACAGTCAGACACCACAGTCTGTCCCTGGGGGCGGGCTAGTGGGTGGTGTGTGCGCTGGGAGGCCATTACTTAAGGGAGATGGAGATGGGTTTTTGGTCTTAAAATATGCACACCTGATGACTACAGGTGATACCATAGCAAGGTTGCAGGCTTTTTCTCTACAGATATCCAGGTCGTAAAGAATTCAGGTTTCATGGCCTTTGTTGTATGTTCTTCTTTTTACAACCCTTTAAAAATGTTAAAACCATTCATGCTCGTGATGGTGCAGAAACAGGCCTCGGGCAGGATTTCTCCCAGAGGCCAGGGGGGTGAGATTTCTCCCAGAGGCCGTAGTTTGCCAACCCCTGACCAATAGGCCGCCAGCATTGGCAGGGTTAGCTCTGATCCAGTCGGTGGCCACAGCAAGCAGAGCAGTTGCCATGCGCACTCAGCTGAGAGCTGGCTTCCATCAGAGCACTCTGCTGGCTTTTGTAAGGATTGTGTGTTGTGGGCCCCTGTCCCAAATGGGCCTCTTTGCAAAGTTGTGTCGCCTGAGATGGTCCACCTCGATTTTAAAAGGAAACTGGGGCCAAGAGGAGAGGGGTTAGGAAGAAAGAGAGGTGAAATGAGACAATGGAAGCTCCCACTGTGCCACAGAATCTGATTCCTGGCGTCCTCTGGCAGCTGGAACCACAGTTGAAAATGTCTTGGGAGGGAGATATCCCCATGCTTCTTTTTTTTTTTTTTTTTTTTTTGGAGACGGAGTCTCGCTCTGTCGCCCAGGCTGGAGTGCAGAGGCACGATCTCAGCTTACTGCAACTTCTGCCTCCCGGGTTCAAGCGATTCCCCTGCCGCAGCCTCCTGAGTAGCTGGGACTACAGGCGCCCGCCACCACGCCCGACTAATTTTTTTTATTTTAGTAGAGAGAGGGTTTCACCATATTGGCCAGATGGTCTCGATCTCCTGACCTCGTGATCTCCCCGCCTCGGCCTCCCAAAGTGTCAGGATTACAGGCGTGAGCCACCGCGCCCGGCTGATATCCCCATACTTCTGCTCGAGCTTGGAAGAAATCTCTTTTGGTGTGAGAGGCCAGGGTTAAACAGCCCATAAGCCAAAGTGGCAGCTGCTGTCTTCCAGCCCACAGGAGGCTTTCTGGGTGGGCATATTGATTTACCAGCCCCCAGTGCAGAGGTTCTTGATCTTTCTAATACATGCCAGCTCACCAAATGCTTGTCACACTTGCAGGTCCCAAGCCCATGGCTGTAGTTTGGCCAGATAGGCCTAGAGCTCTCCTCTTGACAGATCCCGCAGGGCTGGAGCAGCCCAGCACCCTCAGACCACCTGTGGAGAAACACTGACCAGGTCTTCTCTAAAGGGGGCTGGGTGCCTTTATGGAACTCTGCGTAGGAGCTCAAAATTTCCCTGACTTCATTGTCACATAAAGAGCTAAGCAGAACTAAGTAACTCCTAAAGCAGCCCAAGAATTAAGCTATTAAATGAGAGCCATCCTGGGCTTCAGCCTGTGCCTCGGCTGTGTGCGTCATCGAGTGGTCTGGTCCTTGGTAAGGGGCTTAGTGTGCTGGTCAGTGCTAGAATTGGTGGCTTAGCCTGCAGGGGAAGAAGAGTTGAAAGAGCTGTCCTGGATTGCTTGGCCAGTTGGTGGCCAAACCAGGAAGCTTTCAGTGGTCCATGCGTACCGCTGACCTGCAGACGAGCTGGGGCTGCCCCCTAAGCCTTGCTTTACGCAGGATCCATGCCTTCTGGTTTTGCATTTATAGTTAAGTGTGGGGGATGATTTAGAAATGCCATTTCCCCTCCTTTGCAGAGGCGCTTTCTTTGACCAGCGATGGGGAGGGCCCTTGTCAGTGTCTCCTTGACCATCTGGTCACTTGTCTAACTTTGGTTCCATAAACCATAAAGTCTTATCTCAGGTGTTTTTGTTTGCTGATTTAAAAAGACTATCTTTCACCTCAGGAAGATTGAAAATGCTAATGAAATCGCTAAATTTTCAGTAGATCAAAAAAACCTGTTGCTTGGTTTCCCAGCTGTTTTTCTGATCGAGGCTCTCTGAAGAGCATAATGCAGTCCAACACATTAACCAAAGATGAGGATGTGCAGCGGGACCTGGAGCACAGCCTGCAGATGGAAGCTTACGAGAGGAGGATTCGGAGGCTGGAACAGGAGAAGCTGGAGCTGAGCAGGAAGCTGCAAGGTGAGGGCAGCGCCGGCTCCGGGGCCAGGCGGGGGCGCTGCGGCCAGGCTGCACCTCACGCTGTCTCTCCATCCCTCAGAGTCCACCCAGACCGTGCAGTCCCTCCACGGCTCATCTCGGGCCCTCAGCAATTCAAACCGAGATAAAGAAATCAAAAAGCTAAATGAAGAAATCGAACGCTTGAAGAATAAAATAGCAGGTATGTGTTTAAAAGTGTGACTTCTTAGTCTCTATTTTTGGTCATTACTGTCTTAAAAGGGAATTTCAGAGTCCTTTTCATAAAGTGGGAAAGCAGAAAAAAAGCTTAGGCTTTAGCAAGCTTATTTAGAGTTCTCAAATTTTGGTCAGTTGTTTTTTTTTAGACGGAGTTTCACTTTTGTCACCCAGGCTGGAGTGCAGTGGTGCGATCTCAGCTCACTGAAACCTCCACCTCCTGGGTTCAAGCGATTCTCTTGCCTCAGCCTCCCAAGTAGCTGGGATTACAGGCATGTGCCACCACACCCGGCTAATTTTGTATTTTTAGTAGAGACAGGGTTTCACCATGTTGGCCAGGCTGGTCTCGAACTCCTGACCTCAGGTGATCTGCCTGCCTTGGCTTCCCAAAGTGCTGGAATTACAAGCATGAGCCACTGCGCCCAGCCCCAATTGGCTTAGTTCTAATGATATTATTTTATAGTCACCAGCTAGAATCAGTTCCTGATATTTTATCTGTACGTTCTCTGGCTATTTTCTGCTTCTCTGTTACAGTTTTCCTTTTTGTGGCTTTCAGACAGTTCCTAGAGCTGCTTTCCTCCTAAAGCTTAATCAGTGACTCTGCCTGCTCCTTGGTGTTGTAGGTGCTAGACCTGCTGTCACCACTTTCTTTTGGCGGTTCCTAGGTTATCAAAGTTCCCTAAAAGCTCCAATCAGTTTTTGTTTTTTTGTTTTTTTGTTTTTTGAGACGGAGTCTCACTCTGTCACCCAGGCTGGAGTGCAGTGGCATGATCTCGGCTCACTGCAAGCTCCGCCTCCTGGGTTCACGCCATTCTCCTGTCTCAGCCTCCCAAGTAGCCCCCCACCACGCCTGGCTAATTTTTTGTATTTTTACAAAATAGAGACAGGATTTCACTGTGTTAGCCAGGATGGTCTCGATCTCCTGACCTCGTGATCCGCCTGCCTTGGCCTCCCGAAGTGCTGGGATTACAGGCGTGAGCCGCTGCGCCTGGCCTGGCTCCAATCACTTTTAAGCCTTAACCTCACACAGGTTGGCTCTGCAGTTGACCTTCACCTCCAAAGCACACTTTGAATCTCACCTTCTCTGCATTTCCTATCAGGAACCCCACTGTCCTGATCCAAAAACAGACTTCTTTGATTGAGTCACTTACTAACTAAAACTTTTCTTGCACGCTGAGAAAGGACAAGGGCCAGGCACTGTGCTGGGTGACACAGGTTAGAGGGACTGAGCAGACGAGTGTGTGCGCCACCCAAGGGCTCCCAGTGCTCAGGGGAGATCGCTGTCAGATCAGAGTAAAGTCTAGGGAGCCTGTTCAGCACAGGCATGCAGGTAGCTGTGCCTATGACACTGTGTGTGTGTGTGTGTGTGTGTGTGTGTGTGTGTGTGTAAGTAAAAAAACCTCTGAATGAAAAAGTGTTGTGAATTATTAAATAATTTCCTGTCAGTAAGTCAGCTAACATAAAGTTTACATATAGTCATTGCACATAAAGGAACAGAGTTTATTTCCTCTTTTGTCCAGATTCAAACAGGCTCGAGCGACAGCTTGAGGACACAGTGGCGCTTCGCCAAGAGCGTGAGGACTCCACGCAGCGGCTGCGGGGGCTGGAGAAGCAGCACCGCGTGGTCCGGCAGGAGAAGGAGGAGCTGCACAAGGTAGGTGGCTCAGTTTGGGGTGAGAAAGGCTTACGGGACTTTGCAGAATTCTGTAAGGTCACGTTCATGCCGATGATGGAAGACCTCTTGGGACTCCTGCCCATGGGCTGTCCCTGCTGCATGCAGGACGCCAGGGCCAAGCCTGGCCCCGGGGCCCCTGCCACGCCTGCCTGCTGCACAGCCCCCGCGTCGGCTGGCAGAGCTTGGCTCCCAGTGGCAGGTGCCTTCCACCCCCTTGCCCCCAGCGGTTATCCACCTCGCAATCAGCCTCTCCAGTCTCCACTTCAGACCCACAGAGAAAGCAGCACCCCACTGCATTCTAAAGCGAGGAAAGATGTCGATAGGGCATGGTGGCCGTGCACAGGGCATGGTGGCCGTCCACAGGGCATGGTGGCTGTGCATAGGGCATGGTGGCTGTGGCAACACACGCTGCGTCCCGAGCCAGGCCCTCCCCTTCTCTCCACCAGGCCTCTGCTCTTAGAAGGGGACCCTTAGTAATGACAGGGAACTGCAGCAGAGACCCTGTGTTAAAATCTGGGTGATTTCCCCCCATAATTCGTTTATAAATTTCATTTTTAGTAATATATGGGAAACTTTTATGCTCAGGTGTCAGCATGTTACTAACACAATTATATGCGTGTTTTCTAAAATACATTCATTGATACATGTTATTCTTGAACCTGTAGTTTGTGATCTGTTCTCTAAAATGTGCCAGGTATCAAACCCAGATTGTTTCTTAAGATAATCTGTGGGTCATCCACGTGAGTGATTTGTCTAGAAGTGCAGTGTGGGGCACATGGCATCTCATTGCTTGACAGGGTCATAGTACCTCCCAGCGGGCCCAGAGAGGCCTGGGGAGGCCTCCCCTTCACGTGTGGGAGCTGCCCTGCCAGCTTGCTCAGGGTCTTGTCACTTCCATCTCAGACCAGCAGGTGTGACAGTGACTGAACTGCCAGATAGTTGACCAGATTGGCTGCAGGGAGGTCAGGGTCATCAGCGTGGTGAGTGCAGAGTGACAGCCAGTATCCGCACATCAGTCTGCATTGAAGGGCAGGCTGTCCAGCGATTGTTTTTATACAGTTCTTCACTGTGACTTCACCTTCAGCACTTTGTGTCATATGTGTTCTTTTTGATTTTGCTTATGTTTAAGTAACTAGATTGAGTGCCCAAATGCTTCATTCAGCTTTGCGGCTGTGCAGGTGACACTGGGCAGAGGCTGACATTACGGAGCGTCCTCCTGTAAGCACGCTGCCCCCATGTGGTTGTGGGGCTTTTTTTTTTTTTTTTTTTTTTTTTTTTTTTTTTTTTTTTTTTTTTTTTTTTTTTTGAGGCAGAGTCTTGCTCTGTCGCCCAGCCTGGAGTGCAGTGGCACAATCTCGGCTCACTGCAACCTCTGCCTCCCAGGTTCACACCGTTCTCCTGCCTCAGCTTCCCAAGTAGCTGGGACTACAGGCACCCACCACCACGCCCAGCTAATTTTTTTGTATTTTTAATAGAGACGGGGTTTCACTGTGTTAGCCAGGATGGTCTCGATCTCCTGACCTCAGGTGACCCGCCCACCTTGGCCTCCAAAAGTGCTGGGGTTACAGGTGTGAGCCACTGTGCCCGGCCTGTGGGGCCTTTCTTGGTGTGCAGTTGGTCTCAGCACCTGAGCCCAGGCGGCCTTCCCATTGCCTGTGTGGCTGGCACGAGACAGAGCACAGGTCTTTTTCCAAGCAGCTCAGATCTGTGGCTCTAATCTGTAACCAGCATTGGCTGTCGCTTTTAACTCCTCAATATCATGGAAGACCGAACCTCCAGCCTTCCAAGCCTTTGTTAGGCAAACGTAAAACATCTATAATTGTTTTTGTTCAGCAACTGGTTGAAGCCTCAGAGCGGTTGAAATCCCAGGCCAAGGAACTCAAAGATGCCCATCAGCAGCGAAAGCTGGCCCTGCAGGAGTTCTCGGAGCTGAACGAGCGCATGGCAGAGCTCCGTGCCCAGAAGCAGAAGGTGTCCCGGCAGCTGCGAGACAAGGAGGAGGAGATGGAGGTGGCCACGCAGAAGGTGGACGCCATGCGGCAGGAAATGCGGAGAGCTGAGAAGCTCAGGAAAGAGGTAGCTGTGGAGATGGTTCAGGGATGGTATCGACTGGACATTTGTGTGACTTTTATAAAACGTCTTTGAAATCTTGGGCTGCATTACTGTAAAAGGGGTCAGAAATTTTCTGTGGAGCCAAGTAAGTTGATCGGCCGAGCATTTATTTTGTTGTTCTCATTCCTCAATATTGGTGAAATTACAATAAGGTTCTTGTGGTGCTGATTTTCTTTAATTCCCTTTTAAGTAAATAGAGGGTGTTTATGCTGTGCTGTGATGCAGCCTGGCTTATGTGAATAAGACACCTGCAGTCCACACAGGGCAGGTGGCAGTAGAAAGGCAAATCACGGGCCGGGCACGGGGCTCACGCCTGGAATCCCAACACTGTGGGAGGCGCCAAGATAGATGGATCGTTGAGTTTAGGAGTTTGAGACCAGCCTGAGCAACATGGCAAAACCCTTCAGCACACTTCAGGCCGCCGCTTAGGTGAGTGCTTCTGAAGTGTCTTGGCTCAGCACCATTCGACACTGTTGGAATGATTACAACCCCAAAGAGCTTTCTTATGTAGGCTACAGCTCTCAACATGCACCATGGCAGAAATTAAAACAAAATCTTGTTAATACAATGAAAACCCATTTCATGTTAACATAAGTAACATGTTTAATGAAAAGTAACTATTTCTTTAAAAATTTGGCAGGAAGAATGGCATTTTTTACATTTTGTTAGCTGTTCTTTAATATCTGGCTGAATGGAAAACAGTTGAGTTCTCATGGCTGTTTCTTCAATCCGTTTTGCTACACCGTTCTGGATAAAGTACATGAAGAAATCCTGGCCCCCACAGATAGCTAATTAGGAAAGGAAGGGCCTTGCACACCCCTGATGTCTCAGGACCCCAGGGTTTGCAGCCCTGTGCCGCCCTGGGTGTTCTGAGTGTTCTGCTGTGAATGGTTGACATATTGTAAGCGATGCTTAGTTTAGAACTCTATTAAAATTTCCTTGATAAATCCCATAAATGAGAAGGCCTGGAAGCACATGCTCCTGTTCCTTTCAAGTTCAGGGCTCTTTGTTCTTTAGCCCCAGAGGACCTGTTTGTTTTCTTCTTAGTCTATTTTGCAACCCAAATATATTTGTAGTTACAGGCAGTTAAAACTGAAGTTAGTGATACCCCTAATGAGGAATTAGCATTCCACATATGGGGGAAGTGATAACAGTGCCTGGGATTGCCCTCGAGTGGTTTGGGCACAGGCAGAGATGAAGCGGGCTTGGCTCGGGAGCTCACTGTTGAAGCTGGGTGCCGGCACGTGTGTTCGCTATTCTGCTCGTTCTTCGTGTGCGTGTTTGAAATGGCCCATTTAATAAATGAATTCAAGTTCTACAGATATCAAAAGTACTGGTTTTCACGAATCAGTGAAATTTAAATTTCAAGAAATGTATCCTTTCTTGAAATTTAAGTGTCAATTTAAGCTAGAATTGAACCTTGTTTTATTAGTAACCAACCATCCCAGTTGAACCCAGAAGTGTATTTCTCAAACTTTAATTTGTGATAAGATTTGATGAAGGGTGAACACGCGCAGAGCTCCTTCGAGGTCTTGTTCTTGTGGAGGTCCCGTGGGTGCTGCTGTAACTGGTGAAGCAGGGCTCGCTTTTTGTTAATAGAAACTGGATCTTCCTTTTGTAGCTGGAAGCTCAGCTTGATGATGCTGTTGCTGAGGCCTCCAAGGAGCGCAAGCTTCGTGAGCACAGCGAGAACTTCTGCAAGCAAATGGAAAGCGAGCTGGAGGCCCTCAAGGTAGTGCTGGGCGGGGGTCTCTGCCCTTAACTGAGAGGGATGCTTATCTTTGCTGACGCCACCACATGGAAGTCACCTTGTGTAATGTGTGGTCCGGGCCGAGTGTCACCCGAGGCTGTTCAGACAAGACCCACATGTGGAGAGGTGGGGGGTGTGACCCCTGCCTTCGTGACTGCTTTCATTTTTAAAGGCCAAGTTCATGTTTTTCCTTTGTTATATAAAAGTTTCAGGCAATTCACAGTAAGTCCTAGGAAACGAATATCTAATTGGCTCATTTCCTACTCCAGCCCCATCAATTCATAGCCTTCTTCACATCGTGGTATTCTAAATTCGGTGCAGTTGAGTTTTGGAAAAGCTCCTTAAAGCCCGTAGCCTGCTGCTGACTGGGGAAGAGACAGGCTGGCCATCAGTCGGGGCCCACTGGTGGGGCTGGAGGGTAGCAGGGAGGCCGCGGAGGGCGGGAGTGGGGAAGGCCACAGTGGCCAAGTGGGCAAGGGGCCGGAGGCGGATCTCCTTGGCAGTATGGCGTGGCCTGGATCTCCTCATGTGTGAGCCGCGTGCGATGGGTCTGCCCTCTCCCTTCGCCTCAGTGATCTGGCAACTCTTCCTCTGGGACGTGGGCCTGAGATGCTGTTCCTCCCTGGCAGCGGGCTTGGCTGGACCTCGGCATGTGGTGCCCGAGGCTCCTGCCCCTTTCTCAGCCCTTGAGTCTCCTCTCTGCACAGCAGGCAGAGTGAGCTTGGCAGACCAAAGCCGGATCACATTCCTGTGCGGCAGGGCCTCCGTGGCTCCGCAGCTGTCCAGCAGCTACCCTCCTGCCTGCTCCAGCCCAGCAGTGCCTCTCCTGCCCCTCCTTGCCCCGCCACACCAGACACACTGGCCTCTCTGCATGCTGCAAACACTGCCAACACGTCCCACCTCACTCCAGCCTGTGCCCTTGTTCTTTGCCCCTAGCCTGACACCTCACTTAATAGGCCAGCACCTTACAGAAGCCGCCCCAGCCATCCTGGCACGCCCTCCACTCCCTACAACCTGGCTGGGGTGCACGGCCCCTCTGCCCCTTTACTGGTTTGCTGTCAGTTCCCGCCAGCCCCAAGAGAGCAGAGACCTCAGTGTCACCCCAGTCACAAGGAGGGGGCCCAGCACAGAGTCAGCCCTCAGAAGAATGCTGCAAGCATGAATGAACAGGGTGTGGGGCAGAGCTTCGGGGGTCCCAGGCAGACCTGGGCACATCCCCCTGCAAGGCCGTCTCCTGCTGTGACCCCCTAGAACCTGGATCACGTTAGCCAGGTCAGCTACGTCATCTGGTGTAGACCAGGCACACACAGTCCTTGGGAAGGTGTCTGCACTTGCTTGGGATGAAAGGGGTTGAAAGGACAGTGTGACCCTTGAGGACACAGAGGTTTGTCAATTTATGTTAACCTTTGTCTTCAGGTGAAGCAAGGAGGCCGGGGAGCGGGTGCCACCTTAGAGCACCAGCAAGAGATTTCCAAAATCAAATCCGAGCTGGAGAAGAAAGTCTTATTTTATGAAGAGGAATTGGTCAGACGTGAGGCCTCCCATGTGCTAGAAGTGAAAAATGTGAAGAAGGAGGTGCATGATTCAGAAAGCCACCAGCTGGCCCTGCAGAAAGAAATCTTGATGTTAAAAGATAAGTTAGAAAAGTCAAAGCGAGAACGGTAGGTTTTCATGAGCTTCTCAGTTCAGAAGATGCAAGCTGATACCCACGCCATAGATACGAATATCAGTGAAGTTACGAGCTTTTAAAACTGTTTCTCGCTCACCTTGGCAGGCATAACGAGATGGAGGAGGCAGTAGGTACAATAAAAGATAAATACGAACGAGAAAGAGCGATGCTGTTTGATGAAAACAAGAAGCTAACTGCTGAAAATGAAAAGGTAATTAATTCAAAGTACCTGAGTTAGCACTTTGTGTGGAAGTTGTAATTTAAAAAAAAATTATTTTTAATTTGTGTGGGTACATAGTAGGTATATATATTTATGGGGGAGTAGAATGTCGTCATTCTTGAGTCTTGGAAGTTTGGTTTTTTTTTTTTGAGATGGAGTCTCGCTCTGTCGCTCAGGCTGGAGTGCAGTGACGCGATCTTGGCTCACTGCAACCTCTGCCTCCCAGGTTCATGCCATTCTCCCACCTCAGCCTCCCAAGTGGCTGGGACTACAGGCGTCTGCCACCACGCCTGGCTAAGTTTTTGTATTTTTAGTAGAGACGGGTTTTCACCGTGTTAGCCAGGATGGTCTCAATCTCCTGACCTCATGATCCACCCACCTCAGCCTCCCAAAGTGCTGGGATTACAGGCATGAGCCACTGCGCCGGCCGAAGTTTGGTGTCTTTTTACAGTGCAGTAATGTGCCATATAACGATGCTTCCATCAATGATAGACTGTGTGTACAACAGGCGTCCCGTACGATCATAATACTGTACTTTACTCTACCTCTTCTGTGTTGAGATACACAGATACTTAGCATTGTGCTACAGCCGCCGGCAGCGTCCCGCACAGCAACATGGTATGCAGGCTTGGGGCCTGGAATTGACAGGCTGTACCACAGGGCCTGGTGTGCGGCAGCCGCACCGTCTAGGCTTGCGTGAGTGCATTCACGCTGTGTGTGCAAGGACACGTTTCTCAGACCGTGTTCTTGCTGTTTCACTACACGTGACTGTTTTAATTTTTGAATGGAGTCATGTGTTTGGTCTTTTAAATAGGATGTTTGTATTCAGCGAAAAGATGCCAATTGCCTGAAGTCACTAGCTCCAGCTCCATCAGTTTAGGTTTAGATTTGAATTGAAATGTGACTTAAGCTAGATACAGTGAAAAAAATCCATATCATGAACTTAGTTTGGAAAAATCTCATGACGATTAAAGAAAACTTTCAGAGTCTTCAAAAGAACTTCCAGTGTTAAATCCAGCATACTTAAAGGATGCCCGATTAACAAGTTCTGTGGTGAAATTGTTTCATTTCAGCTCTGTTCCTTTGTGGATAAACTCACAGCTCAAAATAGACAGCTGGAGGATGAGCTGCAGGATCTGGCAGCCAAGAAGGAGTCAGTGGCCCACTGGGAAGCTCAGATTGCGGAAATCATTCAGTGGTACGTGCGCGGCCCCATTAGCGGCCGTGAATCCGCTCCCTGCTCAGTCCATGGGGTCTGCCCCGCCTCTTCTGCCTGATCCTGTGCTCCACGCCAGGCCGTGCCTCTCAGGCTGGGGTGCAGGTCTCACTGCTGTTCCCCAGAACTTCTCATGTCTGGGGCAGTGGTTCTGTTGGAATAGAGGTGGAGATACGCCCCCACCAACCCACTGAAGGACTTGGGGCAAACCGTTCACACCCCTTGCGTTCTCAGAGACAGGGGAGGCAGAGCCCTCCCAAAGCGGCTGCAGAAGCAGCAGGGAGACTTGGAGCGAGCTGGGACCTGGCCCTCCGCTCCTAAGGTGTGAAGTTGTAATTAAAAAAAGAGTTTTTATTTTTAATTTTTGTGGGTGCGTAGTAGGTATATATATTTATGGAGTAATAGAATTTTTTCATTCTTGAGTCTTGGAAGTTTGGTGTCTTTTTAAACTGCAGTCATGTGCAATGTAACGACGCATCCATCAATGAGATCCCGTGTATACAACGGGTACACTGCGGGCACTCTAGCTGACGTGACACTGTGTCACTGTGTGCCGAGGAAGGCGGGAACGTCCCCTTCTTGTTTGGCTTCTCCCTGATAGCCATGCTTCGTGAGATAGAACATCTGTTCCCTCCTCCAGGGTCAGTGACGAGAAAGATGCCCGGGGTTACCTTCAAGCTCTTGCTTCCAAGATGACCGAAGAGCTCGAGGCTTTGAGGAGTTCTAGTCTGGGGTCAAGAACACTGGTAGGTTTTGTGTAATGCCTGCATTTCTATTACTGAATAATTCGCTAATGGTTTTAAGTATAAATGTGACATATAAGTACTATTTAGGGAATTACAGTGATGCAAGAGACTTCTGTGTAACCAGTTCCCCAATTTAAGGAACGCCAACATTTGCCAGCTCTCAGATCATCATGGCTTCTCTCGACAGCATTCATTCGTTTAGCAAATAATTACTGAGCACTGAGCTCCGTGGTGTCAAGTTAAGACTGGATTCTGCCCTCAGAGAGCTTGCTTTTATTAATTTCATTGGTTCATTTAGTGATGTGTGTATTTTATTTTTTTCCTCCCGCGACAGTCTCACTCTGTTGCCCAGGCTAGAGTGCAGTGGCGTGATCTCGGCTTACTGCAACCTCCGCCTCCCGGCTTCAAGTGATTCTCCTGCCTCAGCCCCCCCGAGTAGCTGGGATTACAGGCGTGTGCCGCTACACCTGGCTCATTTTTGTATTTTAGTAGAGACGGGTTTCCACCATGTTGGCCAGGCTGGTCTCAAACCCCTGACCTCAGGTGATCTGCCCGCTTCGGCCTCCCAAAGTGCTGGGATTACAGGCATGAGCCCCCACACCTGGCCTTCCTCTGTCCATTTTCTTCTCTTTACTGTTATAGATGGAAAATGAAGCATTCTCAATTGTGTTCAATGAAAGGTTTTCAGTTTGTTTTAAAAAAGAAAAAACAGCAAGATGGCATCTCTGGACTTCTTTGATACCTCTCGAAAGTTGATGTCATACATTGGGCAACTCAGTAAGAAAACAGGAGGATGATGTTAGTGAACTGGCTTATTCCACTGTTGCTTCATCCTAGGTCACTCTGTCATTCTTCCCTTATTATTTTAGTCTTTTTTTTTTTTTTTTTTTTTTAATCACAGGTAGGAATGAGTAATGACATAATTCCCAGGATGGTGAAATAGCAAAACGTTTCAAGTTATGAGAAAAAGATAACCGAACCCTATAATGTACCTTAGGTTTGTAAAAGGGTCCAGGGTCCAGTGGACCCATATAGAAATTGCATTACAGAGGCCAGGCGCAGCGGCTCATGCCTGTAATCCCAGCACTTTGGGAGGCCAAGGGGGGTGGATCACGAGAGCAGGAGTTGGAGACTAGCCTGGCCAACGTGGTGAAACCCTGTCTCTACTAAAAATACAAAAATTAGCCAGGCATGGTGGTGCGGCACCTGTAATCCCAGCTACTGGCTACTGGAGAGGCTGAGACAGGAAAATCGCTTGAACCCAAGAGGCGGAGGTCGCGGTAAGCTGAGATCACGCCATTGCACTCCAGCCTAGGCAACAAGAGCGAAACTACATCTCAAACAAAAAAAAAAAGAAAAGAAAAGAAAAGAAATTGCACTACAGAATCACTTTTATTCTTCTAAAAGATAAAGTAAATTATTTAGTTATTTTTTAGAAGATTTCTGAGGAAGAGTAAAAAAAGTCATAAAATATCAAAACTAAAACTCCTGAGGCACCTCCATAATTTAGAGTTAATATCTAAATGAGACCGTAATGGCTTAAGGTTAGACAAAGATAACTTATTTGTTAACATTAGTTTAACAAGCGGATAACTGAAAATGCATTTTTAACGCCATGACCGTGTCTCAAGGACCCGCTGTGGAAGGTGCGCCGCAGCCAGAAGCTGGACATGTCCGCGCGGCTGGAGCTGCAGTCGGCCCTGGAGGCGGAGATCCGGGCCAAGCAGCTTGTCCAGGAGGAGCTCAGGAAGGTCAAGGACGCCAACCTCACCTTGGAAAGGTACTTGGTGCCAGGGTCTGACTCCAGGTAGGAGCAGTGGCTGTGTGGCCTCGAGCCCGCCCTGAGCCTCACGGGCTCCGATGCTCCTCGCCTGGAAAATCGGGGCCACGGCGTTTGCTGGAGCCTTAGGAGGCAGCACGTCGGGTTCACCTGCAGGAGCCCCGAATAGCAGGCCGTTCTGGCACTGAGGTGGCCGCGAGGGTGCAGGGCCTTGCCTGCCGCGGGGGGGTGTGGTGCGGTGCGAGCCGTGTTTTGACGGCAGCGGGTGCTTGTGCCCCCACGCTGGGTAGCGAGACTCACACCGCTGTCTGACAGGAGCCCCTCTCACTGCTTAGTCACCTCCGTGCCGCTCCATTCACTAATTCAAGATTGTTCCTTTCAAGCTAACGTGAATATTTTAAAACAGAGGTTGAAGATGGCATTCTCACTTGAAATTTTTCCCTAACTCCAAGCAGTAACGAGAACGCCATTTTCACACAGCAGTGATTCAGTCAGTATTTGCTGAGAGTCTCCTCTTTGCAGATCTGGTTTTACGAGGATACGATAATGAACGTCAGTTTCATAAAAACCAGGCCAGCTCTGCTGTGCCATGAGGCAGGCGAGGACCTGGAAGGGACAGTGTCTCTAACAGAATTACCAAGTCCCAAATCCTGTTAGTTTGGGGCTAAAAAATTAATGGTAATAGGTTTCAGTTAAATTGACTTTCTTTATACTGGGAATTGCTGTAAGACTGTTCTGTTGTTAAATCCTGTGACCCTCCCACAGCCCAACAGGGTAGGCAGTCTTGTTACTCCCACTTACACACACTCCGCAGGTGATTTGCCCACTGTCACCCCACTGATGAGTGGACCAGCCCCCACAAACTGCATCCCTCCCGGCCAGGTGTTCCCCGTGGCAGCCTGACTTCCTCTGTCCCCTGCACGAAGTTGCTGGAATTGCAAGGCTACCCGTGCGGGTGGTGCTGGTGCTTCTTGGTGCAGCCACCATCTTGCCAGTTATGGGAAAGATATTGATGGGGCTGACGGCTGAGCGGCCTGGGCCCTGTGTCCCTGAAGAACAGAGGACTCGCCTGGGAACAAGATTAGGAAGGTCAAGAGCTCCATTAGGCCTTCATGAGACACGCCTTCCTAAGCCATGACTTTTTAAATTCCTGTTTGAATGTTTATATTTGAAATATTCGTACTGTTCATGGTGTTTGCAGTAGAAAGGCCCAGCATGAGCTACCGTGTTCTGGACAGTCCTGAGTGCTGGGGAGAAATCCCGGCTCTCTCATCCTGACCTGCCCCATACCAGCTCACAGACAACCTCTTCTCAGTGCACTTAAAGCCATTTATTTTTTATTTTAGCAAACTAAAGGATTCCGAAGCCAAAAACAGAGAATTATTAGAAGAAATGGAAATTTTGAAGAAAAAGATGGAAGAAAAATTCAGAGCAGATACTGGTAAATTAATGTTGTGCGATTCTGCATTATTTGAATATAAGTATTTTTCAAATGAATGTTTTTATTTTCTTTTCGACTTAATAGTTACTTTAGAAGCACCTACAGAATTCCAAATTCAGTATTTTCCAAAATCAGCATTTTCAAACAACATCTTCAAATATATTTTCCCCAAAGGTAGCCATTGTTTTTGGTTTATCCTTCCTTTTTTTTTGAGACAGTCTCGCTGTGTCACCCAGGCTGGAGTGCAATGGCACAATCTCGGCTCACTGCAACCTCTGCATCCTGGGTTCAAGGATTCTCCCGCCTCAGCCTCGCAAGTAGCTGGGATTGCAGGTGCACACCACCACCACCCCTGGCTAATTTTTGTATTTTTAGTAGAGATGGGGTTTTGCCACGTTGGCCAGGCTGGTCTGCAACTCCTGACCTCAGGCAATCCACCCACCTCAGCCTCCCAAAGTGCTGGAATTACAGGTGTGAGCCACCGTGCCCAGCCTATCCTTCCTTTCATCTTGAAAGCATATGGCAAATCCACACAAATCTAGGCACACATTTGTATCCCCTGATAACACAAAAGGCATCATTTTGTGCTGGAGGGGCCACCCCGGCCTCCTCTGCAGCTGCACTGTGCGCTGCCGTGGGCTGGCCAGCCACTGGGATGGTTTATTCCCTGGCATTTGCTGTCACAGAAAGTGCTGCCAGGAGTGGCTGTATGGATAGAACATTTCCTGTTTTTGTCGGTGTATTTCGGGATAGAGTTCTAGAAGTGGGATTGCCAGGGCAAAGGGCAAACATGCCTGTACACTCTTGCTGCATGCTGACGGACAGGCCTCCAGAGGCTGTGCAGTGACGTTCCTCCCACTTTGCATGAGGGGTTTCTGCCCCACAGCCTACCCACAAAGTAGGATTTCAGACTTTTGGATTTTTGCCGCTCTGAATAGGTGAGAAATAGCATCTCCGTAGAGGTTTAACTTGCATATTTCTCATAAGTAAGATTGAGCATCTTTTTATATGTTTGAGGGACTTTTGTATTTTGTGCATTATATGTTTTTATTGTTTGCCCGCTTTTAAAAATTCAGGTTGTTAGTCTTGCGGATTTCTAAAAGCCTTTTGCATTTTGGGGATTAGTGCCTTTTGTTTGTGATGTAAGTTGCAAGTATTTTTCCTAGTTTGTCTTTGCTTATCATTTATTTATTTTTTTGCCAAATAAAAGTGGTTTTGCAGCCGGTGCGGTGGCTCACGCCTGTAATCCCAACACTTCGGGAGGCTGAGGTGGGCGGATCACCTGAGGTCTGGAGTTCGAGACCAGCCTGACCAACATGGAGAAACCCCATCTCTTGTAAAAATACAAAATTAGCTGGGCGTGGTGGTGCATGCCTGTAATCCCAGCTACTCAGGAGGCTGAGGCAGGAGTATTGTTTGAACTTGAACCTCAACCCGGGAGGCAGAGGTTGCGGTGAGCCGAGATTGCACCATTGCACTCCAGCTTGGGCAACAAGAGCAAAACGCTGTCTTAAAAAAAAGTGGGGGGGGTTTTGCCATCTCTACTAAAAATACAAAAATTAGCTGGGCGTGGTGGGGCATGCCTATAGTCCCAGCTACTCAGGAGGCTGAGGCAGGAGAATCGCTTGAACCTGGGAGGCAGAGGTTGCAGTGAGCTGAGATCTCGCCACTGCACTCCAGCCTGGGTGACAGAGCCAGATTCCGTCTGTCAAGAAAAAAAAAAAAAGGTGGTTTTCAAAATTTTTTGTGTGTCAAGTTTTCAGTCTTCTTCCTTTTTTGAGTCATAAATAGGAAAATACACCTAACTCCCAGTTGTTGGAGGGATTCCCTCATGCTTCTCATACTTGTGTGGCTTCATGATTGATTGATTGATTGATTGATTGATTGATTGATTGATTCAGGGTCTTGCTCTGTTGCCCAGGCTGGAGTGCAGTAGCACGATCAGGGTTCACTGCAGCCTCAACTTTCTGGGCTCAAGTGATCCTCCCACCTCAGCCCCCTGAGTAGCTGGGACTACAGGCACGTGCCACCACACCTGGCTATTTATTTATTTATTTATTTATTTTTAGAGATGGGGTTGTGCCGTATTTCCCAGGCTGGTCTTGAACTCCTGGACTCAAGCAATCTGACTGCCGTGTCTCCCAAAGTGCTAGGATTACAGGCGTGAGCCACCGTGCCCAGCCTCATTTTTTAAATTAGAATACTGATCCATTTGAAATTTGCTCTGACATACGGTTCGAGGAGTGTATCCAGTTTTATCTTTTGCTAATGGCTAGCTGGTTGTCCAATACCAGTTATTAAGCTATTTTTCCTGCTGGTTTTATGTATGACTGTTGTCATGTACAGGATCACCATGGGCTTGGGTCTGTTTCTGGATCTTCTCCCCTGTTCCATTGTTCATGGGGAAGAACCACTTGATTCTTGTTTTTTGATATGTGTTTTTTTGTGTGTGTGACAGGGTCTCACTCTGTCACCCAGGCAGGAATGCAGTGGCACGTGCAGCCTCAATCTCCCCAGCTCAAGTGATCCTCCTGTCTCTGTCTCCCAAGTAGCTAGGACCACAGGCACATGCCACCATGCACAGCTAATTTTATTTATTTAATTTTTATGGAGATGGGGTCTCTCTGTGTTGCCCAGGCTGGTCTCAAACTCATGGCCTCAAGCAGTCCTCCGACCTTGGCCTCCCAAAGTGCTGGGATGACAGGTGTGAACCACTGTGCCTGGCCATGATTCTTATTGTAGAGGCCTTAGTGAATCTGCTTTAATATCTGGTAGATCTGCTCCTCCTCCACCTACGCCCAGCCCAGCTGCCCCTGTGGTTTTGAGGGGTTTTGTTTTTTGTTTTTGTTTTTTTTTGAGATAGAGTCTTGCTCTGTCGCCCAGGCTGGAGTACAGTGGCATGATCTTGGCTTACCACAACCTCTGCCTCCTGGGCTCGAGATTCTCCTGCCTCAGCCTCCCGAGTAGCTGGGATTTCAGGCACATACCACCATGCACAGCTAATTTTTGTATTTTTAGCAGAGATGGGATTTCACCATGTTGGCCAGGCTGGTCTTTAACTCCTGACCTCAGGTGATCCGCCCACCTCGGCCTCCCAAAGTGTTGGGATTACAGGCGTGAGCCACCGCACCCAGTCCCTTGGTTACTTTTTCAAGTGAACTTTTTGATTCTTGTTACTCTCTGGGGAAAAGCCTGACCCCTTTTTTTTTTTTTTTTTTTTTTAATTGTGATCATGTCAGATGTATCAGTTACTCAAGGAGAATTGACATCTTGAAGACACTGAGTCTGTCTGAAAATAATATGTAGACTTTAGTTTTTTTGCCTTGACTATTCTTTGTTTCTTTTTGCAGGGCTCAAACTTCCAGATTTTCAGGATTCCATTTTTGAGTATTTCAACACTGCTCCTCTTGCACATGACCTGACATTTAGAGTAAGTCATTGTTTTTTTTTTAAGTGACAGATGAGTTTATGATAAGTTAGAAATAGTGTCATATATGATTTTACCACTCATGGGGCCACAAACACACCAGTAAATATACATTCAGTGTTTATCTCAGCGTTGTGCTAACTGTGTAATTGACCCACATGTAATCAACCCACATTAAACGCATCAGGTGACAGACATTTAGGGTATTTGAGGTGCTCCCAGAGAAGCTTTCTCAACTCAGATTAAGTAGAGATGAGATTAAGAAAGTGCTCAGCCTCTTCAGGGAGAAATCTGCACTGGCCTCAGCTGTGTAGTGAGTATTTTTTTTTTTTTTTTTGAGACGGAGTCTTGCTCTGTCACCCAGGCTGGAGTGCAGTGGCATGATCTTGGCTCACTGCAACTTCTGCCTCCCGGGTTCAAGTGATTCTCCTGCCTCAGCCTCCCAAGTAGCTGGGACTACAGGCACCCACCACCACGCCCGGCTAATTTTTGTATTTTTAGTAGAGACAGGGTTTCACCATATTGGCGAGGCTGGTCTCGAACTCCTGACCTCAGGTGATCCACCCACCTTGGCCTCCCAGAGTGCTGGGATTACAGGCGTGAGCCACCACGCCCAGCCTGTAGCGATTATTTCAAGAAAATAATACAAATTCTCACACTGGGATGGGTGCAGTGGCTCACGCCTGTAATCCCAGCACTTTGGGAGGCTGAAGTGGGAGGATCACTTGAGCCCAGGAGTTCAAGACGAGCCTGGGCAATATAGCGAGACCCTATCTCTTAAAAAAAAAAATCCCACACTAGAGCGAATAAAAATACTTTAGTTGTGTTTCCATCTGTGTAGCTGTAGAGTTCGGCATTGGGGATCGATGGGAAAGGTGGTTGATGGGAACAGTCTGGCACCAGGTGCCTTGCCGAGACCCTCACAAGGAGGCCAACCCCCTCAGGCAGTCGGAGCCGCTGGTCATCTACTTGGGAATTAGCTGTCGAGTGAGGAGCAGACCCCACTGCCTCCCTCCATGGGCCGCAGGTTCTTGGTGGCATTCCGTGGAGGCAGGACAGCCTTTCCTCCTCTTTGAAACCTGTAGGGATGCACCCTTGATAGCAGCACGCAAAGCATATTGGAGCAGGGAGAGTGGAGCTCACTAATGGAACTCCTGATGGGGTGCAGGGTGGGGAAGGTGGTTCCAGCCTTTGATTTAGAAAACTCCAGCCCTGCAGGCGAGTGGGAAGAATAGGGTGCATGTGTACATGTCCCTCACCTGGGGTTTTGCTACATCTGCTTTCTCTCTCTCAACATAAGAGACTTTCTTCCTCTGAAGTATTTGAAAGCGACTTGAAGGTATCAGCGACCCCAACATACTTCAGCAGTTATTTCCTACGATTGGGGCATTCTCTCACATAACCACAGTGTCACTGTCATCAGGCATTCTGTGCTGATGCCGTGGGACAGCCCATATCCATGTGTCCCTTGTCGTCCCAGGAATGCCCTTTCCTGCTGGCTTTTCCTCCTAGTTCTGGATCCATCTGGAGGTCATGAATCGCATTTAGTCTTTTGTTTCCTTTAATCTGGAACAGTTCCCCATCTGTTCCCTTTTATGACAATGATATTTTGGTGTTACCCAGGCCAGTTGTCCTGCAGAATGTCCACTCTGGGTTTGTCTGATGTTTCATCTTCATCAGTTGTGGGTTGAACCTTTGGCACAAACTCTCCTCAGGAGGAGCTGTGCCCTTTCCACGCACAGAGGCCGGCCTGCCCAGGGTGGGTGATGCCAAGTCTGATCGTTGGGTTGAGGTGGGGTTGGCTAGGGTTGCTGCCTGTGTGAGTAGGGGGCAGTCAGCAGGTGCCCATGTGGGCATCTGCCCGTAGCAGCCTCCCTTGGGGTGGACTCTTAGCATCCTGGCCTGTGTCTGTCATTACAACACCCAAGCAGGCTTGCATTGCTCACAGCCACTCTGGACGCACACCTGTTCACCTTCACCTGTCAAAATGTTTGTTTGTTTTATCAAACTGGCAATGCTTGTCTTTTCCCTGAAATCCACAGTTTTGAAGAAGCAAATCTATTTAACCGGTAAGTGCCCGCCAGATCTTTGATAAGCCTGTTTCTGCACAAGTCATTGCCTCTCTCGTTGCTGCGGAGCCGGGCACTGCTGTGGGGAGGAATAAGTGGATTCCAGAGAACCAGAGATGGTGCTTGATCACTGAATGGAGGCGGCCAGGAAAGCGGTAGCTTTCTGTAACATTAACAGAGTAGAGGGCCCGGTAGCAAGTGAGTTTACAGCCAGTACTGTCCATGAGTGTGTGAGTCACAGCTGTGGAGAGTGGGCAGCAGAGATGGAGACAGAGGCGGCATCTTCATGCCTCATTCTCTACAGCCAGCACGCCTGCCCTTGCTAATCCCTCATCCCTCCCTTTTTTTTTTTTTTTTTTTTTTTTTGAGACAGTCTTACTCTGTCACCCAGGCTGGAGTGCAGTGGTGCAGTTTCGGCTCACCACAACCTCCACCTCCCAGGTTCAAGCAATTCTTGTGCCTCAGCATCCCAAGTAGCTGGGACTACAGGCACGCGCCACTATGCCCGGCTAATTTTTTTTTTTTTTTTTTTTTTTTTTTGTATTTTTAGTAGAGATGGGGTTTCACCATGTCGCCCAGGATGGTCTTGAACTTCTGACCTCAGGTGATCCACCCACCTCAGCCTCCCAAAGTGCTGGGATTACAGGTGTGAGCCACCATGCCTGGCCCATAATTGATTTATAAATTGTGATATAAGCACACATAACATAAAACTTACCATCTTAACCATTTTTTAGAGTCAGGGCTTCCTTCTGCTGCCCAGGCTGGAGTGCCGTGCCACCATCATAGCTCACTGCAACCTCAAACTCCTGGGCTCAAGCGATTCTCCTGCCTCAGCCTCCTGAGTAGCTGGCACTACAGGTGCTCGCCACCGCACCCAGCTAATTTTTAAATTTTTGTAGAGATGGATTCTTGCTATATTGCCCAGACCGGTCTCAAACTCCTAACCTCAGGTGATCTGCCCGCCTTGGCCTCCCAAAGTGCTGGGATTATAGGCATGAGCCACCGTGCCTGGCCGCTAATCCCTCTGTGATTTAAATGGGAAGGCATTTATTGTTGAACAGAAAAAACCCTCCATCAGGGGCTGGGTCTGTTAGAGCTTCCAGACTCTTTTGAAAATTGTCTTTGAGAAACTTCTTATCCCACGCTGCCTGCATGAAACATGTTGGTTTTTACTAGAAACAGTTTGTCACCAAGATTAAGTCAATATATCTTCATGCCAGTGTTGACTGGGTGGGAAATGATGTTTGTTCCTCCTGTCTGTTACCTCCAAGGACTCTCTCTCCTCCTCGTCTGCATCTTCCCTGCTAGCCTTTTGGGAAGAAGTAAGTGGCTGCCAGCGCTGGCTTCCCGCAGCTTTCACTCCTGTTAGTGCACAGCCTCCTCAATGTTCCTGTTCCTGAATCTGCATCCCTTTGATTAATTAACCAACTAAATGAAACGAGTGGGGCTTTTACATGCCTAAAATTAATATTCTTTTTCTCATTTATCTAAAGATGGAACCGTAACACTTAACATACCTTGTTTATGGGGCAGATTTGCTTACATTTTTGAGCTTTGGTAATTAGCCAGTCGAGCTAGCCTTTCCCTTGTGAATTTGCAGTACACAGTTGTGTGTGTGTTTTATGTGTGTATGCTGCCATCCCATCTGAATTTGGCTCCTTCCTCAGTGGCCTAATTAATTGCAACTGTTGGAAAGTGTTTATCTGATTTGGTTCATTGGGATTCTGATGTGGAACACAAAATACAGCTGTCAATGCTTTAGGCGCCTACCCAGCCATGTCTGTGTCCCATCACACTGCTTGCTGGTGCTAACACTTGCTACTCAGCATACCTACATGTGCGTCTGTAAACAGCAGTGGCCTGTGATGATAAACTATTAGTTTCAGGAATACTTGTTGAAATAGAGTTGTTTTTAAGTGGTTTCAGAGTGTAGCTTTAGCTTCAAATAAATCACTGTGAAATTAGAACTCTTAATTTGTTAAAACAAAACATTGCTTCCCTGTGTCATAAAATTTTCAAGGAAATTCTTAAATCTACTCATGGGCCCACCGACCTCTGTTGATGTTCGAATTTCTTCTTGATCCTTGAAATGAGGTTAAGAAGCATTTGGCTATTTGATCTTTTCTTCTTTCTCTTTTTCTTTTGAGACAGTCTTGATTTGTTGCCCAGGCTGGAGTGCAATGACTTGATCTCGGCTCACTGCAACCTTCTCCTGGGTTCAAGCGATTGTCGTGCCTCAGCCTCCAGAGTAGCTGGGATTATGGGTGTGTGCTAGCACACCCGGCTAATTTTTGTATTTTTAGTAGAGACGGGGTTTCGCCATGTTGGCCAGGCTGGTCTCAAAATCCTGACTTCAGGTGGTCTGCCCCCCTCAGCCTCCCAAATTGCTGGGATTACAGGCGTGAGCCACCGTGCCTGGCCTGGCTAATTGATCTTAAGGCTGCTAGGCTTAGATAACATTACTTATGAATAAAGGTCAGGAAGGATCAGCATTTCCAGGTCTTGCCCTTTCAGTGACCGGGGCAAGGAGGCTGCAGGAGGGGGCGGGTATGCTCAGGGCTGTGCATTAGAGGTGTCTCCAGGCAAATTCTCACCTCAGCGGGGTGACTGTGACTTGTCAGACTCCACCTGCCCACGCAATCACCACTCAGCTGAGGAAGCCAAGTGCAGGGGTCCTCAGGGCAGGCCGGCCAGCTGGGAGTGGAGCAGGGGTCTGTGAGGAGACCCAAGGGGTGATAGGATCCAGGAGTAAGAACCGCTGGGACTTCTGGGCTAGACAGAATCTGCTTTTATTAGTAAAGAACTTGTAAGTAGAGTCTGGATCATGTAGAATATGTCCTTTCACCCCACTCTTTCTTTCTTGGTTCTCACAGACCAGCTCAGCTAGTGAGCAAGAAACACAAGCTCCGAAGCCAGAAGCGTCCCCGTCGATGTCTGTGGCTGCATCAGAGCAGCAGGAGGTGAGACAGCGTTGCCCTGGTGATGCTCCCACCTGGGGTCTGCCCTCGTGTCCAGGTGACCAGATGCTGCTCACCTGGCCCCTGCATAACAGTTTGCAGCGAGGGCCTCTGCCCAGGTGCTCAAGCCCACCTTTCATTTTGAGAATTAACTGTCAGTCCCTCCCCTAGATGAGGGAGGCTTCCGCAGATGTCTCAACATTGTAGCAAATTAAAAATGCAGAACTGTTCACTGTTAACACATTCTTGAGAGAAGTGCACCCCGTAGGGCCAGGTGTCTCAGCCATGCTGAGCTGGGCCGACACTCACCTGTCCTGCTTGTCTCCCAGGACATGGCTCGGCCCCCGCAGAGGCCATCCGCTGTGCCGTTGCCCACCACGCAGGCCCTGGCTCTGGCTGGACCGAAGGTAGGGGCCTTGCTTTCACCCGGGGCGCCTTCTTAGTTATTTAGTTGTTTATTTATTCTCAGTTATTTAGAAAATAAGTTTTGTATAAATAAAACATACTTAGTCATTTTTGCATACACACAGTAGCGACCCTCATGTTCTGTAGGAAAGTTGTTGAGAATGGTGTGTAATTCAGGAAGCTGTCAGGACCCTGTGTTTTCTTAATGATACCAGTGCTACACAAATATATTTTAATTGGAAAAGTTCAGCATTCAGTCTCCCCACTCTCCTTCTCTCATTCCCCAAGCCATATTCCCCTCTCCACAGGTAGGCAGCTTACTTCTCCACATTGATTTTCATTTGTCTGCCTGCACTTAGAGAACCTTACAGAACCATGTGGCTGGTGGGTGAGAATGACTCCCAGCATAAACGGCCCTGCAGTGCATGTGCGGTTCTGAGCCTCATCCTTTCCACAAGTGCATCCTGGAGAGCCAGCACAGCGGCCCCACTGGGCCCCTGCTCCCCTGTCCTGGCCTCGGCTTCTTCTGTAACATCCCCTTTTCTTTCATATAAACATCAACGCAGATCAGAAAGTCTCCAGGGTGACGGGCCCCTGAGTTCCAAGCATTGCGAGTACGTAGCCCTGTGGCCTAAGGTGGTTTTTGTTGTTGTTAATGTAGACACGGCCTCTGCCTGTGCTTCCTGCCACAGGCAGCTATGCCGGCTGGACGTAAGAAGCCAAACTTCTATGAGGCTACCTAAGGGTTTGGCTTTTGGACTAAGACTCTTGCAGAGTCAGGGACCAAGTCGCGAGGTCGTTTATTTGGTTACCATATTTGATAGCAACTCTGCAGAGTGCTGGTGTGTCACTCCTAGTCCTGATGGCCCGGCCACCGCCCCACGGCCTCCCTGCCCACCTCAGCCAGCCTCTTCCCCCACAGCTCTCTGGAGTTTGTGTCGGTCACTCCCCTACTTCTTGCAAGTGGTCTCACCCACATCTGTTTCCTGCTGAGGATCGTATTGGTCTCTGCTGCGCCTGAGCTTGGTAAACAGGCGGTCCCGCATGGCCTGCACCACGACCCTCTGTTCAGCCTTGGGGCTGCTGCAGTTGCCGCTGGGTTCACAATGTGTCCACTCCTGATGAGGGACCGTGAGCCTTTCCAGGCGTTTGCTGTTATGAACTGTCCTCCTGTCGGTGATTCTTGGGTGTCTCTTGGACACATGCAAGGCCTGTGTGCAGCCCAACCTAAATGTGGCCCCAGGTCGGCCCCCAAGAGCCAGTTGGTGCTGGTCTCCAGGAGGCCAGGAGCATGAGCCAGAAAGAGCACTGGCCATGCCACCTCGGCCCTCTGGCCCAGCTGACCTCGCTTTTTGGTAGCAGTGCTCTCCCACTGAAGGAAGTATTTGTTGGCCTCTCTCTGGCTCAGGCTCGTAGGTGGTTTTCACCACTATTTGATGAGCCCTGTTAGGGAACACGTAGACCAAGACCAGAACTTGCACATTTCCACCTTTTCAGGATAATGCCCAAGCTGTGTATAAACTGGATCACAGGCAGATGGATCTGACTCTCAAGAGTCCATGGTTCACCTCAGTGTTCTTGATTTTCTCCTTCCAGCCAAAAGCTCACCAGTTCAGCATCAAGTCCTTCTCCAGCCCTACTCAGTGCAGCCACTGCACCTCCCTGATGGTTGGGCTGATCCGGCAGGGCTACGCCTGCGAGGGTGAGTGTCGTTGCAGCTCCTGGGGTCAGCGTGCACAGCCCCACACCCCTGCAGCTAAGGGCACCAGCCGGCTCCAGGGCAGCCCTGATGCAAGCAAACCAAACTAAAGTGAAATGTCATTGGCATGATTTGAGGACAGGGTTTTTTTTAGGGGGAGTGGGGAGATAGGGTCTCACTCTGTCACTCAGACTTCAGTGCAGTGGTGCAATCACAGTTCAGCTCAAGCGATTCCCTTGTCTCAGCCTCTCAAGTAGTTGAGACCTCAGACACACACACCACCAGCATGCCTGGCTATTTTTAAATTTTTTTTGTAGAGAGTTGAGGGATCTCACTTTGTTTCCCAGACCGGTCTCAAACTCTGGGACTCAAGTGATCTCCCGCCTTAGCCTCCCGAAGTGCTGGAATTACAGGCATGAGCCACTGCACCCAGCCTGGCAGGTTTATTTTTACAAATCCTCAGTAAAGGTCTGTGGAACCGTGGATCCCTGCTGTGCTGGGGGCTCCATTGTGCTGTGCGCCTCTGTGGTGACTCAACTCATCTACTGAGAATTACTACGAAGTAGATCATCTGCAGCTGTTCTAGAAAATCAGAGAGGAAAAGTAATTGTGTAAAACCTTCCACTGTCAAATTATCTAAAGATAACCACAATTATTTGTCTCTGCTTCTGGTCGTCATTCGTATTTTTTTTCTTTTTTTCTATTTCTTTTTCGAGACAAGAGTTTGACTCTGTTGCCCAGGCTAGAGTGCAGTGGCTCAATTTCAGCTTACTGCAACCGCTGCCTCCCAGATTCAAGTGATTCTCCTGCCTCATCCGCCCAAGTAGCTGGGGACAGGCCCACGCCACCATGCCTGGCTAATTTTTGTGTTCTTAGTAGAGATGGGGTTTCGCCATGTTGCCCAGGCTGGTCTCGAACTCCTGACCTCAAGTGATCCACCTGCCTCGGCCTCCCAAAGTGCTGGGATTACAGGTGTGAGCCACTGCGCCCAGCCCATCATATTTTTAAGGCTATATCTTGTGCTCTTGCCCTGTGCTGGGATTCGACATGCTCTTACCCCCTCAGTGATTGCCCCATTTCACAGATGAGCAACCACCCCAAGCCACCCAGTGCTGTGGGAGGGTCCTGGAGCCCAGACTCGCACTGGCTCTGAGCACTCACGCCTTCCTGACCATGGGTCTGTGAACAGAGATGCCCTTCATTCTACATTATAGCAGAAGCATTGTTTTTTGTTATTTCAACTCATGCACATTTTGATTGGCTGCCAAGACCCCACGTCCCCATGACCGCTGGCCTGAATTGCCGTGTAGAAACTCCCACGTGTGGGAGGCGGCCCGGGCTGGCAGGGACAGCATGGAAGCAGGCTTCTGCCATGGGCCCTTTCCCTGTGCGCATGCTGAAGACGCATTCATGCCAGAAACCCTGAGCTTTTGTGTGGATTCTGCCTTGCAACTGTTCTTACCTTTTTGGGTGTCTGGACTTGATGTGAGACTTGATCATTATTTTTTGTTTGTTTTGTTTTATTTTGTTTTTTTGAGATGGAGTCTCGCTCTGTGGCCCAGGCTGGAGTGCAATAGTGTGGTCTCAGCTCACTGCAACCTCCGCCTCCCGGGCTCAAGCGATTCTTCTGCCTCAGCCTCCCGAGTAGCTGGGATTACAGGTGCGCTTCACCACCCCTGGCTAATTTTTGTATTTTTAATAAAGGCGGGATTTCACCATGTTGGCCAGGCTGGTCTCAAACTGCTGACCTCAAGTGGTCTGCCCACCTCGGCCTCCGAAAGTGCTGGGATTCCAGGCGAGACCTGGTGATTATTAAATTGCCTCCTCAGGGCATAGGTTCTGCAGTGACTTCTCTGTAGGCAGCAAGCTTTGAAGGCAGTGTTCTTGCTCTCTTCCAGTGTGTTCCTTTGCTTGCCACGTGTCCTGCAAAGACGGTGCCCCCCAGGTGTGCCCAATACCTCCCGAGCAGTCCAAGAGGCCTCTGGGCGTGGACGTGCAGCGAGGCATCGGAACAGCCTACAAAGGCCATGTCAAGGTAGGCGGCTTCATCTCCGCCCTCAGCCCTCGGTGCCTGTGAGGTGCAGTGACCAATAGCCATGCCCAGCCACTCTTGAAAGCAGCCCCTTGCTGCGGCAGGTGGCCCTGGTGCCAGTCCTAGGGGGCTTACCCTCCTGGGCACTGAGGCCATCAGGTCGGCGCAGCCGCTGTTCTGAATGGCCTGGGCATCCTGAGGCCTCCACGCAGACGCTCACTCAGAGTCCATCCTGGGCTGAGTGTCCAGCCAGTGGGCAGAAGCTCAGTCTGAAAGCCACTGTGCCAGGCCCACCTCTACGAGACTGTCGGGCTGCGTGTACCACAGCACCCTGCATGGGGTGGACACAGCGTTGGCTGAGCTGCCAGCTTTCCCTGGCACCGTCTGCTGCCACGCATGGACCCCTCCCCAGCAACGCCTTGAGCCTTCTTGGGCAAACATCCCTCTGTCCAAACAGCTCTGCCGCCAGCCTGGCAGCTGGAAGGAGATTGTGAACGAGTGTAATGGGGCCTGGCGGCCTGCCTGGCCTGGTGGAACGTGGCCACTGTTTGTTTTTATTCATAGGTCCCAAAGCCCACGGGGGTGAAGAAGGGATGGCAGCGCGCATATGCAGTCGTCTGTGACTGCAAGCTCTTCCTGTATGATCTGCCTGAAGGAAAATCCACCCAGCCTGGTGTCATTGCGAGCCAAGTCTTGGATCTCAGGTCTGCGTTTGGGCAGCACTGTCCTTGCTCTGTGAATCTTCCTCAGCTATCTTTAGCCAAAAGGACGGTGTGTTCCTTAGTAGTCTTTCACCTCATTAGTACTTCACCTGCTTCATTATTGTATGGTTGCAAAAATGGGTACAGCTTAGTCATGACTTCAGGCGCTCACATGCGTATGAACAGACATGCATACGGGCCTGCGTGCGCAGGAACGGGAGCGCTGTAGACGCTTCCTGCCTCGCATGTGTTTGCGTTGAGAAGTTTGCCACAGGGGAATTAATTTAACATAAGAAAACCACATGCCCAAGAACAAGCAGAAGATATCCCAGAGAAAAGCCACGCGGCCCACAGCCGTCTGTGCGTTTTAGAGACCGCAGCAGGTGCTGGTGTGTGGAAGAAGTCTGGAGCCGTGGGCCATGTGGGTGTGCGTGGCCGTAGCGTTTGCTATGTGACCCTGTCTCAGTGCCACCCAGTGTCAGCTGCAGGAGCAGGCGGGGCCTCCTTCCCACTTCCTCTTAGAGTTGACATCTGTGGCTCATCTGTTAGTGAGAAGAGGACAGTGGTCATGTTACTGGCATGTGGAATGTTGTTGTGAAGGTAAACGCATCACTAAGAGGCCTAGCTCAGCCCGGGGCCTGCACACGGAGCCATGCTACTGCCTTTGTGTCATCTCTGTGCTGTGCCCGTGCACCGTCTGTTGTGTGGTGCACACGGGACTGCTCTGGGCTCAGGCCGGGGCTGGGTACTCCATCTGTAGCATTGGTTCTTGGGGGCAGGGCTGCTGGGTGGGTACCCTGAGGACAGCGAGGGTGAGTCGGCATCACCTGGCAGCATACTCCACTTTCCATGTCCCTTCCCCCGGGGCACCCGCCAGTCCCTGGCTGTGCACAGGTGTGCCCCTGGCCTGGTGGTGAAGGGCCACTGGTAGACGAAAAGTTGGCATGAGCCCAAGTCAGGGGCCCCATCGGAGGGCTCAGCACTCTTTAGGGAACCTCTTCAGAACAGCATTTCCACACTGATCCCACACCCCGCTCCCCCTCTCACCTCCACACCCACCCCCTGCTCCCCCCTCACCTCCACACCCACCCCCACTCCCTCACCCCCCCACCTCCAAACCCACCCCCCACTCCCCCTCTCCACAGCCACCCCCCCACCTCTGCACCCACCCCACCTCCGCACCCACCCCACCCCCTCATCTCCACACCTAGCCCCCACTCCCCCTCATCTCTACACCCACCCCACTCCCTCTCACCTCCACACCCACCACTCCCCCTCACTTCCAAGCCCACCCCCCACTCCCCCTCACCTCCCTCCAAACCCACCCCCCACCCTCCCCTCACCTCCACACCCACCCCACCCTCCCCGTCACCTCTCCACCCACCCCACCCTCCCCCCTCACCTCCACACCTACCCCCCACCCCCCTCACCTCCAAACCCACCCCACCCCCCTACTCCCCGTCTCACCTCCACACCCACCCCCCTACTTCCCCCTCACCTCCACCCCCACCCCACCCCCGACTCCCCTCCACCTCCACACCCACCCCCCACTCCCCTGTCACCTCCACGCCCACCCCCCACCACCCCCCACTCCCTCCCACTCCCCCCTCACTTCCACACCCCTCACCCCACTTGTCCTCTGCACTTGGCTGTTGGAGGGACTGCCTGGCTGTGCCAAGTGCAAACCGAGTCTTCTGTAACTGGCATAGTCTGGAGGCACCAGCACAGTGGGGATGAGGCTCCGGGGTTTCCCTTGCGGCATCCCTAAGCCCTGAAACACCTGCCAGAGTCTTGAGTTTGTTGGCCCTGCCCGTGTTTCTTACATCTGGGGAGGCGAGGGACCCGCCCTCCACTGCAGAACACGGTGGTGGAAGGACATGGCAGGGCAGGGCAGGGCAGGGCGTGGGAGGGCCTTGGGTCCTGTGCGCGTGTCTCCCAGCGGGGTCAATGTTTCTTCCTTACCAGAGATGACGAGTTTTCCGTGAGCTCAGTCCTGGCCTCAGATGTCATTCATGCTACACGCCGAGATATTCCATGTATATTCAGGGTATGAATTTTTCATTAATCTTTTTAACAAAGCACATGGTTAAAACTGATTGTTCTAGGCATGTCATTGTGCTGCGGCAGCCATCAGCGCACCTCCAGTGTGGCCCTAGGGTCTCAACCTCCAGCCTGGCTCCAGGTCCTTGTGCGTCCCGTCCTGGCCAAGTAGCAGCCTGTGCCCGTCTCGGGGAGCCTCCTGGCTGGCTTCTTCCCAGACACCCCTCTTCACTGACCCTCCCTTCTCCTACATCTGAAACTCCTCTTCCACTCAGTCCACGTCCCGGCCACTGTCCTCACAGCGTGTGCACTGCCAGGCGGGCGCTGTGGCAGGTTAGGCATGAAGGTGCCTCTCCAGTGCCCCCCAGCCAATTGGAGCCAGCGTTTTTGTTGACTGAGTGAGTGCTCCCTCACTGAGTTAGTGTTAGACATTGTAGCATTAGGACGTTCCTAGAAGACTGAATTGGGGAAAGAAACCCTCCAGCCCCCTCCACTGGGAATTTTCTTATAAACAGCAAAATTTTGATAACAAAACTAAGTCTATAAATTAGCTTTTACTAAATCACAGCTCTATTCAGAAACAACCCTGTCATACACAGTACAGGAAATTACCATCATTGTTACTGGAACGATGGTCATTTGGTAGCATGCGTGCTCAGAGGCTGCTCACAGGGAGGCATGATTTGGGCCAGTGTTTTTGAGATCTGCTTTTCCTGGACACATTTTCAGAATCTACTTTTATAATGATTATTCAAGAAAGCAGATTTAAAGTAGGCAGCTACTCGTAGTTTTGACAAAAGCAGAATTAACGAAAATGGGACCAGGAAGCGATCTCACGGGGCTGTTTAGAACCCCGCCCCTTCCGTGTCCTGCCGCGGGAGCCTCTGCAAGGCGCCCAGCGAGGTGGAGTCAGGGGTCCCTGCCTGGGAAGCACATCAGCCCCCGTTGCTCCTGGGGTGCGTGGCTCCAGCAGGGCCGTGGTAGCTGCGTGCGGCTTTGGCGTTTGATGACTTCTCTCTTCTCTTCTGTTTCCTGTCATGAAGGTGACGGCCTCTCTCTTAGGTGCACCTTCTAAGACCAGCTCGCTGCTCATTCTGACAGAAAATGAGAATGAAAAGAGGAAGTGGGTTGGGATTCTAGAAGGACTCCAGTCCATCCTTCATAAAAACCGGCTGAGGAATCAGGTCGTGCATGTTCCCTTGGAAGCCTACGACAGCTCGCTGCCTCTCATCAAGGCCATCCTGACAGCTGCCATCGTGGGTACGTCCCAAAGGTTGTGTCCTTCAGGTGTCTGAAGCAACAGCACTTCCGGCGGCGCTGCAGTGCCCATCTGAAAATCAGATGAAGGTCACAGGTCCATTTGGGTTTGTAGACAGTTTCTCCATGCATGTTAAGAAGCAGACGAGGCCGGGTGCGGTGGCTCACGCCTGTAATCCCAGCACTCTGGGAGGCCAAGGCGGGCGGATCACAAGGTCAGGAGGTTGAGACCATCCTGGCTAACACGGTGAAACCCTGTCTCTGCTAAAAAAAAAAATAAAAATAAAAATAAAATATAGCTGGGCGTGGTGGCGGGCACCTGTAGTCCCAGCTACTTGGGAGACTGAGGCGGGAGAACAGCATGAACCCAGGAGGCAGAGCTTACAGTGAGCCGAGATCACACCACTGCACTCCAGCCTGGGCGACAGACCGAGACTCCGTCTCAAAAAAAAAGCAGATGACCTGTGCGGACAGTACAGTTGGCCCCGGCTAAGCCTGAGGGTCAGCTCCAGGAGCCCCACACACACCCAAATCCTTGCAGACTCAATCCCACAGTCAGCCGGCCCTGTGGAGTTCGTGTAGAGAGAAAGTCACCCCCGATACTGAAGTGTCACATCCCTGGAATGCTGTATTCTCATCCACATATGGTTGAAAAGTATCTGTGAATGAGCCCACCCACGCATTCAAACCCATATTGTTCACGGTCGGCTGTACTGACTTTGTGTATGTTACTTACCCCTCCACAGATGCAGACAGGATTGCAGTCGGCCTAGAAGAAGGGCTCTATGTCATAGAGGTCACCCGAGATGGTGAGTGAGCAGGGCGTTTCCAGCCTGGGATGTCACAGGCCCAGCCTGGCCTCTGCAGACAGCACAGGGTCAGTAGCTCCTAAGGGTTAAGACAAATGCGCTTGATGAAGGCGCCGGAGGGGCCAGCGTGCCGTGAAGACCGGCATCGAGTGCATGGCGACGCGGTGCTAAGTTGCGTATCACATCCATCGAGTTCTTCAAGGGGAGCACTGAGCGGGAGTGGGTGGGGGGTCAAGGAAAGCCCCCTGGGAGGAGGAACAGCTGCAGCTTTCCCACATGTGCTGAGGCTTCACTTGAGAAGCTTTAGTTTCTTTGCTTCCAATTTTGACACTTCAGTCTTCCCAGCGAGGAAGGGCAAAGGTATCCTGGCATGCACCCGCTCCACAGCCCTGGGTCTAGGAGCAGAAACGTCAGGAGACTGGAACTGGCCATGGGCAGGGGGCAGGGGCCCAGGGGAGCATCCCTCAAGGAATCCAGCGACATTTCATGTGAGCCATAGTCCTTTCCCGACAGACCCAGCATCTCTGCATGTGATGGCCGTGGAGCGAGAAGGGCGGGGCAGCCGCTGGGCGAGGCCGTACCCTGGCAGCTCTGTGGGGAGATCTGAGCAAGCGAGGGGCTTGGGTTAGCCTGGGGGCCGTGTGAGGGCGGCGTCTTCACTGGGGGCCGTGTGAGTGTGAGGGCAGTGTCTTCACTGGGGGCCCTGTGAGGGCAGCGTCTTCAGAGGATTTGTCTCAGGGTCCCAGTGGGTTGGGGACAGCTCTTTGTCCCTCATGTGCAGCGTGAGGGCCCTCTGGTTCGGGGATGAGCTGGAAGGAGGCCCAGATCACCCCAGGGCCTTGCTGCGCGAGGACCCAGGTGGAAGCGCTGCCCAGCTGGAGCCCTGGTGCACTGAGGGGTGTGCACAGCAGCAGAGGCAGAGGAGCCTTTGGACCAGCCCCCGAGG